>NC_000004.12:151648653-151951684 GCF_000001405.40 Homo sapiens
AAATGGAGAAAATAATATCTACCATATAGGATCATTGGGAGAATTAACTCAGATAGCATTGATAAAGCACCTGCAGCCTACTAGATGTTTAAGAAATGATAGACTATATATTTTTCCCTCAGTCTTTTTCTCTTGAGGGAAAATGTAAACTCATAGGAAGATATTTTCGCAGCTATTTCAGTAGTGAAGTTGGAACTTTTAACATCAGAGGCAGTCATGGTAACATAAGCAGCATTCTTGGGTTAAAATGACTTTTGTAGTGAATATGATTTTACTCTAAGAGACCATTTGATAATATCAACATCCCTGATAGTCCCCAGGAAGACAGAATGAGTTAATAGGCTTTTCTAAAAACCCAGGATTTTTCTACAAAACGTCTGGTTCTCAGATTCATGGATTACCAGCCTTCCGCTTTAGATTCAAAGTAAAAAACTTTAAGGTTATTACTCTGTGGCAGGTACTATATCAGGTGTATTACCTAATTTAATCCTCTCAACAACCTGAGAGATTGCGATCATCAGCTCTTCTTTCTCTAATGACTCGTACCAGATAATAGATTTCCATCGGCTATAGCCACTATCTGACTGGCTATATTGGTTTTCTATCTTCCGTGAGGGTAGAGTTTCTATTATTAATCTTTCCTTCTTACAATCTAACCATATTATTCAGAGGTCATTTTAATCAGATATAATTAGACCCAAAGTAGCTGGCAAGACACAGTCTTAGCCCGAATGGGTCACAACCCCATCCACTACCTTTGTCCCCACACCTCCCTTGTTCTAACCAGCCTCTGCCTCCTGTGCAGGGCCTGTGGAGCGGCCATTCCCCGAAGCGTTCTCCGAGTCAGCCTGCATTGTGGAGTATGGGAAAGCCCTGGACATCAGCTACCTGCAGTACCTGTGGGAGGCCCACACCAACATCCTCCGCTGCATGAGGGACTGCCGTGTCTGGTCCGCCCTGTATGATGGCGACTCCCCCGACCCTGAGATGTTTCTCCAGAGTCTGACGGAGGAGGGCAGTGTGAGCTCGGCCTGCCCTGTGTTCGGGCTCCCGCAACAACTCCCCAGGAAGACAGGACCTCAGCTGGCTCCCAGAAAGGACAAGAGCCAGACAGAGCTGGAATGGGATGACAGCTATGACACTGGAATCTCCTCAGGGGCTGACGTGGGCTCCCCAGGGCCTTATGATGATCTGGAGGTTTCAGGCCCCCCAGCACCCATTGATCCCCCCAAACACATCCAGGAGATGAAGAAGAATGCCCTCCTGCTCTTCAAAGGGTCCTACATAGAAGAGTCGGACTTTCAGGATGATGTGATGGTGTACAGGCTGTGTGCTGAGAAGGACTCCGAGGACATGAAGGATTCTCAGGAGGAAGCTGCTAGGCCACCAGCTGAAGCCCAGGCTGAAGTTCAGAGTGTCCCCATCAACAACGGCCCCCTCCTCAGCACCCAGCCAGAGACAGATTCAGAGGAGGAGTGGAATAGGGACAATTCAGACCCGTTTCACAGTGAGCCCAAGGAGCCAAAGCAAGAGAGGGAACCTGAAGCAGCCCCAGAATCCAACTCAGAGTTAGCATCCCCTGCCCCTGAGGCAGAGCACAGCTCTAACCTGACAGCCGCCCACCCGGAGAGCGAGGAGCTCATTGCCCAGTATGACCAAATCATTAAAGAGCTGGATTCCGGCGCCGAGGGCTTGATGGAACAGAATTACCCCACACCTGATCCCTTGCTTCTCACTAAGGAGGAAGAAGGGAAGGAAGAGAGTAAAGGAGAAAAGGAGAAGGAGGGGAAGAAGGAGCTAGAAGATGAGGAGGATGACTTTGACTCTTTTATAGCGGAGATGCCTGCTGTAGAGACTGTGCCTTCCCCATTTGTGGGGAGAGATGAGGCTGCCTTTGCCAGTCGCCATCCCGTGAGGACTCAAAGCACCCCATTCACAGGTGACCATCTTAAATTGCTTTGTGGTTTCTGCTTTCGAAAGTACTTGTATATATTGGAACAGGAAAGGAAGGTAGGAAAAGGTAAGGGATATTATCGGTTTGTCTAACAGAGGGCTGCAAATATTTTTGTAAAGATCAAAGAGGGGTGGCTTTATTTTTATTTTTCCATTCTTGTAATGATTATCTTATTTATTTCTCAAGCTAGAGGTTAGATTTTATTACTTAGTAACTTCTTTTGATATGTCAGTGTTAAAACAGTAGGGCTGATTAAACCACACAAGAATCCAGACGTCTTATTTAATGACTTCATTTATTCTAGCGTAACTAACTTATTTTTCTCCTTAGCACTTATTTACATTTATTTTTAACAAATGACTGTCTCCCCCAGTAGAATGTATGCTCTGTGAGGGTGGAGCTCTTTCCCTAGCACTGGAAGAGTGAACAGAGCACAGAATAGGTGCTCAGAGTCCGTGTTGGGTGACAGTAGCTGTGCACACATCAGAGGCATTGGGGTTAGCTGTGCCTTTGCCTGGGAGCTCATTTCAGAGAATCACAAAATCTTTATCCAAAAATAAGTGGAGTGGACCCACGTCAACTAATAGCTCTTTGAAAGAGTGGGTATATTCAATGATACACTACCAGCCACAGGTAGAAATCTTGCAAGAGGTAAAGGGATAGGATAGGACTTAAAGATAGGCAGATTAGGATGAGGAATTATGATAGAAAACATCATTAAATATTAGCCAACAAAATCTGCATTTACAAATCATGGTGCAGAGGGAATCGCCATAGATGAGAGGGCTCACTAAGCTCAGGGAAGGCCAGGGTGGGACCACTGGATGGTGTTCAGGTAGCAAGGAGAGGGGCTGGAAGATAGTAGCAATGGAGGGTGACAGTGGCCTTGGACCAGGCCAGGGATTGAGTCCTGGTTCTAGCATTTAGCAGCATGTGGCTTTAGCATCCCAGGCCCTCCATTTGCTCCTGTGAGGACTGAATGAGATACTGGGAGGTCATTATTCATTTTATGACACGTAGCACCCAGGAGAAGCCTGGTGAGGAGGGACTGTGCTCCTACCTCTTGGAGTAACCCAAAATAGATGAAAACAGATTGCCTTCTGGTCCAGCCAGCCAAGTAGGTTTATGTGATTTCAAGGAGCTCTTCCAGCCTCCTCCTCCAGTATTTATTCATCTATTTACTGATGCCTGAAGATTTGTATATACAGGAAGAAAGCTTTTAATTCCACAATTAAAGGCTTGCAGTTCTAGTTGAGATAACATTTCAGTCTGAATGAGTTTTAATTAAAATTCAATCAGTCAGTCAATCATAAGTAAAATGGATTAGATAATCCCACTTTTCCCAGTTGATAAGGGGGACAGGGAAGGGGGAGTTGGAAGAGTTCGCTTGAAGGGAAAAGGGCAGCAGTAACTTAGCATGTCACAGCTTGCCTTCTCATAGGACATCTGGGCTATCCATAGCCATGAAGATTATTCTTTAGAATGGCAGCTTTCTTACAGAGGAGCTTCATTCCTGGGAAATGTGTAAATAGAGGAAAGAAAGTATAGCTCAGGGCAAGGAAAAAAAAAGCTAATCCAACACCTTATTAAATAACATCAATATTTTACATATAATACACCTGAGAACTGACAAAACATACTACAAGCTCTTTGATACATACAGGTAATTGTCACTAAAACCTTCCTTTTTCCTCTTTTGAACCTTATACACAGCTTTAGGAAACATCTCTCTTTCCATGTATGTGTGCTTTATAGTTTCCAAACTTCTGAGTGTGTTCTGTAGCATTAGGCTTAACTTCTTCTCTCCAGGGCATCTGATTTCTACTGAAATGAGTTCACTTCCCAGCAAAATCAAAGCATTCCATTTGTCTAATTTTATTTATTCATGTGTTCAGCAATCTTTTATTGATCCCCTGAAGTTTGGCAGGTTCTATGCTAGGAAATAAGGACACAACATTAAAGGAATTCACAGACTTTTAGAGGAGACCCCAACAAAGAAGTGTACTCTTAGTGGGAAATGCATGATTAGTTGTCATATGCCAAGACCAGTGGGAACCCAGTGAGGGGAGTGGGAATGGCCTCACAGAGGAGGGGCATGGACAGTGCAGGGGAGTCCCCAGGTGAAAGCAGGTGAGAATGATAGTCCAGGCAGAGGAGACACCAGGAGGAGACTGAAGAGCCTGCCAGCCTGTGGGGTATGACCGCATTGGGTGGGGAGGTGGGAGAGAAGGGCAGAAAGCTTGGTTGGTGCCAGCTTATGGAGAGCCTTTGGGCCAAGCCAAGGAATGGAAACCTTGTGCCCTGGCACTGAAGAAGGCCCTGGAGTTTAAAGTTGAGGAATGATGTGACTGGATCTGAAAAGGCCAGCTTTGGTAGGAGTGTGGGGAGAGCACTGGAGTGGGGAGAGGTTGGTGCCAGGAAAAACAAGTGAGACACCCTTATTGCCGTGTCAGAATTCAGAATGCGCCAGTGCTTTTATCTAGTAATTCTGTTTCTAGGAATGTCCTCAGAGCTGTATTCACACTGTGTGCTAAGGTGTACATACAGGGATGTTCATTGCAGCATTGTTTAGAATAGGAAAAGACTGGAAACAACCTAAATGCCCACCAGTAGGAGACTGACTTGCTTGTGCAACACCCTAGCAATCTAATATTTTGTGGTCCTGAGATGAGACAGCTCTGTATGTGTTGACACGAGGTGTGGTCTCTAGGGTGTATTGTTAAAAATACTAGGTCTCTCTGTGTGTGTGTCTCTCTCTCTCTCTCTCTCTCCCCCTCCCTCTCCCTCTCTCTCCTTGGCAGGCAAGATAATGCATTGGGTAAGAGCACTGGAACAGGTGGTATGAATTAAAATTCTATTATTCACAAGCTGGGTTCACTTAGCATTCTGCCTCCTCTTTAAATGGGGATAAATAATAAATATACTTCCTAGGGTTGTTTTGAATCTTGAGTGAGTTGATACATGAAAAGTACTTAGCACATTGCCTGGCAGGTAGGATGTTATTAATAAATGTTTTCAGTAATAATTAAATCTCTATTAACATAGAAATGCTGTTGCTGGAGTCCAGACCGGAAATGAGACTGACCTTAGGCAGTGGAGCAGGGGAGGTGGAGCTTCAGGTCCACATCAGAGATATGTCCAGGGTAGAATTTGCCGAGGGAGGCACGGAATCAATGGCCGCTCCATTCTTGGACAGGGGAAGTGCAGGAAGAGGGTGCAGGCTCGATGGAGGCAGGGGAACGGGAGAGCGGTGAGTGGATGACAGGAGGGGCAGTGGAGAGAGTCTCAGTGATTTTGAAGAATGTAATACTTTGTGAGGTGGGGAGTCTATCTGTCCTCTTAGGAGATGTGGGAAGAAAATAAAACTGCTGTCCTCCAGAAACACCTGCGGCTTCCTGAATTGTGCTGAGCCTTTTGATTTTCAGCTGCTTACCAGATCCCCCTCACATTTTTTGTTAAGCAGGGTTTTTTTTTTTTTTTAGTGCTAGAAACTAAGAATAAAGTAGGAATTTGAAAGTTTTAATACATTTTTAATTACACATGCCCAAGGAGTGATGAGTCATTTCATTAGCAGATGCTAATTATAATGTCAAAGTGGACTCCATTTGTATCATTACAGTCTACTGGCCTTGACCTAATGATATTCCGTCATTCACCTAGGTCAGTGATGACATGATCTTCCTCTCCACAGGGCATGGGATTCAAGCTCATGTGCCCCCCCACCTCACCCCTTATAGTAGTGATGTCCTGTGGATGGTCCCCCCTGGTCACTGCATGGTCAGCAGTTTAGAGTTTGTAGGCCAAGCACAGTCTGGGACTGGGGAAGGCACAGTCTGGGACTGGGGAAGAGAAGTTGAAGGATCATTTTATGGTCATATGTTTTACAGAAGACTCTGCCCACCTAAGTATGTCTTAATTCACCTGCTTTTGCTCCATCTGGAAGGAAATAGATGCTAAGCCAGGGACTGCGGGGGAGCAGGTGAGAGGAAGCTGAGGACAGCAGCCTTCCCCCTCTAGATCTACCTTGAAGGCCGAATTGTGTTGCGATGCCTTAAGAGTTGCCATTGACATTTCTGGGGTTCTTTATGGGAAAACCATTAGTTGCTTTCAAACTGGGGTCCCTATCCAGAGTTTCCAAATGTGTTTGGCAAGTCTCCCAGTTGTTTGTTAAGCATCTTCAAAGAGTCTCTATCTGAAGAGTTCATTGACCTCTTATGTCATGGAAAGTGACTAAAGACCTCTGCCTCCCGTCCCAAGGATGGGGAAGTTGAGGCTAAATGCCACACATGAGGGGATGGTGCCTCATGTTGAGATCCCTTAGAGACATCCTTAGTGTTCCTGGAGACAGGGATATTGCAGTTACCCTGTTCCTCCCCTGTGTGGTAAAGGTTTCGGTTTGGTGTTCCCATTCCACACACAGAGCTTCTGTTCCTTGCAAAGGGTTTTACTCTCTTATGCTACCAGGGCTTCTGAATGAAGGAAGCATCTTGTGATGAAGTATGTTTTTGTTAAACTCGTATTAATGTTGGTGACATCTTCATAAGGCATGGCTTATATATCAAGGGATGTGTGCTTTCGTTGTAAACATGCCATGGTTTAGTAGCATCATCAATAGCTCCACCAAGGGAAATGCAAAATTCTCATTGATTGTGTTTAACAGAACACTTTTATGGTAAAAATTTAAAGTATCTTCAAGTAAGTTTATTAATGCCAGATTTATTTTTGGTTTTCCCCTGCCCTCAATGAACTCAAAGCATATTAATTTTCTAGTGACCCAAAGTAGCAGAAACTTCTTTTTGCCTATTTTTCTTAATGGACCGCTTTTGTATGACTAATTTTTTAACTGCTTTTTTAAAATGACTGCTTTTGTAGTCATACGGATTTTATTTTTTAAGAAATCTGTGACATGCCGAACTGTATCTCCCAAAACTGACACCCTTTTCTCTCTCCTCTGAAAATTCACGTGTGGTTACCGAGTTGCTAAGGCTACTAAGATTATAAGCAGGGGCTCCTCCACCTCTCACCTATTTTTTTTTATTGTTCCACATTACGACACTTGACAAAACCAAATTTTTCTCAGTGTGCTTGTTCAGGATAGGCAACCCCTGTTGACAGTGTTGCTATTTGATAAACATAGTTTGTGCGTTTTTGGTGTTCTTTACAGAGAATTTTTCATTACTAAGACTTTTAATGGCCTTTGGTGCTTACATGAAACCCTACCGTCCATACAGTCTGTGCATCATGAGATGATGGCTGTCATGTTTTAAGCATTGGCAGCCCCAAGAAATACAGGAATGATGTAGAAAAGCATATTTTAATTTTAAAAAGTTAAATTATTTGTTTTTTTTTCCCGAGATCTGTGATAATTTTAATAAGTATCAAAACTGCTCATGGAGTGAAAATGTCAGTAGCCATGCCTATTTTTCTGTTTTCTTTTTGCCATGGTGGTTTGTTTTCCGTTTTGGTTTTGAGGCAGGAGAAAACGTGGCCATATTTGCTGTGTCTGGCTTGCACCTGTGGGCCCATGGTGGTTTGGGAGATGTGGCACCGATGGTTCTGCAATTGTCAGGGAAAGGCATCCCTGTGAGCCCAGCCAGCCCTGAAGCCTTGTGTTCTTCCTGCAGGCCCATTCATCAGCGTAGTCCTGTCAAAGCTGGAGAACATGCTGGAGAACTCTTTACATGTTAATTTGCTGCTTATCGGGATCATTACTCAGCTAGCCAGCTACCCCCAGCCACTCCTGCGCTCCTTTCTGCTCAACACCAACATGGTCTTCCAGCCAAGCGTCCGCTCTCTCTATCAGGTATGTTAGCTGAACCCACATCCACACCTGTTGATTTTGTGGGTGCTAATTTGCAGGGCATCTATTTCTCTTTATTTTGTTTTTCAAAAATTCCTTTGCTCTAATTCATTTGCTTTCCTTCCCTGTCCTATTAAGCTCACTGTGTAGTTTATTCTAGACAAACTGTAGAGCTTCATTTAGTTTGATGTTTTGACGGTGCCCTACGCAGAACACCCAGGCAGTTAAAAATGAACAAATGTCTAACATCATAATAGTTCCCATAATGAGGGTGCTACCTGCAAGATATATTGATAACTGGGAGTGGAATTTCATGGTGAGGCATTAACATCAGTAATGCTGTTTTTGACAGGTCCTTGCATCTGTGAAAAACAAGATTGAACAGTTTGCTTCTGTGGAGAGAGACTTCCCAGGGCTCCTCATTCAAGCTCAGCAGTACCTGCTCTTCCGTGTGGACATGTCTGATATGACCCCTGCAGCACTAACCAAAGGTAAGCCAGGTTTCTCCACAGCGCCCCTCCTTAAATTCCTCCTCCACGTCCCTGGCCTACTGGCCTCAGTTCACAGATGCTGCACTGGCTTCTGGATCCTAGAAGCATTCAGAGATATTTTCATTTTTATGCAACAGGGAGGAACCACCTCTTAGCATTCTTAAACCTAAAGAAAGGTCTGCCTTGCTCACACCTGGCCTGTTTCCTCTGTGGAGGGTCTAGAGGGGATTTTGTTTTTTTAACTGAGAGTGGTGCCTGCAAGGAGCTGATGTGTAGGGTATTGTCAGGCTAGAATAAATCACACGGCACACATGGGCCAGAAAGAGGCATTATATGCACTCTCCGAGCCATTTTTTTGGGCAGCCTGTTCTGAGGAGGGCATGTGTTCTCTTTATTATGTTTTCAGAGGCTCTTGGGCCAAAAATAAGTGTGCTTTAGGGCCCTAGGAGGTAAAACAAAACACAAAACAAAAAAACGGTTTGGACTGGGAGAAGTAAAGTTTATGCTCAGCCTAAAATCTCTGAGAGTGCCTTTTTATGGGCTCTAGAGGAGATGTTAGGCCAGGGCCCTGGCAGAGTGAGGAGTGGGGGTGGGGGCATGGGTCGGTGCTAGTAGGAGCGCTGAGGATGGCTGGCCAGGCCTGGGAGCACCACTGCTGCTTTACCTTATTTAAGCTCTGGTTGGACCGATTTGCTGACCATTGTCCCCTGAGCTGTGACTTAGGCCTTGGTAGGAGCAAAGCAGGAATGCCCCATATTGCACTGGCTTTTACTTTTCCACACACAGACCAGTCAGGCTTCTTTGTGGCAGATGAACAGTGGGGAGAGTAAGGCTCTCAGTCCTGGGCCAAAGGCAAGTGATCAGAAACAAGACTGGCAGTGAGCGGCAGAAATGAAACTCAGGGCAATTGTTCCACCTTTCAAAGAAGCTGAAAAGAACCCAGAACTCTGAAGTCCTGATGCTGCCCCTGTGCAGCTATTTGATCTTGGTTGCTTTACCTCACAGGCCCAATGTCCCTTGACTTTTAAATGAAGGATTTGTTCTCCATCTCTTAGGTGCTTTCCGGCTGAAGCCAGAACTTGGGTTGTGATGAGCTCTTAGGGTACTGCAAGTTAGGATTTGAAAGAAAGGTAGGCCATGTGCCACTGGTAAAGCGAGGAGTCGGGCTTTGAGAAGAGCAGGCAAAGGCATTCATGGAGGGAAAGAAGCCTGGCATCTCTGTGAGAAGGTAGACTTCGGGTGCCATGTGGCCTCCTTAGACACATGGGTGGTAAGTGTGTGACCTGTGTTCCTCCTGAACAGGGCGCATGCTGCTGCCACCCACCCTGTGAGAGAAGGTACACCAATTACCAGTATAATAAACCACTGCAAAAACTCATTGGCTTAACACAAGGCCATTTATGATTGCTTATGAATCTGTGTGGTCATCTGGGTGTTTTGCTGATCTGGGCCAGGCTGATTTTACCTGGACTCGCTTGTGTGTCTGCCATCAGTGGGTGGCTGGATGTCTAGGATGGCCTTACTCACATCTGTGGCTGTTGGCTGGAGTGATGGAGGTGATGGGGGTGTTTCTCACCATCCAGCAGATTAGCCCAGGCTGGTCCATGTCACAGTTAATGGGGTTCCAAGAGTGAGAGCAGAAGCATAGAAAATCTTTTGAAGCTCAGACTCGGAGCTCACGTAAGGTCCATTCTGCAGCATTCTGTTGGCCAAAGCAAGACAGAGGGCCAGCGCAGATTGAAGAATGGAGCAAAAACCCCACCTCTTGATGGGAAGAGTGGGAAGAGCTGCAACAAGTTGTGGGCATTCTGCAGTCTCCTAGACAAGGCCTGGTCTTCATTGTATTTTACAGTTTATAAGGGGCTTTCTCAAGCGGTCAATTTTCATTATCAAACAGTGCTCTGAAAAGGGCAAAAAAGGCACCATTAGCTTAATTTTCATTAAGGAAGCCAAAATTAGAGGTCCAGGGTATTCAACCAGGATCATGAAACTCAAGTGCCTGAGCCCGTCTTAGCTAATTCAAGGAGATGAGTGTACACACTGACCAACCTAGATATACTGAGGTGCACTAGATACTCAGGGTACACTGAGCCTTAACCCCTACATTCAGGGAAGGGGTGGGGGTCACTCACACCTTAGGCTTGTCCTGGTTTCAGAATGTCTGGAGGCCATGATTGCAAAATATGTGCCCAGGGAACTTGTTCTCACTGCCTAAGGTTGTCAAATTAGTTAGCTGGGTTCCATGCTCCTTAAGTAAGGTCTGTGACACTCCAGGGCTCTGACCTGTAAGAATCTTCTCTCTGGATATAACATTTTTCTTTTACTTGAGTTTTTTTAGATTAACTTTCTAACTTTTCCAGGTTAGCCAAGTCATACTCTTCCCCCACTTAAAGCATCTTTAACTGACAGAATGAGAGTTTCCTGTCCCCTTGTACAAAGCTGACTTCTGAAGCATTTACTGTGACATGATTTCCTGTAAATGAGTCAAATCTGGGAGGCCTGTTCTCACTGGGATACAGAGCAATTTACAATGAAGAATTATGGTAATGGGCCAAATATTTGGGTTTCCAAGTGTCTGTGTGCTCTGCCCTTTGCCTAATGCTGCTGCCAGGGAGATGAACACATAATGTATCTCTCTCCTCACTTCTGAAATCTTCCCAGTATTAGTCTTGAAAACCTTGTGTTGCAGCTTTTCAGACCCAGGGCAACATTTCAGAAGCCATTCCTAATTCTGACATTTATTTATACTTCCCTCCGTCCTGCCTTTTTCTTCAGGTGCTCGTGCATGCTTGTTGGACCCTTTTATGAGGGGCGTAACTCAGGCGTCTGTAGCCAGAGCTGCTCCATTATGCAGGCCCTGCATTCCCTTCACCTCCTGGCAGCCCCGATGAAAAACGAGCCTCCTCACTAATGCTTCCAACAGCAGTAAAAGTCTGTGTGGCCGCTGCTCCAGAGAGAGCGGACGTCCTGTTCCCAGTTCCACATTATTATTCTTGAGGCTGTTGGTCTCTGAGATTCAGCCACTTGCCATGCCTTTCTCTTTCTACTCAAATACTTTCCAAACCACAGAGTAACAGTTCACTGTATTTACTTATATTCAGAGCCCTTTTACTGGGCACTGATTCTAGAAGGGAGATCAGGTAGGTAATGGCCCCAGTTTACAGAGATGGAAACAGACATTTTATGATGAGCTGGTGGCCAGGTAGGGACCATAACTCGGGTCTGCTTGCTTTTGAATGGAGAATTTGATGGTGCTTGGTGACACACTGAAAGGCCAAGACCCCGGAGGGGAGCCCGGGTCAATGTGCTGCCACCACTGATGGAATCATGCTATGGATCTCCCAGCCAGCCCCTGGTCTCCCTCACTGGGTGTTCTGCCTTCATTAGTGAAGACAGTTCTGATTCTTGGATTCATACTGGGTAAATGAGCCTTAGCAATGACACTTTTTATTCACAGATCAAGCTAGACAAATGAGTCACAAAACCCCTTTTTAGGGGGGAAGAGAATGAATGAATTTGGAAGAGAATGAATGAATTTGAAGGAGAATGGGGAGAGGAATACGAGCAGCTGCAGGGAGAATCAGGAGTAGGGAAGACTGATGAGATCAGTTCCTTCACTCATTTATTCAGCAAATGTTTATTAGCTTCTGTGAATACAGAAGTGTGTTAGGGGTTGCTAAAGACATGTTATCAGATAGGGCTCAGCCCTGAGAAAGGTTGGAGTCTAGCAGAGGTGATAAAACATAAACAATGTGAGGCTGAAGGGCAATGCAGGCCTTAGTTGGTCAATAACATGGAGAGGAGGCTAGAATGAGACTGTTTGGGTAGAGGGCAGAGGAAGGCATAAAGACTATAGGAATGACTTCTGGGGGCAGGAAACTGGAAATTCATTGTGAAGTTGGTGGCAACTGTACTGATGAGGATGATGTGGTAGCTGACACCCATTCAGAGGTCCCTGTGTACTTTATACCTATTGACTCATTTAATCCTTATAACAACTCTATGAATAGCTTTTGGCAGGTGAGGAAATAGAAGTACAGAGAGGTAAAGCAATTTGCCTGAGGTCAGCCAGCAAGTGGCAGACTCTGTGGTCTTAACCACTGTACAAATAATGCCTCTAAGGCTAGTAAGATTTAGGTGAGCAGAGAATGGGGCAGGGAATTCCAGGTGGAGGAACAAGCATGAACAGTGCAGGTCTCGGTCTGGGAGTAGGTCCATGGTGTCCCAGTCCCCATTGGAACGCAGGCCAGCTTCCTTTGTGAGCTTTGCTGGGCGCTTTGGAGAGTGACAGGGCCTGAGCTAGGGTTGGGGATGAGAAGGGGTGCTCTCCAAGGTTGACATGTACCTCAGTGACATCAACACTTTTGTGCTCACTCTGTTGCCGGGACATGAATTTCTGCTGAAAGGTAGCAGAAGACAGATTCTCAGCAACTTTTCCAGTTCTTTATGGCATTAAAGCTGTGATAAGCCTTAATCTAAAAGGATATTTAAAGCAGTCAAGTGGAAGTTGTTTTTTTTTTTTTTTTTTAACACTAAAGACTATAGTAGTGAGATGTGGAAAGTACTATAAATGTCAAGAATTTTTAGTACTGTAGTTAAGCAACACTCTGAGAAGAGTGTTGAAAAATGGTACTGAATTCTAAGAAGCAGCCAAAATAATGAAGAACTTGAATATAATGATTTATAAGGAGTAATGAGATTGTTTGGGTAGGGGGCAGAGGAAGACATAAATAATTCCTACAAATATATGAGGGCTGATGATGTTCAGGAATCAAATAGGGATGTTGAACCATTTTAATTAGTAAAAACTGATTTGATAGGAAAATGCAAATCACTTGGATATGTTAAAATTTGAACTCATCTTAAGCCTATGTTATTGAAATTGAGATGGGAACCCTCCTTCAATATAGGCTTCTAAGCCATTTGCTGCTACTAATTCCCCATGGTTGCAGGAAGTTCTTAATCTGGTCTTTCCAGCACCCAACTTCCTTCCCTTCCATTATTTCTGCTGATCTCAAGGAATCTTCCGCTCTCCTTTTATGTAAAACGTTGGAGGTCCTGGCCAGAAGACTGGAGGTCACCGGGGAGCCCGAGAGGCTGGAGCACCCGCTGCAGAGAGCTTGGAGTGACCCATTTCACCCAGCCTCCCTGCTGGAGCTATGCTGTGCTGTCAGGGCTTAACTGGCAAAGGGAGAACAGTCATCCCAGCATGAGAGGCTGGCAGAGCAGGCGGGACTACTCATCGCCCCTTAATAAGCCAATGACAGGAGATGCCTTTGTCAGTTTCTCCCATTTCCACATTCTGGCATGGAGGATTCTTGACAAACCTATATTCTTGCCATGATTTCTGCATGAAGTTCCTTAGAAGGAATTTTGGGTGAAAGTCTCATATCAGATGCTATATGGTGGAGGATATCTGTTGGGCAAATATGTGTGTCATGGAGTGCACAAGGGCTGCATCTTCAGGATTTAGTCCGTTATAGGAACTGCACTCATAACTAGATACTCTCCAGCAACTCTGCCCCCAAACACATGCTTCACTGAAGAGGGTGGATTAGAAGGCTATGGAGGGACACCATGATGGTTTTCTTTCTGCTTTCAGATCCCATTCAGGAGGCTTCCAGGACAGGAAGTGGCAAGAACCTTTTGGATGGACCTCCAAGAGTGCTTCAGCCCTTCCTGACCCACAGAACCAAGGTGGCTGAGGCACCCCCCAACCTGCCCCTGCCGGTGAGGAACCCCATGCTGGCTGCTGCCCTCTTCCCAGAGTTCCTGAAGGAGCTGGCGGCCTTGGCCCAGGAACACTCCATTCTGTGCTACAAGATCTTGGGTGACTTTGAGGACTCCTGCTGTTAGCTTTTTTTTTTTTTTTTAATAGAGGTTCTTGTTTTGTAAGGTTTTAGTGTCTTGACTGAATGTTAAATGCAAAGCTGCTTACAAAGATTTCTACTTTAATGTTTCCTGACAATACTTGATTTGTGGGGAGGGGAATTTTCTGTATCTTTCCTCTCTCTCTCTAGCCGGGCCTTTCCACCTTATGTTATATATAGAATGTAAGTCTCATAAGCTGGTTGCTCCCTTGGCAGTTTTCTTTGCTCTGTTTTTCCTCCTTATATTTTTTTGGTTGTCATTCTCCTATCCCTTTGAGTTACTCTTCTTGCAGCTCAGATCACGTCAAGCAGATATTGGGGTTCAGTGATGTCTGGTGATGTCTGGAAGTGCCCCATGTCAGAATTCCAGCTGTTCAGCAGCACAGGAAGATTGTACACCTGCAACTGTGCGAATGGTCCTGTTGCCTCCTGCATTTTGGCCTCTGTTCTATAAAGGAAGAGTAAAGATGGAGCTCCTCCTGCCTCCATCACGAAAGCACATATCATCTGTCCCTTTGGATTTTACTTCCAGGACGTGTGTCGTCCCCAGCGTGTGTTGCCTTATGGTGCCGGCAGAGCCTCAGCTATCTGCCTGGGAAGTCGGATGTCCTTGGAGAGAATTTGGAATGCAGATAATTTTTCTTATTTCTTGAGAGCTTACTTTAATCAGCATGACACTACCTAAACACTGAAGATGGCCTTATATTAGTAAGATTTGCACAAAATTAAGTATACCTATGCAAACTATTACTTTGGTTTTTAGGAGTTTGATCAGATGAAGAAGTAATGGTATCACATATATATGTAAGAAGACAACCATCATTATTTTTGTAAGTGTTTTATAAAAACAAACTGATTAACTTGTGAAGCCATTTCATAGTGGGTTTTTTCAGGGAGGGTATGCTGGGTGGGATGGGGAGATAAACTAAATGCAGCCTGTAAAAACACTGATCATTATTTAAAATTCTATTCCCTTTTGCTAGTAAGCTGCACTTTGTAGAGAAACAGGAACTGTACAGCCCACTTTGGGACCTTGGATGTAAATGCAAACAGGTCACCTGGAGCCCTGCAAAGCCAAGTGCCTGCTGGCGACTCACTCTGCATGGAAATGCTGCCTTCCGAGTAATGGGGTTCATTAGAAGGCCCCAACGTGCTGTATGAGCGTCCCTCTGCTGCTTTGCAGCCTGCTCCAAGAGGCAGGATTATACTTAGAGCCACAGCCATGTTAAACCACCACCAAGAGGGGAAAACAGAATAATTGTGAGCTGAAAATGAGACCATAAACAACTGATTTTTATGGATATTAAATTCCACTCCCCTCTATTTTGGGCCCAGTTCTGCAGGTGCGAAGCAAGTAACGAGCTTGAGCCTGCCTGTTTGGAAGGAAATTGGAAGGTTTGTCTCTCTCTGTTCTTTGTGGGCATCTCTGTGGAGCCCTGAGGGCAGCCACAGGTCTGGTGGTTGTGCCTCAGGAGCACTGGTTTGGTCTTAATCAGGCCTTTCATGCACAGGCAGGGCAGTGGCGGAAGAACCACACCTGCAATGCTGTGGAGCAGTGGAGGCCCTTTTGTGCTTCAGGAATCTTGAAGCAGCTTTGTATTGAGTGAATGAGAAATTGAGAGCTGGCCTGTGAAATGACAACAGGAGACCTGGCCTGGGCAGGGTGAGCTGTTAGGAGCCAGCCTTGCTTTCGTGTTTCATAGTCCAAGCAAGACACCAAAGATTCCTACTCACTGTACATTTCTGTTTGTCTTGACAAATGGTTTGCTCAGCTGTGGTGCAGCAGCCAGAAGGGATGAAGCACAGCAGACTGGTCTGCTTCTGGCTTCCTGATGTCTGGTTGTATTTGCACAGCCCACAACTCTCCATTAGAAAAGAAGGTAGCTTAAGATAGAGAAAGAGGAACAGTTGAAGATGGAAGTTCGGCTGTAATTTATTATACTCTGTTTGTTTTTGCACAAGTATTTATCTTCTTGTTTGGACTTACAAAGTCATAAAATGCCAACGCCACATCTGTAAATGGAATTCTTTAGCTTTGTAGTTTGATTTACACCTTTCTCCATTATCTGGTGGTGGTGTTGATTCTTCTTGAATCCATATTTCTGCATTGTAGAATACCATGGTCCCCTTTGTGGAAAGTTTCCTTTGGGAAAAGATTGATTTTGTGCCTCTTACTGTTTTTTTCAATAGGTACTGAAATAAACTTACTTTATTATTTTATTTTTTTGAGACAGGATCTTGCGCTGCCTGGGCTAGAGTGGAGTGGTGTGATCACAGCTCATTGTAGCCTCAACCTCCTGGGCTCAAGTGATCCTCCCACCTCAGCCTTCCGAGTAGCTGGGAATATAGGAACGTGCCACCACACCCAGCTAACTTTTTGGTATAGTTTGTAGAGATGGGGTTTCACCTTGTTGCCCAGGCTGGTCTTAAAGTCCTGGGCTCAAGTGATCGTCCCGCCTTGGCCTCCCGAAGTGCTGGGATTACAGGTGTGAGCCACTGGGTCCAGCCTGAAGTAGACTTACTTTAAATGAGGACAGAGATGACTGGTGTGTGCAGTGACAGGCAGGAGAATGTAACTTCCCATGCTGGGGTGCTGGCAGCAAACTCACACGATAACACTAACTTCCTATTTGGATTTGGAAACTGGTTCCTGTTTCTGAATCCATTACAGTCCTCAGAGGTTTTTGTCCATGGTTTTGCAAAATGAAGTCAGAAAATGGAGCTGGATGTAGAGAGAACAGGAAAACCCATGTGGCTGGGTGAAATAACTGAGAGTGGGTTATTTAGGGAGTGACGTGGACATGCCAAAGAAAAACAGCAGAGAACTGAGTCTATCCACGGGAGAAGAGCAAATCCTGCACGATTCGGGGGAGTGAACATTGATCTAGGCGGATATGAAGAAACCAGGGAGTGGGTGGGTGAGAATGGGAACTCCTTGTCAGGAAAAAAATCATTGGCAATGAAGTAGAATATTCTGGTCCTAAAGTAAATCGGCAAGCCCTTAGAAATATCTTTTTTTATAATGAGTTGGGGGGAAAATCTTAAATATGTTTGGCATGCTTAAAGATATGGTCCGAGAGTGTGGACACTTCTCTATGTGACAGGCTCCTACACCAGTCGCTGTGCTCCTTGCTGGAAGAATGTAGGGGAAGAGAAACCGTGGGTACCGCCCGCTGGCGCAGCCCCTGAGCTGGCGTCACTGCGTCTGGCCTGGGCAGGAAAGGTGAGGGAGCCAAGGGTTCCTGGAGTATCACAACATTAACCTCAATTCATAATTCAGGGCCCGACTTAAAGTTCCAGACTGAGTGACTTCTGTGGTTCAAAATATATGAGAGCACTGGGATATTTAAAATTGATTTTTTGGAAATGGCCAAGTAAATGTTTTTTAAAATTTTACACAAAGAAATTCCAACTTAGGTTCAGCCTAAAACATAATTTCATGGGTGGTAAAATACAATTTCCCAACCATGAAATGGGAGTGCTGGAATAGCCAGTTAGAGATGTGATTTTTCTTTACCATTAGATACCTCCTTTCCCTGGTATTTAGAGGAATTGTGAAGTGGTCCCCATTTTGTGGAGTATCATTTTGGAAAATGCTTTGATGTGCTCGGGTTGGAGTGGATGTCTGTCAGGTGTTAGGTAGGACGCATTCGGTATTTTTATAGGTCATCAGGAGTACCCTTTCCTTAGCAGGTGGATTTTATTTAGGTCAGATATAGTTAGTTTCTGTCCAGGATAAGACATCATGGAGCCAGGGTCTTGTCAGGAAAGCATCCTCTTATGAACAGAATCTAGAAACAGGCTACATGAATATTGGGGTTGCCTGTTTAATTTGGGCAGCCAGTGGGTACTCAGGGTCGAAAGTTGTTTCCAGTGTCTCCAAATCAGCTTGGCTGTGGCCGTCATGTGGACTGATTCCCAGGTCTGTTTGAGGTTTAGGGTTGTGGATGGGCTGCTCTTCTGAATCTGGATCAGTGTGTCTAGGTTGTGTTCAGGAGGGAAGCACAGCCGCAGCAGTCTGGACAAATCAAGTGCTTTAACGATGGCATCGTCCTCTGGGAATAATCAGTCCTTAATACAGTTTTCACTTGACATAATAGTTTTGGTAAACTGTCTTTATCTGGCTGCACCCCCTTTTAAGTAAGCCCTTAATTTTAAATGGTCCCGGCGTGGTGTTCAGTATCTGCATATGCCCCAGTTCTCATTTAAGGGCAGTTCAATGTAATTGCTAATTACCAGCCCTGTATTTACTGAAATGGCTGTCTGTCATGCTTGCCATTTTTATGAAACACTTTATTGCAGGTCAGCTATTATTGCACGTGCTACTTCAAGTCACTGGCTCAGGCTGGTGTCATGTGTGGTTTGCTGCAAACGGCAGCCTGCTTTGCAGTGTGAGCTCTTCCTGGAAACAGCAGTCTCTTGTAGCTGATGCCACATCAGCTTTAAGTCATTAGGAAGATATTCTAGGCCCCTTGTTGCTTCAGCCATCAGTCTATAAATAACACAACACTAATTTTCCATCAAGTAACAGCTTAAAACAGAACACTGTCAAACCACTTTATGTTCCACCCTTAAATCACATCACTGAGGAAACACTGTAAGAGAATGCAGTTGACTCTTTCCCCCCCTTCTTTTTGAATGAACCTCGTAAACCTAATGCTTTAGAAAGAGCTCTCAGAAGACTGAGAATGGTTTTTAGGATAATTTTGCCTCAGTAAATCCTCTCTACATTCAGGCATTTATTAGGCCATTACTTGTTTTGGGACTACAGATTATCCTGGCAGCTCAATAACTGGATAAACAGGACTTTAGTGAAAGATTTTCAGAGGTTCTTTAGGGAAAAGAATGACCAGGAGAAGGTGGGTGGAAGCCTTCAGTTCTTTGACCTCTTGCACGTAGAATCCTAAAACTGATCATGATTTTAGCTAGGACTGACCTTTCCTAGCTTGTAGGGTCACTGTGAATTTTGTTCATGTCTTAAAAGGTTTAAGTTAACCTAGTTCACTGTTACCTACACAAGTAACAAGACGGCCAATAGGACCTGTCAGCATGACTTCGACATGCATTCCAGGCATCTTTCGGGGAGTTTAGATTTACTGTGTCATTTCAGAACCCAACAAAGGTGATGGAAGCTCTTAGGCCAGATTAAATTTCATGGAACGGAGGCTGCAGAAGTCTGTGCTGCTTAGTGTGTCAGCTGACTTTTTACTGGGACAAGTCTATGAAAGGCCCACCTGTAACAAGGCCCCTTTTTGCCCTGTGGATATTTTAAAAGAGGGAATTTGGTGTTGACAATCTTACTTACACGACTCTTGCTAAGCTATTTGACTAAGGGTTTCAATCAGATGCTTCCCACCTCACAAGCAAGGGTCAGCTCTATTTGCAAATAATCCATGAATATGTTTGTCTAAAACCTGCTGAAGAGGCATGGCAGCCACTTCCATGCTGCTTTTGGTAATGGGTAAAGAATATGGCCTTTCAGATAGATCTGGTGGCTTTTCCCCAATAGTCACCATGTGGAAACTATGCAACTAAATTCAATGGAAATGAAAGATACAATATAAAATAGCGGGTCATGGCCATAAGCTGTGTCCTGAACTAACCAACTCCAAGCTGAAGGAGGGTGTGTACTTTCCGAAACTTCGAGGCCATCTTAGTAATTATTTTAGCAATAATTACTAAAATGTACATGGGGTGGGGGAGCTCAGCTAAAATATCCTTACTTTGGTGCAATAATGATCTAGGTTCTTTTTCCTAGGCCTAGGCCTCCACCTTGAAAGACAGGAACAGAAGTTCACTGTGATGTGTGACCCTGGACAGAGATCAAACAGCTCCTTTCTAGACCCAGATGACCCAGAACGCAGAAGCCTAGTAGTTGGTATCACCAGTGTCTCTTCAAAAGGGCCCCACAAAAGGCTGTCCATTAATTTGTTTCATACAGTAAGCGAGCTTTTACTGAATACTCCCTCTGTTAGGTAGCATGCAGAGTGCTAGGGCTGGCACATTCCTGCCTTCCCACCAGAACCCTCCAACCTCCTCCCCAGGCAACAGAACACAGGGTTTGGGCCTGACCAGGCAGAGCTGGTTCAAGCCAGCCTGGGGCAGAGCCAGTTTTCCAGCACACTTCTAACTTCTAGTCAGAGCCTCAGCATTATACACCCAGCCTACAGGTGTGTGGATTCCTGAGACAGATGGCAATGGCATCACCTGTGGTGCCAACTCATACATTTTAATGAGATTTCTCCCTGAAGGGTGAACCAGTAGACCAGACTAAACGCACACTCATGCAAGAATGTAAAATTGTATTTCACTGAGGCCCCTTTATAAGCAGAGCCATCTTTGCGAATTTCTTGGGGTGTTAATGTAAACATATCTTTAGAATATCTCATCGGGTTTCAGTCAGAGCCATGCTTTGGGTTTTTCCTAGCAGCAGTGATGATATCAACTTACAAGGTTTGGCTTTCAGGATTTCAGAAGCTGGCATTCAAGACAACAGGCAGTTTGTCAGAGCTGAATGAGAATCAGCCTGGACAAATCAAGTGCTTTAACAAGGGCATCTTCCTCTGGGAATAATCAGTCCTTAATACAGTTTGCACTTGACATAATAGTTTTGGTAAATGTCTTTTTCTGGCTGCACCCCCTTTTAAGTAAGCCTTTAATTTTAAATGGTCTGGAAAGATCTTCGATGCTTTCTGTAAGGTTTAGTCACCAAGAAGCCAGAACTTTTGGTGAAAACAGAATTTATAAAATGAAACTGAACCTTCTCCTTTCTTACAAAATAAAGATCCTGTCAGACTCCAGTCTCAGACCACCTTTGCCCATTTGTAATTCAGACTTGCAGAGTGAGGAGAGAACTGCTTCAGCCTTACTGTCTTGTAGAGAGATTTGGTGAAAATCATGTTACTTTAGACCCAGTAGTTTTCAGGACCGCAACAGGATGCGGGGCACCTGGCTTCCCGGGTAAGGTCACATAGTCTCTTAAAATTCTGTCACTAATTTTTTTAAACGACTTTTTTTAAAAAGCCACCTCCTCATGCCTGTCCAAAATGAACCACGCAACTGGTTACCTTTCTCTGCCTACCTTTTGGGCTGGGGAAGAGGGGCACCTTTCTCATCACTCTCAGGGAAGTCCTGAGGAACTGTGCAAGCCAGGAAGCATGAGTCGCTGAATTGGTGATGGAGGGGTGTCCACTTTTTTCTAGTTCCTCAGCTGCTTCTGGAGCAGTGTTCACAACGGGAATGTTTTTACTGTCCTTGGTAGGCTACAGGTTCACAGCTTCAAATCAAGGCCTCCAAGGATTTTATTCTCTTACATCACAGTTTTGACAAGTATGCTTTTAAAAAACAACATTTGCAAAACTGGTCTTTAAGCGACGTGAGTCAGAGGTAACAAAGGCATATATATACCGAACAAAGGTGCTCCGGTGCAGTGGAGAGAACAGTATTAGTGTCGCAAGCACAGGAGTGCAGACAGCCCCGCCTTCATCGTGATGCCTGCAGCACACCACGATTATCATGAGAGGTCAAGATTTTGATTTACTAATTTATAATCTTATTTCCAAGCAAAACAAGTCAATTTCATGTTACAACTTTTTTCTTGTTTCTTTTTATCTTGTTTGGCCTGAGGGTTGGGGGATTTGGGGGAGTTGTCAGCTGCACAATCTTTGAAGTGTAAGTTAATTTTTATGTGATATTTCAGTATATATTTTATTGATTAAATTTATTGGAAAACTTATTTTTTTAATTCATTTATTCTCAGACTGTGCCTTCTGGGATGGGGAGGGAGTTTAACAGGCAATATCACTTCTACTCAGTCGATAGGTTGATTAATTCTAATAATATCCTCCTTCCCCACCCTCTTGAGACCTCCTTAAACAAACAAATGTGTTTATACTGTGCCAGTTTATTTGGTTGTATTTTCATCTTTGTTAACCTGTGTTTAGGTCTGAAAACAATACATCCAAATTACAGTCTCTCTTGACCACTGCTAATGCCCATCACCTACAATGGCTGGCCCTTAGGAGTTGCTCAAAAATATTTGTTGAAGGAACTGCAGAATGAAAAGTTTTCTTAGAATGGGTAACAGTATCTCCAACATACATTTTATTTAGTTTAAAATTCCTTAATACAAGAAGGTGTTACTCCTTAACCACTGCTGCAGCCTCACCGGACCCTCCTGATGTGGATGAAGCAGGCGGGGTGGCTGCTGGTCGGCTGTGGAGGCACCTCCAGGCACAGGGCCTAGAGGGTGAGAACACTGGTGACATTAATGCCATAGCTGTGGCTTGGGACAGGGATTGAGAGGCAGCTCTCAGGGCACATGGGCATCAGCTTTCACAGGATCCTGTTCCCAGTCAGGCTGCACTGTTTGTTGTTGTCCCTTGGGCAAGGGGATCCCAAACATCTCACAATGACAGCTTCTTCTCCAGGATCTCCTTTATCATGACTGGATCTGCTCGGCTTTGAGTCGCTTTCCGGACCAACCCAATCAGTTTATTTATAGCTCTGGGGTTTCTGTTCTTCACATCCATTACCTAGAAGGACAGAAATTACTTACTTAAGAGGAGAAAATGAAGGGATTCATGCCCCCAAATCCCAAACTAAGGCTTAAGTTTACTGAAAATTAAATTCCGCTTATTTCCACTAGTATTAGACATAAAATGTAGAACAGAAAAAGGGGAGGGGCCTCACTTCTGAGTAGGTTTCTAGGCTCCTGTCAAAGGAGATTTTTGCTACTCTGCTTTCTGATTAAAATGAGCAAGAAGTGATTGCCGAAAGCCAGAGAAGCTGGCACGTGGGAGCCAGGGCCCTCCCCTCTGCGACGCCACAATGACCGAGGACACTGAGTCTGGGGAGGGATAATCTCTCTGAGATGATGAATCACTGCGTCTAATCAGTGAGGACACCTCTCTGATTCTCAGTGATGTTCAGCTGAAATGTGTGGCTTTCCTTCTCCCCCTGCTCCCCACCAAGAAGATTCCTTTATCAGAAAGCAGATCTACACACTGGCCGAGTCTTCCAGAGCGCTGGGTCGGGGGGAGTGTGCTGTGTGGGCAGGGGGAGTGAGGAAGCCAGGAGGTGCTGAATTCCTATCAGATAGCCACTGACTCTTAGGGCCACCACGTGACCTCCTGCTCTGCAGCGTCTCCAAGGGCAATGACATGAGGATCTGCACTCAAGTGCCACAGAACAAGCCTGAAACTACTGGCACGTCTTTATCAGTCACCACAGATGAGGCAGGAAGACGAGGCTGTGGAGGCCCAGTGCAGGCTCATTTTCCTTATCGAGAGCTCTTTACAGAGCTGTGAGTGTCCCCGGCAAGCTGATGGGTGGGTGGGTATTATTCTGAAAAAGATGCCGACAATTTTTTTCCCCACTGAAAAAATATCTCTAGACAATATGATTAGACTTGGGGAGGGAGGGATGCCACTCGTTTTAGCTTTTATGTCTTGTGCTGTGCTAAGAACACAAAATGACCTGGTTTTCAGTCATGCTCCTGTCAGGGATTTTCTCCACAATTTATGAATACTTTTCCCTTCTGCCTTTCTTCCCACCTCTTAGAAGCATGAAGCTGAAGTTCCTGTACTCTCCCTGCTCTGCCGGCACACCTGCTGGTTCTTTACTGGGAGGTCCTTAGGAAGTAGCGCTAACCACAACAGATTCGAAATGCCAACCCTGGGAGAGGGCGACACACCTGGGAGGTCACAGCTTGGATTTCGTGAGCTTGCTGACACCCTTTTAAACTACACCTCCATGGAGAGTAAACTCCAGGGGTGGCATCCTTCTTATAGGAAAAGAAGTTGTGTTTTTCCAATATCCACCTATTTCATCTCTTCTGACCTTAACTAAAAAGATGACAGTGAGGGAATTATTGATGAAACTGGGTCAGCCATTCTTAGGAAGAGCCTCTGGGCTGCCACAGGGAGCGATGGCGAGGCTCTTGGGCATGTCCTGGGGCTGGCTCTGGCCCTCTCCCCTGCCCGAGATAGTCACCACTTGAGGATGGGCCTCCATCACAGAGTGGCAGAGCTGCTCCAGTGCCCCCTGGTCCTGCATCAGTTCAAGCTGCTTTTCTGAAACAATCTGCCCTGGAGTCTTGCCTTCCCTCTTCCACAGTTCCTCAAACACCTATGGACCAGAGAAGGGAGAGGAAAGAGAAATGAGAAGTCAGCTCTTCTGCCAGCTCCATTTGCAGTGCTGTGCTGTGTGGAGCTGGGGTGGGAATGAGCAGATTCAATTAAGTCCCCACTGCCTGGGCCTGGCCCAAAGGGAAAGGGCACCTGGCTGCCCTGCCAGAGCGTTGGCTCTCCTGAGGCATCCCTGAGTGCAGGGCTGGGGAACAAGGCCAGCTAGGTGGAGTGAATGCACCTGGGGTCTCCTCCTGAGGCTGAAGTCTCCCTCAGC
The DNA here is from genome assembly GCF_000001405.40 of Homo sapiens. Classification (NCBI taxonomy): domain Eukaryota; kingdom Metazoa; phylum Chordata; class Mammalia; order Primates; family Hominidae; genus Homo; species Homo sapiens. The sequence continues at coordinate 151,673,173 of NC_000004.12, forward strand.
ATAAGGTGTGAGAGGACTCGGGCCAGCCAGATGCCCTCGTGCCCAGAGGGATGGTGAGTCCTGCCCGGCTGACTCCACATGGCGGGGGGGGGCCGCGGGAGGCGTGGAGGTGCCCATCACTCATGGGCGCCTGCTGACGGGAGTCGGCGGGCCACTGATGGATCTGTCTCATGGCCGCCGAATTAATTGAGGTGACATTTTGGTGAAGGATGGGGCCACACAGCCTGCAGGAGGTAACCACGGTACTAAATAAAGTCCAGAAACAGCATGCTGGGAAAGATGACTTTAGGGAGGCAGGAAAGTAGCCCCGTAATGAAGATACAAAATGGCAAACAACTGAAAACATAAATTAGAATCCACAGGGGCCCCCTGGCCTACCACATTCATCTCCTACAGGTAGAGCCGGACCCAAATCAGACTAGGATAATGAACGCTAATGTTTGGGGCATTTTTTTTTTACTTAAAAAATGACAACAACAAATCCCCAAATTCATCAAACCTGAGAAAAAGGAAACCATTTTCAAGGAAGGCTATTTCCTAGGGTAGCTGTTTTCCTCATTTCTCTTGTCTTCTAGCGAAAGCCAGAATTGGGAGCCGGGAGGAGGGCTTCCTCTGTTGGTCTCCCACCGGTGCCACCTCCGTCCAGTCCACAGTCATGACTGAACACCCAACTTTCCCTGTTACCTTGGTGGCCGAGAACGGGCCAACCAGGAGCCATTCCTCCTGGAAAAACAGAGCTCTTCCATAATTAGCACGAACAGCAAAGCAAATAAAAGGGAGATGCTCTGAGTCTCAGCAGGGCTCAAAGTCTTCCCCAGTCTGATTCAAAAACAAACCACAAATACTTATCACTGCTGGGACAGGCACTGCGCCTTCAGCCTGGTGCCTCAGAACGTGCGCTGTGACTGTGGCCAAGGAGGTGTGCTTGGCAGGTCCTGGGTAAGCTCCCTACAGGGCACCCCTCTGCCGCTGCCCGACTGCTCAGGAAAAGCCTGGCCCTACTCTTAGAAAAATACAGAATGCACGTGCCTCCAACTCAATTCAGCAGATATGTACGTGGCCTGACAATGAGGAAACCATTGGGAGAAAGGGGGCACAGAAGCGGGAAGAAACTTCCTCACTCTCAACATGCTTATCAGTGGAGTGCTGCCAGCAGAAGCACTGGGGACCTGGATGGCGTTCCATGGAGCTGCCCTGTAAGTCGGAGGAGTCCATCTGCCCCCTTTCTCTGACACGTTTATTTTTTGAACTAGGACTTAAATTTTAAAAATCATTTTCTAATAATAAAAGTTAATACACATTCACTGCAGAAAATATAAGGAAATACAGGAGAGATCAAAAGAGATCACCGGAATTCCCATTTTCTCAAGAAAACCAATGTTAATATTTTGGTGTTTTTTCTTCCCATCTTTTTCTTTCTGTTTTGTAACATACTTGGGATCATAACGTATATTCAGTTTGTGTCCTGCTTTCTTTCATTTAGCACAGAAGTACTTTCTTAATAAAAAGATCTAGCTAGTATCCATCAGATGTATTTATCATAATTTATCCCCTCCTCGTAGATATCTAGACTTTGACCAGTGTTGATTTTGTTCATCTGCACAGACTCCCAAAAAAGCTCCTAGCTGAAAACCTGGCTCAAAACAGAAACCACCTGTAAGGACTTGCTCGTGAAAAATCTACGCAGCAGTTCCCTCCAGGAAAACCAGGCGGACGAGCAGCCTGTGCCTGGAAGTAGGCGGGGCCCCTCCTGGGTCTGCGTCTGCAGACACAGACCAGGGAGCGATTTCTCAGCGCCTGTGGTAGCTGCTGCGGTGGGAAGCACACGGCAGACCCTGAGCAGGCTGGCCAGTGAGCCAGCCTCTTTCTGACGGGACCCACAGCTCGAATGTTGGCTGGATTTGCCTGGGCCAAAATAAGCGGAAGAGTGGCAGAGTGCTTGGGGATCACTTCCAATCACACCATTCAGAAGGAGAAGCAGTGCACCTCTAGGACAGATGCCTTCAAACGAAGAGGCTGGCTGCTCCCCGAGAAGGAGGGCCAGGCGGGGTGGTACCAAGCAGTGCCGCTAGAGAAACATCATTCAGCAGCCTCCTGGAACACATGGGAGCCCGGTGGCTGAAATGTCCTTTCCTCCCAGAGTTAGAATACATAATGTTAGTTAACTCCACAAATTAGTGCAGTGGCCATGACAGTCGAGGCCCCCAGTCCCCAGTCCCCTAGGCTTATACAACAGACGCCGGTTGTCCCATCCTTTGCTCAATCCTATTTAAGACGAGGATTGTGCACTCCTGGCTGGAGTCCAGGAGGGTGGGAGCCACTGGGTGGTAGTGGAGCGGCCCTGTCTCCAGGCCAGACTCTCCTGCTCCTGGCCCTCTTGACGCTCACAGAGTGGCCTCTGTGGCTGCCGAGCCCTGTGCTGCAGCATAAATCCTCAGCTTTTGTCTGTGTTTAATCCCACCCTGAGAAGTGATATCCAAGTGCAACTGTTTCCAGCCAGGAGCGCAGCTCCCAGGCCCTGCTGCTGCCTACCCAAGACAAACAGATGTAACAAGGAATTTCTAGCACAGTGCTGGTCCTCTGTGTTAATAAATGGCCGACCAGGAGTACTGGGTAATGCAAGCTGGGAACTCCCCATCACACACAGACACTGGAGCCGGCTCTGACACATGGGGCAGAGACTCGGCCTTTGGTTCCCTGAGGACTGAATTTACACACCCTCTTAGTTGCCACCCAACTGTTTCTAGCTAAAGCTATTTTTGAAGTATCCTGAAGGAAAGCACACAAGACTCTAGCCTCTCCCTGCCTGTCCTGGGTTTCCAAGGTCAGGATATGGTGGAAAGACCTGTTCAAGGGACATGGCATGGAGGGAGCTGTCACAGTTACAGAGAAGGGAGCCCCCTTTTTGGTCAAAGGCAAGTATTGTGAAAGGTTACTTTTCTAGAAAGGCACAAACATCAACCCAAGCCCCTAATAAAGCGGGGCCCAGTAAACTGTGCAGATAACTGAAGCACTAAAGAGAGAAAAAGACATCTAGTCATTTGTAATACAGCTTTGGTGCATGATATATAACATTTTGTACATTAAAAGGTTTTTGGCGATTTCTCTTTAAAGCAGACCACAAAGTAGACAAGAGATTGGTTATTATGGAACACTTGTGTGTTAAACGCGATTTCCATCTCTGCGGCACCCAATTCCAGAAACGTTAACTGGACAATCCTCAGGGGATGGTGGATCATCTGCATCTGTTTCCAGACGTGCATGAAGGATCTCCTTCGTACACCTACACAACCCATGCGATTTCCCTTGAACCATGACTAACCAGCTGTCTGGACGACATCCAGGGCGAGTCACAAGAGGCTTGGGAATCCTGGGAGGCTGTTTTCAGGTTAGCTGTAACTCTGACAGTTTGGGAGTCTGATGTGTCCAAGCTGACCCTGTCTTTAGTGAGGGGAGGAGACGGGGTGCCACCTGCCACTTCAATACACAGCCTGGGTCTTGTGAGGGGCACACGGGGTGCTTTTGTCTACAGTTCCCAGGAGATAACTGCTCATGATGATATATAATTTCCCAGCTTCTATTTCTGATTCTGAAGAACAAGGCTGCTTTGTGGCAGCAACCTCTTAACTCCCCTGGCTCTGGGGTGCTGAAGGGATGAGGTTTGTAAATGTCGGGAGCACTGGCAGGACACCTGGGAGGAGGGTGCAGTGAAAGGCAGAAGGAATGAAGATAATGCACAAGGAAGTGGGTGAGAGACAGGCAGAGAAAGGCAGATTCATAACCAATTAGAGCACAAAGTGGGAGGTTCTTTGGAATTCGGAATTCTGCTCTCAGGACATGATTCTTCTTTCTGTGTGTCTGTCATCCCTAGGAGTCAGTCACTCAGTCACCTTTCTTCCTTATCCCCTGGTCATCTATCTAATCACTTATTGGAGCCTCTTCCAGTTCTGCCAGAGGCAACACCAATAACCAGTAGGATCAGAGAGTCTCTGTTCTGGCTCACAGCTTTCTAAAACCCAAGCCATGCTTGGACTCTTCTATTAAATTTGGAAAAAAATATCTGTAACACATTTTTCTTTTTTAAAAAAGTACACTATAAAAATAAGATACAAAAATATTCTCAACAGATTATGGAAATGCAAATCAAATCCTCCCTGATACGACTTCACACCCACTAGGACGGCTATAGAATCAAAAAGATGGACAATAACAAGTGCTGGTGAGGACATGGAGCAACTGGAACCCTTGCACACTAACAGGTGAGACTGTAAGATGGTGCGGCCATTTTAGAATACAGTCTGGCACTTCCTCATTATATGAATGAAACACAGCATTACCATATGACCCAGAAATTCCATTCCTATAGGTATACATCCAGCCTGTGTGCAAAAACTTGTACATGAATGTTTAAGGCTGCATTATTCCTAATAGCCAAAATGTGGAAACAACTCAAATGTCCATCAACTGATGAATGGACAGACAAAATGGAATGTGTCCGTACAATGGTGAAGGGGCTTGGCAGACGAGCAGCCCCATTTAGCCCTAAAAAGGCGTGAAGGACTGATGCGTGCCGCAACACAGATGTACTTTTCATAAAATGTCCAGATAAAATAAAAATAAATAAATAATACAAAGTCAATAAATACATAAAATATCCAGATAAAATGCTTGACACTATATAATTAATAATAAGAAATAAACTAAAAAAAAGTACACCATAACTTCAGTTTTTGAAAGTCTTTATTGCTATCTTTCCTTCCTCCCTCCTCCTCCTTCTTCCTTCATGATGTTCATCTGATATTAAAGGTAGTTATTTCAAGGTGGTAGAACCTGAGAATCTTTGTTTTTCTACATTACTTATATTTTTTTATGATCAACATATATTACTTTCCCCCAGAAAATCAGTAATTTCCTAAAAACAGAAAAAAAAGGTAGAAAAACAAAAAAAACCCCAAGGCAATGATACATCACGGGGACCCCCTTAAGCAACACACACTAGACACCCTTCTAGCCAGGCTTGTATTTTCGCTTGACTGCCTCACAGAAGTCCCCTCCTTTAAACATGCTGGAAGCTGATAAAATCTGAAAGCGTCCCTACATCTGAACCCAGCTGTCAGCTTCCAACATTTTCCATTTCTTCTTACTGGAACTATCTTATTCACCGCACTAGGTATTTTGTTCTGTTGTGTTGTGGGGCAGGATGAGTAGGAAAAGGGGAAGGTTTTTCCCTTCTTTCATTTCACGTGCAATAATTCAATGTGTTCTTCTCTCTCTCTCTCTCTCTCTACATATATATATAGTGCTTTTTCTGCCCTCAGGCCATCTAAACTTCCTGCAACTGCTCAGCATTGTCATAAACATTTGTATTCCCCTGACATCCAGACAAGCAAGAGCCTTTCCTAAACGCGGTGAGGTCCCTGTAGTTGACAGCCTCACTCGAGGTGGGTAAACAGAGCTTTTATTAGTCCCGTCTCCAGTTCCACAGCACCCAGCCCGGTGCGTGCACTATGGTGCCTCATAATTATCCCAAAGCAGCCACTTTCCCCAAGCCTCCCTTTGTAACCTGCCACTACTGTCGGTGCAGATAAACGTTACATGCAAAAGGCACCATTAAAATAACATTAAACTTCTGGCTGAAGCATTGACAGCTGCGATCACTGAAGCTGAGATGAGGCAGCCACCTTGGTGTTCTTGATCTTTCTGGTTATGTGTTTTTTTTGTTTTTGTTTTTGTTTTTTGAGACGGAGTCTCGCTCTGTCACTCAGGCTGGAGTGCAGTGGCACAATGATCTCAGCTCACTGCAACCTCCACCTCCCTAATTGAAGTGATTCTCCTGTATCAGCCTCCCAAGTAGCTGGGATTACAGGTGCCCGCTGCCACACTCAGCTAATTTCTGTATTTTTAGTAGAGACGGGGTTTTGCCATGTTGACCAGGCTGGTCTCAAACTCCTGACCTCGTGATCCACCCGCCTCAGCCTACCAAAGTGCTGGGATTACAGGCGTGAGCCACTGTGCCCGGCCCTCTGGGTATGTATTTGTAAGAATCTTCTGAATTCCACGAGTCTGTCAACTGCCTAGCACTTAGGCAGAGGTATAGACAGACAAAAGGCTGCTTAGGATGATGCTATTTTTCTGAGTTTTCACACACCGGGCATGTCTGTAACATTTTATCTACAAAGTGCAGAGTCTGACTTCACCCTCCTTGTTGAGGACAGACTCTCTGAGGGCAACCATGCAGCAGGGACAAGGGAGCCCTGGGACTGGCTGGGAGGCGGTGTGGGGGCGGGACAAGAGCCCCAGCAGGCTGAGAGCTGAGCTGAGGCTGCCTTGGGCACGAGGGAAAGTTCTCAGGTGTAAAAGGGCTACAGGAGACATGTCAGGCGGAGATGTTCAGGGCAAGACCAGACAATAACTATTTCCCCAGGTTAGCGGTGATGACGAGAAGCAAACTGCCTGCATTGCACATATTGGCTTCATACGCTTGCTAAATAAAATGTTTCTACCTTTCAGCATTAAAAACACCACTACTGGCATTTAATACTTCCATGATGAAAGTCACTCAGTGATGGCATTTGGGTGTCACAGAAAACATTTCTTGGGACAGTAGCACAGTCAGAAGCTGTCGGGAGTGTGGACATACCTGTTTAGCTGCTGATGAAGAAATTGTTCTGCTGTCCAGCAGGTCAAGAAGCTCAGCGAGTGCAGAGGGTGTGACAGGACTGGTGGCCCCCAAAAGAGAAAACACATTTACATTGCACACTGTCAGGGCATCCATGAATGGCTGTTCGGAATCAGAACACTTGCTCTAGTGGGGGTAAATATCGGACCCACGCCTAGGGATGAAAACAGCAGGCCAACTGGGCTCTCTTTTATTTTACTTATTTATTTTATATCTTAGGATATAACAAATTTTTGTGACTAGTGTTCTTTCTTTCACCACCCAACAATAACAGCTGTTTGGCAGAAGTTGTAGCAACAGACAACTGCTCAGTGTAATTAGTCAAGAAAAGGAGGTGGCTGCAAAATTCATGAACCACAACAGGAAAGGGAAAACAAACTCCAGTAATTAAATATTTTCAACGGAAAGATCAGCCTAAAAATTACTTAAAAAAAAAAAAAACCAGCTAACAAAGTCACGTTTCTGAGTGTTTCTGTGCAAATATAAATTCCTTTAAATTGCAAGAGATTTTCTGCAAGGGAACACAATGACTACCAGCCACATTTTCATCCATCCTCAGGAACCTGATACATAACTCTCTTCTCCAGGCTCACACAGCTTTCTGGACACAGAAGGGCCTAGAATCCACTATACCTATATTTCTAGGATGTGACTTATTTGCCAATATCCCATGAAAGAAAAGGTCAGGGGCATCCAAGCATAGTGAAACAGCGAAGTGTCATTAATTCACTTGAAGGTGAATTAATGGTAGGGGTGAGTGCCTAAATTATGGAAAAGACAACAGTGAATTACAAACTATTTCTTTTAAAATGCACGGTTTTCTGACTTCTAAATACAGGTTGAGTTACCTCATCTGAAATGCTTGGGACCAGAAGTGTTTCCAATTTTGGATATTTTTGGATTTTGGAATATTTGCATTATACTTACCAGTTTAGCATCCCTAATCCGAAAGTCTGAAATCTGAAATGCTCCAGTGAGCATTTCCTTTGCACATCATCGTCAATGCTCAAAAAGTTTTAGATTTTGAAGCATTTTGGATTTCCAGGTTAGGGATACTCAACCTGTATTTATAGCAACTAGGCTCATGAGATGCTGCCTATCTGAGATCATTTGGGGACTGGTTTTAAAAAGGTAGGAATGACATCAATAGCACATTAGTGTTACACTGTGTAAATGAGGGCTTCTGAAATGCTTCATGCCACTTGAAAACATCTTCTATTTAAGTCTTGGTTCCCATCATGCAAAATTAATTTCTTTGGATGTGCTTAGAAAATACAAAGGAAACTACAGCTTAGTCCCTATGCCGATTTCCCGGGCTCTAAACCAATGGAGTGTGTGTTAACCAACTGACTTACTGTACTCTAATTCAAGTGCAGTGAAACCCTATTGGGGCTGTCCACTTAAAACAGCTGATGTACTGAGGCAGCCCATCATCCTGTAAGTGTCTGTTTATCCCAAAGTATGACTAAAAGGCAATTCCAAGTGAAACTTAGGTTTGGAGAATATCTGGTGTTACTAAATTGGTATTCAGAACATCTGTGAACCACCCTGATTAAACCTCAAAAGGAAGAGGGGCAGCGGGCGGCTAAACAAACTAAAAAAACCTACCTTTACTAACAAGTAAAAGGCAGGCCGGATTTTTCTAAAAGCGTGGGTTGCCTGGATGTTCTGCAATCCTAGAAAATACCATGGCCCATTATCTTAGAATGCAGACTGTGTGCAGAACCCATAAGAAGCACTGAGGTGGAACTGGATTTCTTGAGCGTGCAAAAGATAAGGTCCCTAGGCCCATACAAGTCGATGATTGCCTTGGTCTGTTTGGGCTGCTCTAACAGGTTAGTACCAAAGACGACATGGCTTATAAACCATGGAAACTTTATTTCTGCTCTGGAGGCTGGGAAGTCCAAGATAAAGGCGCTGGCAGATTCCATGTCTAGTGAGGGTCCACTTTCTCACTGGTGGCACCTTCTTGCTGTGTCTGCATGTGGTGGAAGGAGCGAGGGAGCTCTCAGAAGTTTCTCTGATGAGGGTGCTAATCCCATTCATAAAAGCCCCTCCCTCATGACCTAATCGCCCACCAAAGGTCCCATTTCCTCACACCATCACCTTAGGGGTCAGGATTTCAACACAGGAATTTGGGGGAGGATCCCAACATTCAGATCGCCGCAATGACATAAAAGACGTAGGGGTGGAGAGGGACAGAAAAGGAACACAAAATAACTAAAAATAACGTCGCCTTTGAGAAGTTCATCTAAGGACCTTAATTCATCAGTTGGGTCATAAATTTAGACTACAAAATCTTTCCACTGACGTAATCACACTTGGGATTTCTCCATCACTTTTCTGTCCCTACGATGCCTGTCACACAGTAGGTCATCATATTTGTGTCACAGGCTTCCTCACACCCATAGGGATGTCTGGCAGACTGCACATGTTAATTCCACATATGCCAGGGCTAAACTTGAGTCAGACGATGACAAAGATCAGTACCTGTCACACAGACCCCGAAAGACCCCACTCATCGCCTAAATAAATAAACCCTCAGACTCGACACGCAATGGCAGCAGCAGCACAGGCTACTAATTTGCTGTTGTCAGGTAATACTGGTTTCTGGATAGTGAATGCGTCTCCGCTGAAGAAGAAACTGACACCGCGGCCTTCAGCTCTGTGTGCTGCTCTCTTCCCTCCCATTCTCTGAGGCCGCGGTTCGACAGAGGAGGGGAAAGGGGCTCTTTCAAAGCTCCAAAATTTGTCCAGTCCCTCAGAGCTCATTCAGGATCACAGCTCCATCTCCTGCTTGGATGAGAGCAGACAACGCTGATGCTTCTACAACCACCCCCGACCCCCCGTGAACCATGCTGTCTGTCCCAATCCCCCAGCTTATCTCAGGCCCAAAGTCCACCTTCTCTGCTTCTGTTAAAACAGGATGCAAGAAGAAGGAAGACATTGGGACTTGGGCCTCCAGGTGGTACCTGCTGCGCACAGGATTCTGTGTTCATCTCACGGATTTCGCAGTGCCCCTAGCTGGCGTCCCACCAAGCGCCTGTTCCAGGCAGCCCCCTTCTGCTCCCCTCCTCTGCACATGCCCTCACCTCCCATTTCACAAGGACATCAGCTGAGCCACGGTTGAGAACTTTCTAGGGCACTCTCCTCCTCCTCTTCCATCAAACAACCCCTCCACCCCTGCTCAGAACCCCACTCTTTCCACTCCTCCGAACCAAAGATGCTGGTTTCCCGTGTCCTGTGGCTTGAATCTCACAGCTTCACAAATGCTCCGATCTTCCCTGTCTTGACAATGCCTTTGGCTGACCTTGCAGTCACTTGCGTCTGCCCAGTTTCTTGCTTTAACAATAACGATCTAGCACCAGTGGCTACTACCTACCCTGTGTAAGCACATGCCATCTGGATTCTGTGCCTACCCCTCTATAGAAGCTCTTCTCTTAAAAATCAACCCCCTTGCTTGTGGCCAAACATTCAGCTTCTCCCCATCCCGCTGCACCCTGACTCCTGGGGCTGCACCGTAAGCTCCTTGTGAAACCTCCTTCTTGGGCCTCCGGAATGTCCTCCTCTTCCTTGCCTGTCCCTCTGCTGCTCCTTGCCAGTTCATGCCAGGTGGCTCCGGTGTCCTCTTGCTGGGTCCTCTGACTTGACCCCTAGCCGTGAGGAGGATGCCCAGGGCTGCCGCTGCTGCCTCAGGTCCTGTTTCTCTCCCTGGTTGATGTCAACCACCTCCTGAGAGGCCCCGTTCACACCTAGACAATGTGCTCTAAACCAGGATGGCAAACTTCTGGAAAGAGCTAGGGTGCGCATATTTGAGGCTTGGTGAGTGCCCTCTGTCACATATGCTTCTTTGTTTTAACAAAGGTAAAAGCAATTCTTAGTCACAGGCTCTACAGAAACAGGCCAGAGGCTGACATGCTATAGTTTCCCAATCCTTATCCTAAGCCAAACTTGTCTTCCTCACAGACCAGCTCCTCTGCATTTCCCACCACCCATCTTCTGTCTCAAATGATGACAACACCACGCTTCTAGGTATCAGAGTGCAAATTATCATGTTGTCTTTGCTTTATTCATCACCTACTCCCTGAAAAATCTAGTACCTTATTACCAGATCCTAGTGATCCTTCCAAACATGAAATACGGCCATCCTGCCTTTTGCATTCCCAACACCACCACTTCTGACTTGCTGTGGGTCTGGCCACAGTGAGCTCAACAGGTTTCCAATGCCTGCAGCCCATCCTTGGATGCTATCCTACATTTCATGCTGTGGGACACATCTTCCTCTCACCTCCAGTCCCTTCTTGGTTTCAAATCCTTCCCTGCTCCAGTGCTCAGAAATTGTTGCCCACAGCTCACCTGAAACACTGGGGCACTCAACTGGCTTGGACAGCTGGATAGCTGTACCTGCCTAATTTTACCACAAAATGCTTGCTCAGGAAATCTACAATGTCTACTTTCTTAACTAAACCAAATCTGTTACTCATAATTCAGAAGCTGTCAACCAAATAAACCAACCTTTCAAGCAATATACTCAATTAAAAAGCCAAGTTCAACAAGAGGTTGGACCCTTCAAACATCAGTCTTCTGAGAGGTCTTTAAAGATGAATGCTAATTCACGTAATCATTCTCTACCAATTTGATCTCCAGAGTGTTCCTTGCCTGGGTATCATTGTGAGACTATAGCTAGTTTTGCAGCTACTGCCCTTCTAAGCTCTGGAAACATTAGCACTCATAGCTGAGGCTGTTCATTAATTAATGTTTGCTCTATGGGTAGCCTAGTATATCAGTCCAGCTAAACGTTCTTTGAACTGTGTAGGAAAAGAGCTGCTATGGTTTGGTTTTGGCTTCTCAGTCCTTGTTCCATTTAAACTGTAAAACACAACTGTTGCCTGCTTCCTCTTTACTTGATTTTGGAACAACCAAGCCTACCTTTATTTAGAATTGGGTACCCTTCAGGTTCTTAAAACTTTACTGCTTATAAACTGCTTGGGTAAATACCAGGGGCTCCAGGTCCACTCAACAGGCTAATTTATCTCTCAGCTCCTTTAGAGGCCACCAAAATGACTGTTAAACCCCTAACTTCACAGACCAACATATACAGAAGCCGATCACAAGCCAGGCGACTTGGCTTCCAGTCTTTGTGGCTGTGCCATCTGAGGCAAGTCACCTTATCTCCTAGGGCCTCCGTCACCTCGTCTGCTAAATGAAAGAGCTGAAGATCCCTAAGTTCTCTTCCAGGACTAAAGTTCAGCAATTCCGTACATTTTAACCAACAACATAGAAAAACTAAGTTTAAAGCTAAGAAATTTCTATTTCCTCCAGAAGCGCAAACACCTCATCTTCTTGGAGCTTTCCTGGACTCTTCTGGCTGGTGTGAATCTCCCTCCTCTCTGTTCCCACTGCACTGTGTCTAGTTCTAACACTGGAAGCATCCCATTCTGCCTTGAATTAAAATTCTGATGCACAAGTTCTAGTCCTCCCCAGGAGGCTGACAGCACCTGTGGGGTAGAACCGGGTCCTGGTCATCCCCCACACACTGCAGAGTGGGGCTCTGCACCTGATGGGTTCATGGCTGAATCCCCCTGACGTTCCAGAGGCTCCCTATTCCGGCTCAGCTCTGGCTCTGCACACAGCCACACCTCTTGGCCTCTTTCCACCCTCTGCTCCTGCCAGCTACGCTCCTCTCCTTCCCAATCATTCCAGTTCTTTGCTGTTCCTGCACCTGGGCTCCAGGTAGGCACTGCCCTCTCCCTCACCAAATCCTGTTGAGCCTTGAAGACTCTGGTAGAGCTGTATCCCATCCATAAACTCTTCAGCACGGCTCCTGCCTCCACAGAACAGCCACACATTTTCAGCACCAACACCAGAATTTCTGAATGGAGAGGCCAAACCCGGGAGGACAGGGATGAAAGACCAAGAGGCGCGGTGGCTCACGCCTGTAATCCCAGCACTTTGGGAGGCCAAGGCGGGCTGATCACTTGAGATCAGGAGTTCGAGACCAGCCTGCCCAACATGGTGAAACCCTGTCTCTACTAAAAAGAAAATACAAAAATTAGCTGGGTGTGGTGGCGGGTGCTTGTAATCTCAGCTACTCAGGAGGCTGAGACTTGAGAATCACTTGAAACTGGGAGGTGGAGGTTGCAGTGGGCAGAGATTGTGCCACTGCACTCTAGCCTGGGTGACAGGGCGAGACTCTGTCTAAAAAACAAAACAAAACAAAAAAAAGACAAAGAGGCAGCAGATGCCACAAGAGTTCAGGAGGGTGGCAGGTGCTCTGGTATTCAGCACACCACCCTGGCAAAGAGAAGGTGGCTCACACCGAGGCCCACAACGTGCCGGGCACTGTGACTTTTTCCCTCAAAAGCTCTCTGAGGCACGTCCTGCCATTTTCATTTTACAGTGAGGAAACTGAGGGTCAGAGGGGGAACTCATTCAAGCTGAGCAGCCGAGTCGGGAAGGGAACTAACACCCGGGCCACACTAACACATGGATGTGTGCATCCATATCCAGTGGCTGAACATGGAGTTGACACCATCTAGAGTTAACTTATTTGGGCAAACAACTGTTGGGAGTTATTTGTCAATATCTGTCTGTCTTCACTCCCCGGGATGCTGCTGAGACAATGACACACCCACCCAGCCTGGGCTCCCCCTGCCCCGGGACCTTGCAAGGGCCCTGCCACCTGCCTATGTGCCCCCAGAGAACTCTCTTTCTGATGCCCCAAAGTGACACCTACTGCCCATTCTTTCCTTCTTGAAACTTGCCTCTCCCTTGGCTTCTGTGTCACCAGTCCCCGCCCCGCCCCCCCCCCACCCCCCAGTTTCCTGGTTTTCCTTCTACTTCTGTGCCATCGCGCCTGCATTTCCTTCTCTGTGCACGCTTCCCAGTTAAAGGCTAAAGAGCTTCAGGTTCGTTCCCCAGCCACCCTGGCACGCTGCACCCTCCCTGAAAGTTCTCATCTGTCCAACAGCTTCAAGTACAGATGCTGCTGAGTCCATGTTCCACTTACGTTGTGCTGTGTCCCTGGATTCCCCAAACTCTCATGCCCAGACTCACCTCAGATTTCTCCACGTGCTTTTCCCCATGCCTGGAACACTTTTCCCTGTCAGCCTTGGCCTGTCCCTGCTCATCCTCTCCTCAGGTCTTAGCTTAGCTGCTACCTTCTTCCCCTCTCAGAGCACCCCTGTCACTGACTGTAGCCACCAGCTTCAAGGCTGCCTGTGCTTTGATTCAGGGCTGGTGTCTGTCCCAGGAACTGCGCTTCTCATGCTGGGCACAGACCTTAGCACACAGCAGAGGCTAAGTGAACATGAGCTGAATAATGAACCAACGAGATAACTCTCAACTGCAAACCTCCCCAAGATCTTATCAGCTGCAGACTCATAGATCTTGCCTACTGGTTAGCCCCGTGGGGGTGATGTCTGTCCTGCAGGCAGCTCGAAGTCAGCACGTCTGAAATGGAATACGGCATCTTCCCTCACCCCCGGCCTATAAAGTTTATTCCTTTTCCTTTAGCTCCTCCTACATTGAAAAAGTCTGCCCTCTGTTTCACCTCTGCCCAAGCAAGAAATCTGGAAGTTCTGCCAATTGAGATAATTGCTCTCAACTTGGCCTAGCTCACTTCAACCCAGCCACTGCCACCTTGGCTCAGGCCTGGGGCATTTCTCATCCGCATTCCTGAAAGAGGTTCCCAAATGGAATTCCTGCTTCTAGTCTGCTCTCAGACGCTGAATATTTGTGTCCCACCCCAAATTCCTATATTGAAGCGCGATGGTTTTAGGGGATGGGGCCCTGGAGGAGTAATGAGGTCTAGAAGAGGTCACGAGGGTGTGGTCCCCATAGTGGGAATGGGGATCCTATAAGAAGAGATTGGAGGGCCTTCTCTCCCTCCCCCCTTCCTGTTTCACCCCTCAACTCCTGCCTGTCATGTGAGGACATCTGTGAGCCAGGCAGAGGGCTTCACCCAGGAATGCATCAGCTGGCACCCGGATCCTGGACCTTCCCCACCTCCAAAATCATGGGAAAGACATGTTGCTGAAGCCACCCAGTCTATGGAATATAGTGGCCTGAGTTGAGTGAGACACACTGCATTTCCGCAGTGTGAAACTGGCATGAGCTTGTAGTCTATGGCTGTCAAGAGCTGGTGATAAAGGCAGACACAGTTCTCCAGGTGGCCCTTGGTCATCTCCGCGGCTCTGTCCCCACCATTCCCACCTGCCTGCCTCCGGCCCCTGCAGCTTCTGGCGTTCCTGAGCCTGCTGTGCTGCTGCTCTCTGAGCTTCGCACTCTGCTTTGTCTGCGTGATCTGTCCCTCCCACTGCAGAGCGACTCTCCCCTAATGCTTCAGGGCATGGCTCAAACGTCCCCTCCCGAGGGGAGCCCTGGTTGGTTCCCCAGCCTCTGTTCAACTCCCCTTTTTGTGCATTCCCAGCACCCCGTGCATGCTTCTGGCATGACAGGATCACCCTGGGGTGGCTGTTTCCTTACAGATCTGTATCCTCCACAAGTTTGTAAATGTCTGTCTCATTCATCTTTGTGCCCCCAGCCTCTGACACAGTGCAGAGGACACAGTGCACAGTCACAGATTTGAAGGAATAAATACATTTTTACACGGGCTAGAGAACATATTTAGAATGTGGAGTCCACAGGGGATGTTTGTGTCATGTCAGGATATCCTGAGGGAGAACAGCAGGAGCAAAAAAATGGACCTGCCCTATTTCCAGCACTTCTGGACAGAGCTCATCACAAAGGAAGAAAGAAATCCCAGACCTCACTCACCTCTCACTGACAGCGAGGTTCTGTTGCTTTAAATAGCCCAGAAAAGTGTTGAGGACCCAACTAGTCACCTTTTTTGGCTCTGCCCTAGTTTCTTTTATCACATTTTGGAAGAACTCCAGTAGGCCGACTTCGTTCTGTTAAAAAAAAAAAAAGAAAATTACATAAAGCCTCCCCAAAAATGAAAGATCAGCATTCTGAAGGCAAATCTGAAACTGTCCCCTCTGCCTCCTCTGAGACAGCCACTTTTTCTTTGCTAAACCCTGAGATGTCACCAGAACATTCTGATCACTTTCAGCTAATGACAACTATTCTACTACTGTCACTGTGCATTTACATAGCATTTTCTCAAAAGGATAAACACATTTTAGAGAGCCCTGACTTTGCAGACCAGAGGGATGGTGAAATTCCACATCCCCCAAACCCACTTGCTTTCTCCGTGTCTGCTGTGTGTAACCTGCACTCTCCATCCCTGAGCTGTGAACTGGGCCTAAAATGTTTGGCCTGACTTTAATGCCCCTGTTCTTTCCAGGCCTGTCCTCTGCTGAAGTCCCAGTAATTGCTAGAAAAGAGGGTAAAAAACAAAGCAAAATCAAGAAAGAACAAACAGAATATTCTACCTCTGAAAAATCAAAAGTGGATCATACCTGTACTGATTCTCACATCATGACAAGAAATAGACAGGAATGGTTCTGAAATGTTTTCAAAGTGAGGGAGAACATGGGCACATGTGACCCACTTAGGCCACTTAATAACAGGTGGAGAGGGCAGCAGTGTCCCAGCCTTCTGAGCTGGGCCAGGTACAAGATGCCCTGCCTCTCATCGTTTCCTGGGGAAATGATCAGCTGGAGACTTGTTTCATCAAGACTGTACCACTTCTCCCCCTCTGAACTGTCAGCCCCACGAGTCAGGGCTGTGCCCTCCCTGTTCACGATATAGCTACAGCTAAGTCCATGCTGGGCCATGGCAGCTGCTCAGTATTAGGTTGGTGCAAAAGTAACTGCAGTTTTGCCATCTTTCAATGGCAAGAACCGCAATTACTTTTGCACCAACCTAATATCAGCAGACGGAATTGGTGTCTCCCGTCAGCATGTATGTGTGTTGGAAATCACACATGAGGCGCGCATTCTTATCATACCATGTTCACCTTTAAATACTGCAACTGCCACAACTATGCATACGACCAGCCCTGAGGCACTTACCAGGTTCTATACTACAGCTTGCTGCCAGCTCAGATAGTTTTGACACAATCAAGAAATTTAGGTAAGTCCACCCCTACTATTTCAATAAGAAAAATAAAAACTGTGCTGCTCAGAAAGGGAAGGCTGAAATTTCCAAATTCAGAGGATATACGTTTTAAGTAGCAGATTTCCTTTACCCATGGAAATTCAAATCAAACAAACTTTTCTTGAAATATTCCTTTTAAGTTCACACTGCACCTAAGGCTTCTACCCCTGCTCCTTTCAGAGACCCTTCATTAACCAAAAGAATTTTCTGGAAAAAATGAGATACTGGAAAGAAGCAAGATATACTAACAAAAGTGCTCTCCAAGTGTAGCTATTGCAGCTGCTGGAATACACACACAGGCATAGCAGAAATTCCATAATAATAAAAAACCCTACATGTTCTTTGTAACAGATAAATTCTCTGGTGACAAGCCTGCTGAATAATCCTGCAATCATCTCTTTAATCTCTTTTCAAGCCAGTGCTATTATTCTGCTCATGCTAAACCAGGGCAGAGGCCACCTCGGCAGCCCAAGCTTGACTACAGATAAAGGCAGAGCCAGGCAACTTGAAGAGGAAGTTCTGCTTAACTTATGGAAAAGTATTCAAACTTCTACAATAGTACACAAATCACTGGGGAAGCAGAAAACTGCTATCTGGCCCAAATCAGACGGGCAGAATTCCCTTTGTTCTAACCCAGACAGGCTGGCCCACTGGTAAAATGAGCTGTCAGGAGAACTCTTTGCTTTGCCAGGGAAAGGGTTTTCTAAATCCACCTAGAAATATTGCACTTAAACTCACAGGCTTGGCTGAGTTGCTGGGACGTGATGCATATCTATTCCTCTACCCTTGGGTGGTTTTTTTATTGGATGGATAACACGGCAAGTCAGATTTCTGTTTGTCTTTTCATGTCAGTGCTGTGATGAAGCCTCTCTGAGCTGGAACTGTACTTCACTAGGGGATACATAGTTTCAGTCCACAATTTAAAGCAGACAGGAAAATCTGTGGTGGTGATGGGGTGAGCTATAGCGAGTGGGGCTGAAGGAGGCTGAGCTGCAGCCACCCAGGAAATGATGGATCAATAAAAGCTGCACATGGGCTGCCCGCTCTGCTCTTCATAGCAGAAGCTGCTTCTGAGGGAAGAAACACACACATTCTAGTTTCCTCATCTTCTTAGTTTTTCCATGAGATTGGCAAATGCTAATAAGCTTGGCACGAATCTCAGAGTCTCTGGTGAACATGTCAGTGCAGCCATCTGGTTTTCTCAGAAAAACAGTGAGCTGGTAATTCCCTTACATAAAAATCATATGAAGAGCAATGCAGAAAGGCTACAGCATTAGGGAACCTTTAATGTCCTCCTCAAAAGCAACAAGCAAGCATTCGACTCAGGATGAATCTACCCTACATGCAATAGAACTGCAACTTCAGCGACACAGAGAGTCAAGTTCCCTGGCTGACTGCGACTCTAATTGTTCCTTCAGAGATGGCTAAAGCAGCAGGCATGAGCGGTCCTGTCTTTTGTATAATACCTGACAGTCTCTACAGCTCTATGACTGGGAAGCATCTTTTTCACATTTTAATCAGATTTCCCAAAGCACTGAATTACACCCAGAACCAGTGCTGGCTCCGCCTCTCAGACATTAACAGGAACCCTTGATTACTAATGATTTGTCAGGTGATCAATGCTGGTGTGAGGCAAAGCAGAGGGACCTGCTCACCACCACTGCCTGCTCAGGGAAGGAACCTCAGTCTACCCTGCACTAGGCCCTGGGAGCAACCTGCCTCGAAGCGGTCTTCTGCATCCCACCTTCAGAGATGATCAAATGCAAATGCTGGAAGACTCTCCAGTTGGAATAGGATGAAGGCTGATTTCTCAACTGCATTTCTTGTTCTAAGTCACACACCCTGTGAAGCTGACGATAGGCCAGGAACGAGGTGGACTATATTTATTTACGAGAAGGAAACCTGATAGAGCCAGCTGCCCAGTGGCAGACTCAGAGAAGGAAAAGCAGCCCAGAAGAATGCAAGTTGAGGAACAGCTGGTTATGTGACAGGGAGCGTTCTGACAGCTACAAGGGACCCCCAGATGAGCCATTCTGGGCTAGTCAAAGGTGCTCAAGAGTATCTGCTAAATATCTGCTAGACACAGAGCTCAGAACCAGGCCCTGTGGGTGGCTGCGTGAGGCTACTGCTGCTGCTGAGGACAGTGATAACCAGAGTTACAGCAGCAGCGGTGATGGGCGCCAGGCACTGTCTACGCACTCTCTCCACATTACCTCAATTCATCCCAACAACAACTCTCTGAGCTCAGCGCTCTCAGGACTTTTACAGATGAGGACACGAGGCACTAGCTTGCTTGAGGTCCCACAGCAAGAGAGCACTAGAACTAGGACCAAACCTCTGCGGTTTGTGCTTTTAACCTCTGTGTGGCACTGCCTTTGAGGAAGAAAAGGTCATGGTCTTTGCCTGCCTGGGACCGAAACTGAGCACCTAGGAGTGCCAGGCGCAATGGGAGGCAGCCAGCTCATCTGAAGAAAGCACTTTCCCACACTTCCATTATTTTATTTGAGAGCTGCCAGCTGTTCAAAGGTTCTTAACATATTAAAAATGTTGCAAGGAAATTAACTTTGAAATCAGAAGGAGAAAATGGCAGGTTTACTTTCTGCCTTTGCCAGTGTACACCTAGGCCACGTGGCATTCAGCTGTGGCATGACACACACCTGTTCCCAGACCAGGAAGGAAGACAGCTGCACGCCCACTGCACAGGCCATACTGGGCTCCGGGGATGGAGGGCGGCCAGAGCTCCTCTGCCCCTCTCCTGCCCCCTGCCTTGCCTCTGCATCCCCTCCCCACGCTACTGCTGCCCCAGAAAAGGTCCTGCGAGCACACCCAGACCTGGACACTGCACAGTCCTGAACAAGACAAATCTTGTTATTTCTCATACCAATTGAGCATATTGTATTTTATTTATTATTGCATTCTAATTCCTCTAATAGGGTAAGTCCTACCTAATTGAGCAGGTCATGCCTGTGATGGGAGCTGCTGACTATACAAAGGCTCTACATCTGCAGACGGAACCACAGGGGTTTCCACTGGACAAGGCTCTCCCACGTCACAGTGTGTCATTTTGCAGAGGCGCACACTGGAATTGCATCCGTCCCCTTTGCGGCGGGGGTGCTGGGGTGAGCAGCTGCTGAGCATTTGTGCAGACGCTGGAGGAGGCTCATCACCTGCGTATCAACGCAGGCACTGCTGCTTTATTATTCCTGTGGATTTGGTCATTCTTATAAAGTGAGAAAAACAAAACTCAAATACAACAGCTATGTAAAAAAAAAAATGGCCCTGAAAATAACACCAAATGCTAGTGCTGGGGATGGCAATGAAGCAAA
The DNA here is from genome assembly GCF_000001405.40 of Homo sapiens. NCBI lineage: Eukaryota > Metazoa > Chordata > Mammalia > Primates > Hominidae > Homo > Homo sapiens. Next base: position 151,693,240 of record NC_000004.12, read on the forward strand.
GAGGCCCAGGACAGTGATGGCTCTCAGCCAGAAAGCAGGCGTCAGGGCAAGGCTAAGGACTGGAATGTTCAGTGGGGCGGTGGCTTGGGTGGGTTCACGGGAATCGGTGCCCCTTCTGCTTTTCACAGAAACAAGAAGCCGCTGCAATAATCTTTCAGCGAGTGCTCCTGTGAACAGAAAAATTACTCATTGAGAGAGGCCTCGTCAGTGGAGAAAACAAACAGAAGTTAACTGGTGGTGTGAGGCTGGCACAGGAAACACGACCCCCCCCTCAAGAGTGTCAGGAGAAAGCTAGAACAATGCAGAACCTCCACTGCTGCTGGCAAGAATACAGGGATCTGCAGAGGCTCTGAAATGGACCCACAAACATCACGGGTGTGTTCTCCCAAGGAACACAGAACTAGGGGTCCAGGGTCCTGTTTTGGTGCCCACAATTTTTATTCCTGGGTCATTTCCCCAGCAAGGCTTGGGAGCCCCTAAAATCTGAGCAAAACTTTGGCCCCAACCATTTCACTTGTGCTATGTTCCCAGGAAAGCTGGAAAGTAGACAGATCTTGAGTTCAACTCAGGCACCAGTTCCATTTAGGGGATATTCAAACTAATGTGAAAATGACTTTACATCCTCTGAGATGCAGTAACTCCAGGGGAGATGCTGAAGGAAACCAGTTTGGGAATAACAACTTCCCCCGAATAATCAAAATCCAAATAATTCAGGTACTACAAGCTGACAGCAGACCGGCACTGCTAAAAGACTATCTGCACGAATGGGACACAGGCAGTGTGTTGTCAAGAAATCAATTCCAATTGTAGTCACGTTCCAACGCACCTAACACCACCACTGTCCAATCGTCCCCACATGGAAGGAACCTGAGTTGCTCAATAGGAGCTTTCTGGCTGCAGCTTAAAAACAGCAACAGAGGCAGTGAGGATTTGCTCCTTTCCTCCAAGATCTGCCTGAAACCTGAAATAATATATATTTATCCTGAAAAGGAAATTATTCCACAGGAAATTGGGCTTTGGGATAGGTTGGGGACAGAATCCCTGTGGGTCCCCAAGGCTGGCACTCAGGACTTTACTCCTCCCTGCACTGTCTCCCTACTGGGCAGGATCCTGAGGTGTCACACGGCTCTGAGCCCAGAGCATCTTCCCCTCTGAAAGCTCCTCATCCCTTGCATCCAAAAGAAATGAACTGCTGGTTTTACAGAAGTAGAGTTAGATGATACATCTTTTTATTCAACTTTACCAGAACAAAACATTGGTTATTTTTCTAGTGTATAGAGTCACTGTAAAAGCACCCTTAGGCTAGCAAGCACTGGATGCAATTTTTATAAAATGAAGAATAAAATCAATTTTGAAAATTGCACGGAGCTGAAATATGGTGCCTGATGATGTTGACCAAATAGATTTTCCTTCAACAGTAGTTAGAAGGTGAGTACTTTGCACCTCAGTAAGTCTGGCCAGTCTAAAACCAGTCAATATGTTTGTAGATACTATTAGCTTTAAAGTAGTATTACATATGGGATATATAGATATTTATCATGGGAAATTATTTTATAGGCAATTCATCCAGAAAGCAAACCTGGTCATTTCTGGCTTACTAGCCACTTAAAGGAAAATTCTTGAAAAACAATCCACTTAACAACCAGCTGTAGTCATGATATCTTTTCTGTTTCTTTGTCCCTTGGAGACACCTTAACCTTTTCCATGATGTCAGAAACAAAGGATTATGATTTTAAAAGTGGAAGAACCAGCTGGAGAGAATGAAGTTGTGTAAGTAAGATGACAGATCCTGAGGCTGACTATAAAGACAAAGACAAGCATATGGCAGCCCAGGGTGCTGATTCGAGGGCTCGCAAGTACATCTTCCTACAGTCTCACTGGGGCCATGTGGGATGTTTCTACAGCCCTGCCTTTCGTGGCTCTCAATGAACTGTTTTAGCGCGTTGCTTGGTGTCAACACTCTTCTCCCTGGCGACATATTCTTGGGAGTCTGCTTGGCTATATTTAGGCTTTAGATTCAATGAAGATTTGGCTGTGTCTGTCATCTTTGGGGTAAGTGAGTCATCGCCCCCTCTTTCAGCTGGGGAGGGAAACAGCTCTGGTTACCCTGCAGAGCCCTCCCAGCTCCAAAGTGTCAGAGGTCAGATGTGGAATCAAGGGTGTCTGTCCCCAAGTCAGTGTTTTAACTCAATTCCCTGTAGGGCTGCTCTGGAGAGACATGGAAAAGCTGAAGCACTGACATTTGGAACTAGCATCCGGCACTGCAGTCAGGGTGGCAGGCCCTCAAGAAACACTCAACTCGGGATGCTCTGGCTTCCTCCGCTGAACTCTCCCACCGACGAGCTTCAGATCTTCCCGTCTACTGACTGCATGCACAGCCAGGGCCCTGCAAGCTCATCTCTGCTTCCTACCAAGTTCCTATTAAAGGCCAGTCTTGAAGGACAGGAGGCACCAGGCAAAATCAAACCACAAATGCCACAAACTCTGCCCTACGTGGAGACACTCCTCAGATTCTTTTTTCTTTTTTTAAAGTTTAGAGACAGGGTCTCTCTCTGTTGCCCAGGCTGGACTGCAGTGGCACGACCACAGCTCGCTACAGCCTTGAATTTCTGGGCTCGAGCAATTCTCCCACCTCAGCCTCCCGAGTAGCTGGGACTACAGGTGTGTGCCACCATGCCCGGCTAATTTAAATTTTTTTTTTTTTTTTTTTTTTGTAGAGATAGGGGTCTCACTACACTACGTTGTTGCCCAAACTGGTCTCGAAATCCTGGCCAAAAGTGATCCTCTCACCTTGGCCTCCCAGAGTGCTGGGATTACAGGTGTGAGTCACCGTGCCTGGAACTTCCCAACGATTCAGACAGGACTCAAGTGCTTCCAGCAGAAGGTTTAAGAAACAAAATAAATAAAGCTGCAGAGGACGGCTTATATTACTTTTCTTCTAACTTTATTTTTTCACTTGGAAAATAGACATGATTTCTGCTTTTCATTGGCGTTGACTGATTTTCACTAAATTTAGTGGATGGCACTTTATGTTTATTTATAGGGCAGTCTGGCATCTTAAAAATCAATAGGAGTGGTAAAAACTTTTAAATGAATCTATGTTCTGTGATTGTGCTGTACAAAACGCTAGTGGCATGAATGTTAACAAAAGTACAAACTCTGTTTTCTCCACTAATGAAACACAAGTGACTCCAAACATCAATTAACTAAAAACACTATTTCTGTTTGACATTATAGCACATTATATATGCAAGCGGGCAGCAGAGCTTAGGAATGAAGAGCGTAGGCCTTGAAGTCAGCATGATCTGAATGTGGCTCCAATACGGGCTTGGGGAAGTTATTGAACCAAAGAGGTTACATTTCCCTACCTGTAAATGGGGAGAGCAGCAGTCCCTGCCTCAGAGGGTTGCTGTAAGGATAGATTAAAAAGTCGTACAATGTGAATTGCAGAGCATGCTAGAAGCAGGCAGCCTTTTCTAGGCTGCTTAGGCAAATGGCTACAATGCTTTTGTGTTCTCTGAGTGAAGTAAAGCACAGAGTTTAGGAAGAGATGCCCCACAGAAATCAGCCAGGGAGGATTTTGCTAAGAAAAATGCACATGCATATAATTCTGATCATTGTATTATAATAACTACTACTGATATACTGACTCAGAGAAAAACTTGTTATGCTATTAGAATCTCTCGTTTTTTCAGAATCCTAATGCCTGGATTTCAGCTTCAACATTTCTATTCTTTAATCTTTACAAATGAGGTCATGTAGAGAAAAGGAAATGCTTATATACTGTTGCTGGGAATGTAAATTAGTACAGCCTCTATGGAAAACAGTATGGAGGTTCCCTAAAGAACTACAAATAGAGCTACCATTCAATCCAGCAATCCCACTACTGGGCAACTAGCCAAAGGAAAATAAATCATCATTTAAAAAAGATACCTGCAAGCGAATGTTTATCACAGCACTATTCACAATAGTAAAGATATGGAATCAGCGTAAGCGTCCATCAATGGATGACTGGATAAAGAAGTTGTGGTATATCTACACAATGAAATATTATTCAGCTATAAAAAAGAATGGAATCATGTCTTTTGCAACATGGATGAACAGGAGGCCACTATTTTAAGTGAAACGACACTGAAACAGAAAATCAAATACCACATGTTCTCACTTATAAGTGGGTACACTCTGTGTACCCAGGGACACAGAGTGTGGAATAACAGACACTGAAGACTTGGAAGGGTGGGAGGGGAATAAGGGATGACAAATACTTACTGGGTATGATGTATATGATTTGGGTGACGGTTACACTGTAAGTCCAGACTTACACTATGCAATATATCTATGTATCAAAATTGCACTTGTAGCCCCTACATTTATATTATAATAAATTTTATAATCATAAATATTTCCGTATATGTTTTATAATATATATAAATTTATATATATAGAAAAGCTAACATTGCTTCTCTAGCTTATGTCAAGTTGCCTTGATATATATATTTATATACATACACATGCACAAAATCAAGTTGCCTTGATTTCTGTCCCAGCTACTTGGGAGGCTGAGGCAGGAGAATGGCGTGAACCTGGGAGGCGGAGCTTGCAGTGAGCCAAGATGGCGCCACTGCACTCCAGCCTAGGCCACAAAGCGAGACTCCGTCTCAAAAACAAACAAACAAACAAAAATCGATTTCATATATATGTGTGTGTGTGTGTGTATATATATATATATATATATATATATATATATATATATATGAAATGAAGGCAACTTGACATAAGCTAGAGAAGCAAGGTTAGCTAAATAGGTTGAAGTTTTAGGTGGGGCAAGATACCCCATGATTCTCTGGGTTGTCAAAGCATGGTTTATGTATCTGACCTTTGGAAACAGGGATGCTTTTATCAGGAACACTGCTTCTCCCAGGATCTTCCTGTGTGCTGTGATAACATCCCATTCACTCACCCGTCTGTCCACCCAGTCATGGAGTACCTACCGTGTCAGGTATTGTGTGTGGTAGACGCTAAAGCATAACATTAGAGTTCTGTAAATATTAAGAATAATTTGGTGCTCACTGCACGATAAAATGACAAGATAAATTAAAGACTAGAGTTAAATTCTGAAGTTTTTCGTCATTTGTGGGTGAGGTGTGCATGGGGGTGGGCATGTGCATAATGCTTAATTTAATAAGCAATCCAAAGACAGAGAGCACAGAGTTGCAGCTCTGCAAAGCACACCTCCACCACTGCTATTTATTTAATGAATACTCCTGGGCGCTCTTTAAATTGAAAGATGGTTCATTAGATTTGTGCATCTGCCCTTCTCAGCAATCTGTTGTGTTTCTGATGAAGGCAGGAAAAAACACGAACATATCATTTTCGGGTATGTTATGAGTAACGCCGCTTCCAATGATTACAAAGTCATAAAGGGCTCAGGCTGCCTAATTTCAGGAAAACAATTTGTCTGAATCATTCTCTTTCCATTCCTATCTCATTCTAATCTCACTCATCTTGGAAATTTCAAGTACTAGCCCTTTAAAGGAAAAATACTAATCACCCAATACATTATCTGCAAGCCATAAAAATAAGGACGTTTTTAAGGTATCAAAAAAAGTCCTTTCAAAAATGGCCAAAAAATTCACCCTTCTTTTTTTTTTTCCAATCAAGTTAACCACTACCTCTTGTGGGCCCTGATCCTACATTATCCATCTATCTAGTGTAATCTGTCCTGTGGGCTGGTTATTGTAGTGGGGTGTGTGTGTGTGTGCATGTGTATGTATAAATTCTTGGAAGGCAAAAAAAATCTTTAAAAAAATCTTTTGTTTCTGTCTCAGTACGTGCTATACAGAAGATGCTAATAAAAGTGCTGAACCAGGCCGGGTGTGGTGGCTCACACCTGTAATCCCAGCACTTTGGGAGGCAGAGGCAGGCGGATCACTTGAGGCCAGGAGTTCAACCAGCCTGGCCAACATGGCAAAACCCTGTCTCTACTAAAAATACAAAAAATTAGCCAGGAGTGGTGGCGCATGCCTGGAATCCCAGCTACTCGGGAGGCTGAGGTGGGAGGATGTCTTGAATCTGGGAGGCAGAGGTTGCAGTGAGCTGAGATCGTGCCACTGCACTCCAGCCTGGGCGAGAGTTGAGACCCTGTCTCAAAAAAAAAAAAAAAAAAGTGCTGAATTAAATAACTGAAGGTAGGTTTCCCTATACAGGCCTTTAAACTATTAAAATATAGACTCACTCATCTGCCAGCCCCTAGCAAACACCTATTTAAGGCCTACTAGGTTTGGGCACCATGCAGGACCCATGAATAAAGACAAGGACACAAACACAAATACAAAAATGTCCCTGCCCTCATGGAGCTTATGCTCAGTGAGGTAAGGCAGGCACTGTCCCCATCACCGCTCATGAACGGCCGAGAGTGACAATCCTATGGAAATGCCCTCTGAAGGGGGCACAGATTCTCATACAGTGCCTTGAACAGAAACAGCTGTATTCTTGAGATTCTGAAAGTTTCTTTCACTCTCTTATGGAGACAGCTAATACACACACACACACACACAAATTAATGTTATATATAGTCAATTTCTCTATGAAATCACATTTTGAGCAAGGAAACCTTGGCCATTTCTTGGTTCATCATACACTACCTCAAAGGGTTGGCTTGGGCTCCTGCTGAGTGGAGGGAGGTAACTTAAATCTTCGAGGCTGAGTAGCCTTGGTCCCTTCCTCCCATCTCCTATGTAATTTCACAAATAGTAATAAAAGGTAGGGCTAGAATTCAGTGTTTATTTCAAGTAGGTTGGAAACTCAAGTGGTCAAGATGGTGGGGAAGATGTATAAGACTAAAACGTAGTTTTGTTACGTCAACCTAGGAAAAATACATGAATTGTAAGAGGCTTTGGGTTAAGAGGTGCTCTGTACGGAATGCTGACTGACTCAGTCATAGTCAAAGTGTGGCATTAAGCACTGCTGATGTTGTGCTCATCTGTGCTGAGTAGCACAGAGGATGAAGCAGTCCTTGCCTTCAAGATGCTGAACAACATACACTAATAAGTACTTAAAAGACAGTGATATAATTGCCAGAGAGGTAAGAAGAAGATCAAACAGCAGCCCACAGGAGGCAGTGACCAACTCTGCTTCTCCAAGTAGCTGATTTATGGATGATGAAGAGAGAATCACTCATTCAACATGCATCTGACTGCCTACGTTGTACTGTAAATGCTAGGATGTTGTTATTGGAAGTGTATAAATAGACATATAAATATATATACTCCAGCATCCCAATGTAGTTATGACTGGCCATCCAAAAAGCAAAAATCCAGTTTCCGCAGATCCTGCTGCCCCAAAAGATAGGTGTGGCATATACTGATTCCCTGGAAGATGCAGCAACAAAACTTCCCACTTCCTTCCTAACAGACGACGACAACGGTGACAAAATACTACCCTCACTGATGCCGCATCACTTTAATGCTGCCATGACAAAGAAAACCACAAAGCCCCAGGCAGCTTTGAAAAGGATGGAAAATCCCTAAGCAGATCTTGACAGTGTCAGGTTCTCTACCGGCCCCGTCAGACGCAGCCTCAAGCCTCAAAGGACTGATACTTTTAGTCAGAGTTTTTAGTGTTTCATGTGGAATAAATGTTTTCTTCTGAAATTGGCAAAACAACTGGCTGGCTTTTGAGAACGCAACATCCTGCCAGCCCTGTCATGGCTCGATACCGCTAGACATCCAGAAACCCTATACATTGATTTTCTTTTGTCCTTCAGACACATGGGAAAAACTCATCCATAACATTTGGACAGTCTTCAAGAAGTCTCCACAGCTGCTGTGGTCAGGCGTTCATTTCTACACAGAAGAAATGACTAACACAAGATTGCGTTTCATCTTCTGGTTGTATGAAGAGCATTTACCATAAAGGGTAGTGAGCAAAGGTTACTACATCTTATTCTTCTCAGTAGCATCTATAGTACAACCCAAGAAACACGCCCACCCCACTCAGAGCCCATGGCAGCCTGTGTGTGGCGGGGCCTCTGAAGGGCACTGCCCCATCTGCTGAGCCGGGATCCTCTTGGCATCCGATCGATACCTACCAGCAAAGTGAAGCTGTGTTCCAGCAGCATCCCATACTGTTGGACAAGCTTCTCTCGGGTCACACTGGGGAGCTCCGGGAGTGTCTCCCGAATCTGGTCAATATTGATCACTTGCTGTGGGTCTGCACCTGCGGGCAGAGATGTGGCGTCGTAGAGCACCAGGGGAGGCAGGTTGGGTTCTGGCATGAACCTGGGCAGACAGAGGAGACGGGACCTGAATCTGGAGTACTTGGATTAATGAGAAAACAAAACCTCCCCCAGTAATATGAATGTTTCTGTGTTTAGATGCCATGTTACTTGCAAATATTTTCAAATGTCCTATTACGTCAATTCTGTTTCCCAGGGAAGCCATTGCATAAGTGTCAAAACCTCCAAACCCACCCCTCTCCATGCTTATAAATAAGATGAGTGAAAGAAGCACAACACAGGCTTGAAGTCACACTGGGATTTGTAACTGTGGATCATTCATTCCACTGTTCATCAGGAATTGTGCCCACAGTTGTGTGTTGCTTCACAACGGCGATATGTTCGTAGAGATGTGTCGTTAGGTGATTTCGTCATGGGACCATCACAGAGTGCACTCACATGAGCCTGGATGGTACAGCCTACTACAGATAGGCCATGTGGAGTAGCCTACTGCTCCAAGGCTACTGAGTGTCCCAAATCCTGCAGGCAACTGTAACACAATGGCATTGGTGTATCTAAGCATGTCTGAACAAGAAAGGGACGGTAAAAATGCCATATGACAATCTTATGGGACTCCTGTAGCATACGTAATCCACTGTTGACAGAAACATCCATATGTATGCAGGACTATGTCTTCATAAAGACACAGGCTGGAAAAAACAGGACCAAATGAGAGCAATTTGCTTATTAGAAGGAAAGATGACTTTCCCCCCATTTCAACATTTCTACTATTTTTAGCAGCATTTACATAAATAAAAAATGAAAGGAAAAAAATTTACCCTTGAGAAATAGAAGAAATGAATAGATTTTGCCTAAACAAAATGTGACAGCTGGAGAAGAGGGAGGGAGGGATGAAGAGGTGGAGCACAGGGCATGCAGTGGAACTTCTCAGTGTGACACGATGGTGGATGCATGTCATTGTGCATATGTCAAAACCCACGCAATGTACCACACAAACAAGGAACCCTAGTGTAAACCATGGACTCTAGCCAATAAGGAAGTGTGATTGGTTTCATCATTGTAACAAATGAGCATCTTGCATTACTGTGGCACATTAACAGGAGACTCTGGGGGGAGAGTGGGGAGCGGGAGTATGTGAGAACTCTGGACGTTCCATTCAATTTTATTGTAAAGCTAAAACTGCTCTAAAAAATGAAGGGAATTAATTTTTTTAAGTGTCAAAGCTGCACCATTGCATGTAATCTTATGAAACAAGATGTCCCTCCCTCTGTTCTCGTCCAGCACTAATGGTTACTCTCTGCCCATTTTTGTCAAAGGGCTTATGTAGAAAAAGCAGGGTATTCAGAAGAAGTGGTGGTTTGGAGGGAATGGATTCGAAGCACACGCTACCCATCGGCTCACTGCCAGATCTCTTCTGTGAGTTAGTCTGGCTTCTGAGGGCAAGAGGAAACCCAGGGGAAGCTTCCTGCAGCTCACTATCATTTGAGGCATCATGCTGAAGCCACGGGCGGATGGAAAGCCGGACTCCACACTCAGGGGAAGGCGCACCAACAGGGGAGGGAGCAACACTCAGGAATAAAGTGGGCCCCTGGGAGAACAGACTCACCCGGGAAGTTCACGGTTAATTAAAATAATTTTGACTCTAGCAGACAGACAATGGGAGTTCTTGGGGTGAGGTTCATGCTAAGCGTTTATGAGTTTCTTCTTTCCCACATAAACATGCAAATTTTGATCCTCATTGATAATAGCTACATTTGCATCTTTCTGCCCTTCACAAAGGAAAGGTGGCCGATCTCACAACTTTGTTGCTTAAAACTTCAACCTGCTAAACTCAATGAGAAAAAAATAAAAGTTTCAATTATCTTATGCCTGTTCTTAGCATTTGCTTTATTTGTGGGTCTCATATTAAGTAGTTCAACTTAATTTATCATGAAATAGCATCATATGAGGTTCAAGGGAACTACCATCAACATACGCTATCAACATCTCTTTTCTCATTTCTTCTCAAGGAGCTTCATTCAGCGTATTACTGAATCAGTTACTGAACATTAGAATAAGAACAGCCTAGGCCCCAACCTCTACAGCCATCCTCCTAGCTCAACTATGACAACTTTGACACAGCAGTGGATGAACAAGTTCTTCCAAAAGCTGAATCAGTCAAACAAGGCACCAGATCTGAGGCTACCAAATCAAGAAACTAGTACTTCTCTCGGTATGCATATCAAAGAGGAAGTCTAGATGTCCCATCATGTTACAACAATGACAAAAAGTGGTTTCTAAAAATTGTTCAGGATCATTATGTTGAACTTTAAATGAACTTGAAATACGCCCCAGCCCCCGATATATAGCGGTATTTTGCCATAAGGAGTAACCACCTGTAGTCCTGTTTTCCTTCTTTGTCTCTCATTGACATGGTGCACCTGCAATAGTTAAATAAGAAAACATTAAACATTGAAAGCAGCACTGGCCAGCCTATATGTGGGGAAGGGCTCCCCTACCAATAAGGGGCACAGGCAAAATCAAACTCTGTGGACTTCCATGGGGAAACCTTAAATGAATACATTCAAAAAACAATCATAAAGAAAGCGAAATGTACAGAATGATCTTTTTTTTTTTTTTTTAAAGGAAATGACTTCAATGTAGCCATCTTTCAGCCAGCTCAAACTCGGCTTTTGAGCTTTTTTCAGTATTCTGCTTTAAGTATACAATGCTCAAAATTCTGAGTGAGAAAATTAAGGCCCAAGTTATCTAAACAAAAATAAGGCATCTCTACAACCAGGTCTTCACTCTGTTCCGCCTCTAGCTTCAGCTGGGAAAGATCTGATAGATTAAGGAAGTAAAAATTCTTGCCACAAGGCAGGTAAGCTGGAAGCAGAGAAGGAAAGGGCCTAAAACGAAGCCCTTGGGCACAGTCTGGGTCACTTCAAGCCTCCTGGCAGCCCTAGGGTATATTATATCCCTATAGGGTACAGTACTTTTCTTTTTTTTTTTTCTTTGAGACGGAGTCTTGCTCTGTCGCCCAGGCTGGAGTGCAGTGGCACTATCTCGGCTCACTGCAAGCTCCGCCTCCTGGGTTTACGCCATTCTCCTGCCTCAGCCTCCCGAGTAGCTGGCACTACAGGCGCCCGCCACCACACCTGGCTAATTTTTTGTATTTTTAGTAGAGACGGGGTTTCACCATGTTAGCCAGGATGGTCTCGATCTCCTGACCTCGTGATCCGCCCGCCTCGGCCTCCCAAAGTGCTGGGATTACAGGCGTGAGCCACGGCGCCTGGCCTTCTTTTTTGTTTTTGAGAGGAGTCTCGCTCTGTCGCCCAGGCTGGAGTGCGGTGGCAACATCTCAGCTCACTGCAAGCGCCGCCTCCCGGGTTCATGCCATTCTCCTGCCTCAGCCTCCCAAATAGCTGGGACTACAGGCACCCATCACCATGCCCGGCTAATTTTTTGTATTTTTTTAGTAGAGACAGGATTTCACCATGTTAGCCAGGATGGTCTCGATCTCCCGACCTCGTGATCTGCCCATTGCCTCCCAAAGTGCTGGGATTACAGGCATGAAGGGTACAGTACTTTTCTAATTGTACTAATGAGGAAACCTAAAAGTGGAGACGCTACGTGCCTCCTTCAAGGTCACATGGCTGGTCAGTGGCTGAGCCCAGCCCTCTCGCACCACCCCCGGCTGTGGTCAGGACGCTCAGCAATGCGAACTCACCCCAGCTTGTGATGAAATGAGCGTGTTTCGTTCAGAATTTCACCTCCATTCTCAAGTTCATTGATTTGCCTCTGAATTTCATAGTCTAGGAAAAACACACTAATTTAGCATCATATTTTGATTATACCTTTCATCCAGTCAAGCAATAATTAGAAACAACCTTTCTCAATCTCTAAGTTAAAAAAAAAAAAAATCAAGAAGATTGTTTATAATAATCCTTCCCTTACACACTATATTTCCTTCTCACTGCCATCGTAGAATATTGGTGTTGGAAAGGGCCTTAGGAAGGCAGGCTCACTCCGTGTTGAGACAATTCAGGTTCAGAGAGATTAAGCAACCCCATGCAGATGACATGACTTGGCAGAAGTGGGGCTGGGCCCAATATCTCGGTCTGAGATTGCTGCCTACCCAGGGCCCTTACCCTGGGAGTCTGGGATGGGCTTCAAAGGCTCTGGTATCCCCAAAATTATACACAAAGTGTGGGTTGTGTGCATATGTGCAGGTTTTGGAGAGAGGGTCCAGCATTTACATTATCTTTTCAGAGGGACCCACGACCCCAAATGATTAAGATCCAAGGACCCATGCCTCAGCATCAAATGAGGGAGGCTGTGGGAATCAAAACACAACCACAATTGCTAAGCTGTTGCTGCTTTTTTTTTCTTTTTTTGAGAGATGGGGGTCTCACTATGTTTTCCAGCCTAGTCTCAATCTCTTGGTCTCAAACAATCCTCCTGCCTTGGCCTCCCAAAGTGCTGGGATTACAGGCATGAGCCACTAAGCCCAGCCTGCTAAACTGCTTTATGAAAATATCTTGAGCCTCCACCTTAACTCTCCCTCCCACCATGTACTACCTTCCCTTGCCCAAACCTAAACCCTTTTATCTGAGTTGCTAAGAGGCAGCAACAGCAAAACGTGTCAGTTTTTGCTCCCCATCTCTCCCCAACTCCAGTGATCTCTTTGGTTGACACGAGATGATGGCTAAATGGCCTGACATAGGGAGAAAAAGGTGGTGAAAAATCACAGGCTTGGAGAATTGAACCCATAGTAAAGCTTTGGCTCTTCCACTCTGAGTCAGACCACAGGGAGATTTCTCCCTCAGACTGGTCCTCCAAAGAGTTCTTCATAGGACAGGAGAAGGTTAGGGGTCTCCTTCAGAACTCATGGATGACTCTACCTAAAATTGGGCTGCTTTTTTAAGGTTACCATCACCACCTCTTAAAATAACGGGTCCCAGCCCACTACCTACAGGGGGAGGTGGAACTTCCTCCATTTGTTCCAGGCTTCCTCCTCACCAACTTGGCTTATAAGGGTTTTCCCTGACTCAAACCTTTCATGGCTTTGGGAACATGGGCTATGTCCCTTTCCGGATGCAGAACAGTTCACCATCTTTAGTCTGCCTTCATATAGGAGCCTATCCCTTCCCTCTCTGCTCCCATAAGCTATCCGTTTGACCACTTTAATGCCTTTTTCCTGAAGACTGTCTTCATTGAGTGGTTGATTCACTTCAGGTTCAGGACAATAAGGTCTAATACAAGACTAGAATCATCTTTTCTGTACTGTTTCTAATACTTTTCTTGACAAGACCAGGGCTCTATTAAACATTTTGGCTACAGCAAAACTTTGGCAACAGATTCAGTTGTCTTGGTCTCTGTGCACCCTTGAAGGGGTGCACTTCAAACTCCATCCCTCCCTCTTCCTCTCTAGATAGCTTCGGTTTTAAAAAATCTTTTTAGTCCTCTGAGGTCCTCCCCTTGAATTCACAGTTACCTATATCTACGGGACTGCTCAGATATTTATCTTGCTAAACTATTTTAGTTATTATACATTTATCATCAAAGAAATACCCACAGTGTGTGCTCCAGAAAGACTACTACTTCACTGCATGGGCACATAATCTAGCAGTTAAAAAGAATATAAAAAGCAGGAAAACATAATGACCATTTAGGTCAAGCCATGGTCAATCTAAAATGAACAACCATGACCTAGTAAATCTCAAGCTGGTCAGAAAGAAGGTGGTAAATGGTAAAACACAGCCATGATCTTTTGTGGATCCTCTGATAAAGAGGTGGAGTCTAATTTCCCCTCAAGTCTGCTTTGAATTCAATGTAATTTTCTTTTTTTTTCTTAGAGACAGAGTCTTGCTCTGTCGCCCAGGCTAGAGTGCAGTGGCGTGATCACAGCTCACTACAACCTCAAACTCCTGGACTCAAGTGATCCTCCCACCTCAGCCTCTTGAGTAGCTGGGACTACAGGTGCTCACCACCATGCCTGGCTAAATTTTTAATTTTTTATAGAGATGGGGTCTTGCTATGTTGCCCAGGTGGTCTTGAACTCGTGGCCTCAAGCAATCCACCCACCTTGGCTTCCCAAAGTGCTGGGATTATAGGCATGAGGCACTGTGCCTGGCCTCAATCTACTTTGAATAGAACACATTGGAAGTGACACTGTGTGAGGTCTACAGCTTAGGACTCACTTCTGCCTTCATCCTCCCGAAATGCTCCCACTGCCTCATAAGAAAGCCAAGGCTAGGCAAGTGCATGAAGAAAGATCACATGGATGGAGAAGCCCAGCAGACATCAGCATCAAGGCCCCAAGGTATGAGAGCGACTACCATGGACCCTCTGCTTCAGCTGGCCTGCCGGTTTCCCACAGCCACATGAGTGAGCCGACACAGGACCAACAGAACGGACCAGTGAAAACGAAAGTAGTTCTTGTGTAAGCCACTAAGTTTCTGGGTTGTTTGTTACCCAGCAAGAGAGAAACAATAGGAAGAAGGACACTAGGAGCGGCAGCTGGCATTCACCTATGGCTTTGGCCAGGAACCTGATGCTGTTGAGATTCTTCACTTCCGTTCGAACGCCCAAAGGCTCCCCAGGGTGATGCACGGATATATTGGCATCCACTCTCAACTGGCCCTCTGGAAGGAGAGAAGAAAACAACTCCTTAGAAATTCTTTGAGGTGACATAGTCTTTTAAAGGCAGGGAGTGTCAAAGGAAGCAGCATCTAACTCTACCTGCTGTTTAGTTATAGCAGCCTAACTTCAGAGAAGGCACGGTTGGTTCTGAAGTAGGTCGTGGCTGGTACTTCTGGCCACTCGAGAGGGGTTACAGTCCTGAGGCATCTACAGTGTGTGCCTGTACATGTGAACATATACAGATGTGTGTGCTTATGCACATATGGAAGAGAAGTTTTAGATTCGCCAGCTGGAGAGATCTAATTTTTTTGTGCTAAACAAGAAAAACAAAACTATTAAAATGGAGATTGACTCTGCAGTTTTATACTGAAGTTTTTTTTCAAAGTGTCAGAGCTGAGTTGGAGGAAAGGCCTCATATATCTGATAACCCTACACTGCTCTCCATTGGAATGTGGATTTCTAACAGTGATTCCAGGAGATTTAGAGGAGAGTCCTTGAGAATTTGCAGCTCAAGGGCAAGAACTGAAATCTGGGCTTTCCCCCCTCCTCCTTCCTCCAGGTACTGTAATAATCTCTTCCTTCCACAAACATGACTCCGAATCCTTCCTGACTGCTCTAACGATTTGCTACAGCAGACAGACAGCACTGTTACGAAGTCAGGAGTCTGTGGTGGGACTCAGAGAGGTGCTGACCCCATGCTGGGAGGACCTTCTTTGACCCTGGAGGCCCCTCAGATTAGGAGCAACAAGCCCTAAAGAAGCAGGCAATGTGTGGGGAGGACTAAAAGGCTCTTGAGGAAGAGAGAGAGAGAAAAATCCCAAGACAAATAGATGTAGGTAAGAAAGAATCACATTTGGCACCCTACAAAGTAAAGCTCTCAGATTCTCTGTTCCTCGTTTCATTTACAACATTTAAAAGAGAACAGAGTGAGAAGACAAAATGCTGGATTTTATTTTCCTAGTTACGTTTTTAAATTAAAAGTAATCTGCCAAACCTGAGTGTCTTGATGGGCTGAATAAATTCATTTCCCAAGATTCCAAAGCAAAAGCATATTAAAATAATAAAGTAGTCAAAATGAATTCCATGTCAAGAAAAGGAGACCCTTGGAACTGGTTCTCTGTCATTCTCCCAGTGCTGGGCTGTGGGGCCTATACCAAGCTGGAGGTCGCCGGCGGCCCGTGGCTGACACCTCACCACTCACCCTCAGAGAAAGGGAAGGGCTCGCCCAATTGCCACCCGTGCTGACAGGGAAAAGATGTCTCTTAGCTCAGACATTACTCTCTCCAGCACTGACTTCTCAACACTTTTACAAGAATTCTGTAACCCCTGATTTTTAATCCCTTTTTTGACAAGTTGTGTGTATCTGCATCTCAGGAAGTCCCAACTATTCCTGACACCGTGAGACTCTCGGTCTAGGAACCCTGAGGTCATCTTCTACTTCTCTGTTTTCTTTGCCCCTTATATCCAAACTGGCAACTAGCCCCTACCAGTTTGGAAGCTGTCAAATATCACTAATGTCTGTCACGGCCTTTCCATTTCCATGGCTACCACCCTTGCCCAAGGTGCCTCGCCCGAGGTCTCCGAACTTTAGGCTTAGGTGATAAGAGCACATCCTGACTCAACACAGTTCCCTCCTTGTCCAGGGACTGGCAATGTGGCTGTAACTTTCATCCTGCTATATATAGTCTGGGTTCATCATTCCTGCTGTTTACTCAACAGCACAGACAGCTCCTACCGGATTATCTGGGCTCCTCTGCTTGGTGCTCCACAGCTGTCATCTGGATTCAGTCGACATAACCTGTATGTTCCCACTGCTCATTCCGGGAGAAAGCTCCCCTCCAATCAGGGCAGCCTTCTGTATACACAACCCTGTCTGCTCCACCAGCACGCTCTCTTTATCAGAGCTACTGTCCCTCTCCTCATCCCTCAAGGACTCACTTGAGTGTTACCGCCTCCTCCTAGAAGCCCTCCTCAGCAAGCTGGCCTGCACTGGTGGGTCCCCTAAACTATCAGAATACTTATAATCTATACTACAGAATTCAGTACATGACCATAGTCTTCTGTGCACTGGCCTCCATCTTTAAGACCAGAATGAAAGGCCCCTGAGGACTGAGCCAGATTTTAACTCCCACTTGCCTTCTCAAGGGCATCACTCTCAGTTATCCCTTCTCTCCCATACCAGTCATTACTCTTTCTCAGCATTCCATCTGACGTATACATATGCAATAGTATTTCTTATTAAATGAACAAACAAGAACCCCAAAACCTATTCCCTTGAACCCAGTTCTCACTCTATCAGTCACTCATCTATCGTTTCTCTGGTTTCCTTTTCAGCAAAGCCTCTTAAACAAGTTTTGTTTGTTTGTTGCATACACTGTCTCCGCTGTTTCACTTCCCATTTATTCCTTAACCCACGTCAGCCTAGCTTCTCTCCCCATCTCTCTAAAAATGCCCTTGTCAGAGTCACCAACAGTCTCCTGGCTGCCATATCCAGCGGACACAGGACACGCTTGTCTTCACCTACTGGACGCCTCAGCAACATTTGACAAGCCAACCAATCCTTCCTTCGTGAATTATCTTCCTAGCTCAGCTTCTGCTGCCTTTTGCTCCCAGTTTTCGTCCTCTGGATGCTTTGTTTCCATTTCATTTGCTGATGGCTTCCTTCCCATCCAAACCCAGGATCCCCTTCCTTATCTAGACTCTCTGGGTGGACGGATACAGTTTTAAATACCACCTCATGCTGAGGATGCCTACATTTCTCTCTCCAGCCCAGACCTCTCTGAGCTCCACACTTACAGCTCTGGTATCTATTTGACACCTCCACTTGGAGGTTTCACAGGCATCTCAATTTCCAAAAGGAAATCCTGATTTGCCCCTGCACAAAGACATTCTCGATCTCATCTTCCAATTTCGGTAAACAGCACCACCATCTAGCTCCTCCAACTTCCCTAAAGGCATTTGTGCTTCCTCCCTGTCTCTTACCTTCCACACCAGCCTATTTCTAAAAACCATCTTGTATGTCTCTCTTGTCTCTCCTTCATCTTCACTGCCACCAGTGCTGTCCAAAACAGCATCATCTTCCATCTGAACTATTGCAAAAGCTTCTTAACTGGTCTCCTGGCTTCTACTCTTACCCATCGGAAATCCACTTCCCACAGAGCAGCCAGAGCGGTTTTCTAAAACATTCATCAGACTATGTCTTTCCCTTGCTTAAAAGCCTTTCAGTGATTACCACTGCACCTGGGTTGAGAGCTAAACTTCTTGCCATTCTCTCTGATCTACCCCTTGCCTGCCTTTACAGTGTCACCTGATGCCACTGCTCCTTCTGCTTCTGGCACAGTGGCCTTGTGCTACCTCGCTTACCTCGTGGCCCATTCCTAGCTCTTTCTCACCTCAGGGCCTTGGCCTTAGCTGTTTTCTGGAATGCTCGTCTCCTGGCTCTATGCTGCCTGGGCCTTGAATCATTCTTCAGGTTTTAAATACATGTCACCTCCTCTGAGGGCCTTTAAAAAACAACATTGTCACTTTCCAATGTTACTCTGTAGCATGGCACCCCATTTATTTCCTTGAGGCATTTGTTGCTGTAATTAGTTTATTTGTTAATGTCTTTGTCACCCTCCTGAACATAAGATCCATGTGGCAGGAACAACGCCTTTTGTGGGACCTAGAGTTGGGTCTGGCACTTGGTGACTGTTCAATAAATGAAATCTTATTGAGCGACGAATGCCAGAACGCTGGCATTTTCCTGAGCAATGAGTAAGCAGACTGGTTTCTGTCTCACACTAGGTTCCCGGTAAGTTCTACAGTTCCGTCTGAATAGGACTAATCTGCAGTTGGAATCCTCTGAAAGGCCCATTAAGCTCAAAGGAAAACTTCCAAAGTGTGCTGAGCTCCATCGAACCAAATTGCAATACTTGGGAGACAACTTTTTTTGAACTCAGGGAACCATGAATTGGACCTCGCCTGCTTTTAAAAATGAAAGCATCTTTCACAATTTAGAATTCTAATTTGGAAGAGGAATAAAAGCATGAGTTTCGGTCTCTCCCAGAGAAGACTACACTCCATAAATACCTGAGAGGAATCATTTAGTATCCTGCAGTGTTGAAAGAGAGTTCACCAGCCTGGATTCAAATGCAGTATCAAACATTAACAAAAGACATGCTATCTAGTGAAGACAAAATACCTTTTAAACAAATTAAGTTAAATTGCCTCAAGTGCACAAAAGCTTTACTAGTTAGGTTTACTTCAATGCATTCTGCACCACTGAGGGACAGCCTTCATTCACACATCATGAGAATGGCATCAGGCTCAATTTCTATCTTCTAGAAGTAGAGATTTATAACAGCAAAACTAAAAAAAACTATACCACTGAGCACAGTGATAAAGTGCAGTTTCATATTTTTCTCTAAAACACACTCACACAACAGAAATATAACATCAAGATGGAAAACTGTTTCTGCAAACAGCAGGGGCCCAAAGATGCAGTGGGTAAGGTTTGTTAAGCTATCTCGTTCTGATCACTGAAAATAACAAGGTTTGACCAAAAAAAAAGCGAACAAATTTTACTGAACGTATTTTACAAAGCTCACTCATCTAGATGAGTGGTAATTCCATAAAAGTATTACTACTTATTACTGTTAATAAGAGCACCGAACATGTATCCAGCACAGGCTGTTTTCGAGGCCCTGTCCTAAGTTTTCTAGACATTAGTACATTCATTAGTACATTTCTTGACATTAGTACATTCATTGTAATATAGCTTTAGTCAGAAGTCCCCAACCCGGGGGCCATGGACAGGTACTGGTCTGTGGCCTGTTAGGAACCAGATGGCACAGCAGGAGGTGAGTGATGGGCAAGAGAGACAAGCTTCATCTGTATTTACAGCTGCTCCTTATCCCTTGCATTACCATCTGAGCTCCGCCTCCTGTCAGATCAGCCATGGCATTAGATTCTCATAGGAGCACGAACCCTATTGTGAACTGTGCATGAGAGGAATCTAGGCTTTGTGCTCCTTATAAGAATCTACCATCTAATAATCTGTCACTGTCTCCCATCACCCCCAGATGGGACCATCTAGTTGCAGGAAAACCAGCTGAGGGCTCCCAGTGATTCTACATTACAGTGAGTTGTATAATTATTTCACTATATATTACAATGTAATAATAGAAATAAAGCAGACGATCAATGTAATGCACTTGAATCATCCTGAAACCACCCCGCCTTCGGCCCCCCAAGTCCACAGAAAAATTGTCTTCCACGAAACCGGTCCCCGGAGCTAAAATGGTTGGGAACTCTTGGTTTTGGTGACAAAGCCACTGAGCTATTCCCAAGGCCTTTCAAACTTAACCTGCCCAAACTGGAATTCTATGTTTTCTCCCACAAAGTCATTCCTCTCAGCCAGCTGCTGCAACTCCATCAGCTCTATCAGATGGCCTTGATGATTTCCTTTCCTCTTTGGTTTCTTCTTTTCCCCTTCTGTACAAAATTATTTGGGAACATGTTTTTTAAGTGTGGAAAGTGAGGCTCAGATAAATCAAAGCCTGGGAACCTACAGCTAGAAGTTGCAGGACAGGATTCCAAGCCAGATCCAGGACCTGGCAGCCCTTGGCACCCCACCTTGCTATCCTGCCTCTCTTAAGTCAGCATCTGTGATGGTCATGACACTGCCATGGCTGCCACTAGGGAAGTGGTACGAAGCTGTGCTTACAGAAAGGGCTCTTGGACCCAGACACACCTGGGCTCAAGTCCCAGCTCTGTCACTTCTTGTAAGCCTTAGGCAAATAACTCCCACCTCTCTAAGCCTCAGTTTCCTCACCTGCAACAGGCAAACACTACCACCTACTTCTCAGCAATGTCATAAAATGTAAATGAGATGTCAAATTAATTTTAAAATGCCTAGTGAACTGAGGAGCATATATTAAATGTTCCAACTGATAGATATTATTATCGTTGAAACACTTAGCATGTCTACTTCTGTACACATTCAACTTACCAAACTATTAATACTTTGGGCATCTCCACAACAGGGGCAAAAGGCTGTCCACTGAGAATGAAATGACTTGGAACCTGGGCTAAGCTGGTCTATGCTCATCAGCAAAACTATCAGGAACTCACAGAACCACAGCCCAGAAGCAATTAGGCTTCATTCCACAGCACCCTGGGTGTCCACTAGTCTTCAGTGTCACCTCTTCAGGGTGGCCCTCAGCTCCTAAGCTGCAGGCTCCAAGGCCAACACAGTGGTCCTAAAGGGGTGGGAGGAGGGACAGAAGGATGAGCAAAGGAGAGGGGGCTGATAAAATGCTCACAGCACCAAAGGAGCTGGCTCCCTGCAGACTCCAGGCAGACCTCAGCTCCCACGGAACTTTAGAACAACCAAAGCTACTCGGCTGCTGTGTTAAAAGCTGTTGGATTTGTATTTAAAAGAAACAAAAAGTGTCACAACAAGTGAGATTTAATGAACACTCTCAGCTGTCACTGACTGATGAGTTCTTGCCACTATCGTTTATCTCTTGGCAAGGACCCAGATGGGACTATTTCTCAGTTAACAGGTGACCTATTTATGATCCCATAGGGTTGGTAGGAATCACAGTTATTTTGAAGAAGAATGGGATAATAAAAACTTTCTTAAAGCAATCAACACTTGGAGCATAAATGGATAACCATCCAACTTGCCCACATTTCATTTATGTTCTGTGGATTAAAAAAAAACTGGCATGAGTGATAAATCTAAAATTGAGAATTCTCTTACTCTAAAAGAGAGTGTTGTCTCTGTAAAGAAACTTGTAGGCAGCTAACCTTTATGCCACTCAAACTCATGTGGCTGTGTTTTTCCAGTCTTTAAGTAAAATAGCAAATAAGCAAGTTCTGTCCTCAGATTCAACATGTACCAGGGCTCTGATGTTATAATTTGTTGCTTATTACACATCCTATGTGACAAATGTGGCATTACAAATCCAGAAGTCCCCCTGTAACATGCAAATACATTATGTGACATGCTAAGCTTGGTAAACAGTATTATCAACCAGCATGGAGATGAACATCATCATCAACGGGATTTCCTGGGCACCTGCTGTGACCATTGTACAGTGCTATGGAAAAGTACAATTGTAGATTCAGAACCTATATTTTGTCTCCTCTCCATCAGGGTGTGCTCTGAGGGTGGAAGAAGTTTTCAAAAAGTCCCTAGGAACAGAGAACAGGAGAAAATGATAGCAGAGGCTACCCTTTACGGACTTATGGGAGAGCAAAGCAGTACCAGACCAGGGCAAAGGATACCTAGAGCCATGAGGAAATTGAGTGTGACCAAAACCTATGATCTTTATATGTAATTTACAAATGCTTATAATGTGTGGTCTGGTCCCAAGGGTGCAGGTGTTTCTTTTATTTGTTTTAGTTTCCCACTGTATTTCCACTGAACTTAATTAAGATTTTATCTCAGGGTAAAGTTTTCATAATCTTGGCTTATAGTCAATATAATTTGGCTTCCGCTGTATATGGATGAAAAATCTACAAAAGGAAAGAAACAGACCCAAAGGAAAAGAGGCAACTAATTATGAAGTGCTATCTATACGGTACTCACTAACTAAGAACTGTTCTTGATAAACAGTGTCTTCTTCCTGAGAAAGACTGAACTGTTCAAAGCCATTATTTCATTAAGGGTTTGGTGTCTCTGCAATGTTGTTGGTCGTATATTTATATTTGGTTGGGGGCTCATCAAAGAATCCAAGGAAAATTCTAAACAAACAAACAAACAAACAACAACAACAAAAAAACAGGGTTGCAAAAGGCTGGGGAAAAAATGGCTGCAAACAACCTCAATATAATAGACAGAAAATAAAACTAAAGTCAGAGAGGTTCTAGAAGGCAGGAAGGGAGAGGGAAAGAAGAATACTGCTTCTGTGGCTTCTACCTGCCATGTTCGCCTGGCTGGTCCCCAGGGCTTGAAGGATCAGCTGCAGCTCCCTGACAGCTGTTGCCGCCTCTTCTCCACAGGACATGTCGGGCTCCAGGACCACCTCCAGAAGGCCCACTCCTACCAAAGAGGGGCAGAGTCAGCCTCACTGCAGCTCTCCAATTTCACCAACAGAAAAATTAGGCCTAAGTTTCAGGAAAACCCTGCCTTACTGAAGGACTCTCAGAGTGGTTCTAGCCTCTCAATCATTTCTCTTCCCTCCCACCTTTTTTTTTTTTTTTTTTTTAAAGAGGCGTCATCTTGCTCTGCTGCCCAGGCTGGAATGCAGTGGCATGATCATAGCTCACTGCAGCCCTGAACTTTTGAGCTCAAGTGATCCTCCCACCTCAGCCTCCTGAATAGCTGGGGATACAGGTGTATGGCACCACACCTAGGTGTTAATTTTTTGGCAAGTAGGTCTCGCTATGTTGCCCAGCCTGATCTCAAACTCTGCGTACAGTGATCCTCCCACAGCCTCCTGAGTCACTAGCATTACACGTGTAGGCACCTAGGCTCCACGTTTTGATTTTTAAATGTTTCACTTCTTTTAATGACTGCTTAAAATATCCAGCTGCTGGGTCTGTGACTAGGTGGATAGGTTTGTCTAACTTCAGGGTGAGTTATTAGCAAGCCTAATAATTACAGTTCAAGCCATGTTCGCTAGTCAGCTATGCCAATCCCAATGCTGATATTTTAGTCTCCATCTATCAGGCTCCTGTGACTGCTTTCTCAATTTGTTCAAGAAAACTCTAGCGGTGAAAAGAGGGCCCTGCTATCCAAGAACTGAAGTAGGAAGGAGAAATAATGAAAACACTCCAAGCCTACCTGCCCTGTTCAAATCAATGAGCGTCTGAGACCTCAGGTTGTCGTGGAGGCTTTTGCCACTGTCTTGCTCCAACTGGATCTGCTTGATCCTCACCGTCTTGGGGATCACCTGACTCTGCTTCTTCCCTGCACAGACGCCATATATCAAGCTCCCATTCACAGCAATTGGGAGCCTCTGCTGGGTAATTTGGTAGCCTGCCTGCACACAAACATAGGGTAAACATAGTCACTGGTCCACACATAAAAGCTGGGATCCAGTTTACTATCCCTTTTACAATGTCACACAACGACAGGCCTACTTAAAGCAAAAACAACAAGAAAAAAAGGAAAAGGAGAAAAAAATTAGTTGCTGCATTGCAGCCATCATTGAGCCTGGTCTCTTCTGCCCCTGCCATCACCCCTTCACCCTCCCCAAATCCTCCACCCCTGATAACGATGCAATAAACAACACGAATTCATCCCATTGCCCTCATTAAAGTGCTGTATTGGGGAATAACAATAATGTCATTGTCAGGGACCCCTAAGAAAAGAATTTATTGTTTCCATCCAGCTCATTAGCCTAAACTCTGCATCTCATTACCAGGCTCCTGGCAGACCCTCCTTATTTGGAATGCTGGCTAAGCATTTTGCCATCTACTCTCCACACGGCCAACAGCAGTTGCTAGTGTGTGTTTAAGCTTGTTTTGTTTCTGCTTTTTAAAGGAATCAATCATGGCAGCTGCCCTCCCTGACCCAACCTCCCTAGCTCCTCCAGTCAGAAAATGCTGTGACACTCCCCCTCCATTAATGGAAGGCACATGGTACTAAAGCACTGATGGATCCTGCAAGGATCCCTCACCTGCTTCTAAGTGGAAAGGAAGAATTACTTGCAAACGCACAGAGGCACCAATACGCACTAAAGAGACAGCAGGTCAATGAGGAGAATTGGAGAAGAACAGAGAATAAAAGCAAAGGCATCTGTGGCACTTCCTAGGTCCCAGGTGCTGCTCTCACTGTGTTCCCTCAGTTAATTCCACAACAACCCTAGGAAGGAGGAACAAGGCGTGGAGGGATTAAGACCTTGCCCACAGCCACATACAGAGCTAGTGAGCATCAATGTCAATGTCTGAATTCAGATGGTCAGGCTCCAAAATCCGTGTCTTTCACCACTTGGCAGGCCCCCAGTTTAAGAACTTTAACTGCATCAGAAATACTACTGTGCTTGTCAAAAGACAGACTGCTTGGCCCGACCTCAAAGGTTTCCGATTCAGTAGGTCGAGGGTGGGGCCTGAAGATTTATATTTCTTACCAGTTCCCAGGAGATGATGATGTCAGTGCCCTGGGGACCACACTTTGAGAATCCTGCAAAAGGCTAACCCGTTTTCTATGCTGAGACGGGAAGTCTCAATTTGTAAAACTAAGCTCTGGGTAGGGTTGTTGGATAAAATATAGGACACCCAGTTAAATCTGAATTTCAGAAAAAACAACAAATGCTTTATTATATGAGTATGTCCCATGAAACTCTGGATTATTTGAACTATCTGGGCCAGAAAGACCAGAAAGCCACAGATGACCAAAACATCTCATTTTAGTCATATTATTACTAAATCTCCCACCTCAACCAAACTGTCTGTCACTCTTAAAAGATAAAGAAAGGCGGTTTAATTCTTTCCGCCCTACCAAACAGTAGACTTGCTGAGAGGCTGGAGGCCAGAGGGGAAAAGCAGCAGCCACTGGAGAACGCAGGTCTTACTTGTATTTTTTATTTAATTCTACTCGTGCCCTCACCCACTAAAAAACAGCTCGCCCCAATCTTCAGTTCAAGGAGAAAGAGGTGAAGCAACATCATCACTGTTGTTTTTCTGAATCAGACCAAACAAAACATTATTTTGGGAAACCCATTCAACATTTCAGTTTTGTTCCTGTTCAATAGTATGAAAAATTGGCTCTCACTCACATGGTGTGGCTTAAAGAAAAAAACCTTTTAATTTTCAGAAAAAAGCGGGTCAATATGGAGTTTACTGCTCAGCCAAGTAACTGGACCAACAGTTTACTGTTCTTGGTCCAGATTTCTGGTTCATGTTTCCGCTTACTATTGTCCACTTACTTGCTCCTTGTGAGATGACAGAAATGTCTCCAAAGGAGACAGCCCTATTATTGGGAACTTCAACTTAAAAGCGATTCGCTCTCGCTCTGCTGACAGAACTACAGTATGCATTTACTGTTGCATCAGCCAGAGCCTTAGCTTTTGTACTAACAGGCAATTAGCACCAAATACCACGGCCAGGCTGAGCCTGCAAACACTGGCTTCTACTCCCTGTGCAATTATGAGCGAGCCACCAGAAGCATGAGGTAAGCAAGAAGTCAGCAATCAGGACAACTGCATCCGATCTAGTAACCATCAGGGGCACCTGCCTGCATCAGGGCTGGGCCGAACTTCCTGCTGGGATGGACACAGTGCTGGCTGAAAACATGAGAGGCACAGCCCCTTTCCCTTGCTCCGACCCCCCACAGCAGGGCTGGCCCAGCTCTGAGAACTTGCAGTGGGGTGGATCACAAAGTGTACTTACAGGGAGGTCTGCATAGAAGTAGTGCTTCCTGTCAAACAAGGACTTCTTGTTTATGTGGCAGTTCAGAGCCAGGCCTGTCATCACCGCCGCTTCTACACACCTCCTGTTGAGAACCTATGGGAACACAACACACAGTTCCTCTCAGAACCGCAGGCTGAACAAATGCTTCTCCCACACACTGACATCCTCGCTGAATATGCAACTTGGCCCTTCAACAGGCATTATCTCTGGTTCTCTGGGTGGGCAGCTCCAGTTCACAAGCCGAGTCTGTTTGCCTGGGAATCAGGGAAGGATATAAAGAAGAAAATGTATGCAGCAGTGGGTCCCACCGGGCACTTAAGGAACTGCCACATCGGGAACCCTTTCCCCCAGTGCCCGGCATCAAAGCTAACAGGAAGAGTCGCAGAAAAGCTTAGCGGAGTGGTTACTACATAGAATAAATCTAATCTCACTCCCTCTACAAACAGAATAAGGGGCCGGTCAGAATACACAAGAGGCACTGATTGCTGAGAGGAGTCCTGAGGAAGGGTGGCTTCACTTTGACAGAAAAAGAATGAACTTCTGAAAACGACAGGGCCGTAGCCATTTTCTCAAGGGCTAGGAAATGTGGCACAGCTGTTGCCTGGCTTTCTGTCCATGCCAGGCCAACTCCCTAAAAGTGGAACGCCAACGGAGGGCCTGTCCCACACACTGGACGACTCCGTGCTGCTGGTCTCTCTGGGGGCACCTGGTGCTCCAGTTCCCTCTGGGTGCCACCCTGTCCCACTTACAGGAGTGAATGACCAAGAAATGGCTGGCACACTTCCCAGCACCAAAGAATGTCAAAGCTTTTAAGAACACTGGGGGTCTGGAACTAGACAACGAGATAATGTAGCCAAGGAGAAGGAGCATTAAGTTCTCGAGTCAGGTTCAAATCCCACTTCTGCTGTGACTAGGAGTCTCAGTTTCCTTGTGTCTAAAAGTGGGATTTAAGATCTACTTTGCAGAACAGATAAAGTGATAGCTGGAACACCTCCCCTAAGGTAGAGATTCAATAAATAGTTCATTTCCCTACTCTACTTTGGGACAATTTTGGAGGATGTCATGTTTGCAGATGAAATATATTTCTATTTTTGTTAGGATATTTATGATGTTCTTTAGTATATTTAATATACTATTATTGATATAGATAGGGCCTTCTAGTTGAGCATTTCCACATCCACCATTTTATTTCAGCCTCACAGCAACGCTGTAAAATAAGGAATCTGCATTATTCCAATATTTCAGATTAAAAAAACAAAACTAAGACCCAAAGAGTCTAAAACATTTGCCCAAATTCACAGAACTGGCAAGTGGTAAAGCTGCCTGTAAAGCCCACACATGCCGTGGCTGAGAGGCGGCAAACAGAACTTCTGTGGTTCAGGGACTGGCTCTTTAGGCTGGGATGACGAGTGTAGACCAAACACAGATTTTAAAAACAAATTTCTACAACAAAATGGAAGGGGCATTTCTATTTACTGCAATATACGGTCCCCAAAGAAAACCCAAACAAGGGCCAGGCGTGGTGGCTCATGCCTGTAATCCCAGCACTTTGGGAAGCCAAGGCGGGTATATCACGAGGTCAGGAGATCGAGACCATCCTGGCTAACACAGTGAAACCCCGTCTCTACTAAAAATACAAAAAATTAGCTAGGTGTGATGGCAGGCACCTGTAGTCCCAGTTACTTGGGAGGCTGAGGCAGGAGAATCACTTGAACCCGGGAGGTGGAGGTTGCAGTGAGCCGAGATCTCGCCACTGCACTCCAGCCTGGGCGACAGAGCGAGACTCCATCTCAAAAAAAAGGAAAAAGAAAAGAAAAAAAGAAAACCTAAACAAATCTCCCGCCTAGTGACAACATCACACCCTTATTTTTCAGGACTCAGGTTATAAGATGGAGCCATTTCACAGTTTCTATTTGGAGTTCTTCATTCTGTGCCTAATAATGTCAGCTCTGCAGCAATAAAGGTTTTCAAGAAAAGATGTGTGGGGAACAGGAGGCTCTAATTATTGATGTTTTCACTTGCCTAATGTCTGGCATTTTACTGAGCGGTTGTTACTGAGATACAAACATAGCTGGTGGAGAATCCCGCCAAATCCAAGCCTGATGATTCGGGTCCAGGCACACAGAACATGAAGCTGCAGTCCCGACCCTGGGCTTTGCTCTTCCTGGGGTCAGAATGCAGTCAGCCAGGGCTGGCTCGTAAACTGCCTGACTCCTGGTCTGCACCAGTTCTGCCTCATCATTCCCTCTGCTTTCCTAACCACTGCTTTCGCTCTCATTTCAAGCTTCTTTGCCCCTGGGACCAAGCTGCTTCCTCCTGCTAGGCATGAAGAGAACCCAGGTTATTTTGTTTGTTTATTTTCAAGCACGCACCATAGCCTCCCTGTGGGAGAAGAGTTGAGGACCATCACAGACTCTCACTGTGTCCGTGTGCACACAAGCGCACGGGCACTTCATAAACCACCACTTTCCAGAGAAGAAGGCAGTAAAACACACAAACATTACAGTGATACTGAGAATATGCTTTAATCTTTTTTTGATGATTTAGAAGCCATGAAGTACTTCAAGGTCAGAATTATAAGCATCAGTCATCACACGTTACAGATGCACAGAGGGCCCAGTAAACAGAGAGTGTCAGTTAGAAGAATGCCAAGAAAAAAAGGAATTTCCTAGGATCTTAGTCAAGCTGCTTGTGACAGATGGAAGTCCAGGTCAGCATGTTCTGAGGATAGGATACAGAATGGGAAAATTCAACTTGGGCTGTCTTCACTCTGAAAAAAAAAATTCTTAAATGTCTATAAAGCACTAAACTTTAGGGGTACATAGATAAATAGGACTCTGTCTCTGCCCTCAATGAATCCGCAGTGGTGACATGAACCTGCCAGCATCTGCAAACCCTTTTCAAGTTTGTCTTTCATACTAGGGTGATCCTGCTAAAATTGTGGATCTGTGGCATTCTGTTACCTGAAGTCCCTCAATGGCCCCTGATGTTCCCACGACAAAGGCCAAGCTCTTACATGATCAAACTCCTGCCTACATCTTCAATTTCATCTACCACCATGTCCCCCCACAACACCTCTGCTGTAGTTCCTCTGTGCAAACCGTGCTGATCTTCTGATTCTCCCCATTCTTATTCCCTTCAAAATCCTAGTGGGACGTCACCACTTCTGTGAAGCCTTCCTTGTTGTCCTTTCTGTGTACCTCTTCTGACCTTCTACACACTCCCATTGGGGCTTCCATCACAGTGGATTGAATTTGTTCACATGTAGTTCCACACAATTGCACATTTCATGAGGACGGGAATTGTCTGTTCACCCTTGTATCCCTGGAGCCTAATACAGAACCTGAAAAATTGTGGTATTTGATTAATGTGTGCTGAGCTCAAAGGAGGAGGGAGGGGATGATATCAATGGACGATTTCAGAGAGGCAGTGATGCCCCAGTCTCCTCTAAGGTGTTACCTGCCACATGCTGGCCTGCAAACTTGTTTCTGGAAGTGCCCTGAAGTGACAACTGATTGTGTGTGATACGATCAAGATGTAATTTAAAAACTAAAAAGACTAACTTGGCTTGAAGAAAGTATGTTCCAGAATTTCTCTGTAATTAAATGACTACAAAGGATCTCAGGGTTAGCCATAGCAGCTCTCGTTTGGAAAGAAGGCAGTAATTTTTGGTACTCACGCAGCACACCTTTCTCAGCTGAGCCTTCAGAGGCTTCTTTTTGGCTTCAGGAAGGGTCAGCAGCGAGTATTTATTGTGCACTGACACTGTGTCAGGAGGTGTGCTGCACATCACACACACATGCCATTGAATCCTCTCATTCCTAGGGTAAATACTATTATGATCCTCATCTTACAATGAAGGGAAGCATAGAGATGACACAGTTTGGTCAGGGTGACACATGGAAGTGGCAGAGCCAGGAAGTCAGATCCCAGAATCCAGGCTCTCAACCACTATATTCAATCTGAAATCTTACAAGAAAAAAGCATGTTAGTTTTAGCTATCAAGACTACTAACAGCAGGCCATAACTCCAGAGCAGCACCTCAACCCAAATCCTACTGTACATCATTTAAGGCAGATGCTATTTCTAATGTGTTTCTTCTTGCCAGTTTCTCCCTCTTTAGATTTGTTTCCAGATGTTGAACTCTCAGAGGGCAAGCATTGTGTTCTTTTAACTACATGAAAGAATTGAGTGTTCTTTCAGTGCAGTCTCTGGCATGTGGAGTGCTTGGTGATGGGTGACCCTACATGTTTTCTCAACGAGCAGAGGATGTTCTATTGCTAGACTTCAGAAACCCTTAGACACAGGCACCCATACAATGATTTATCAAATAAGAGGCTAATTCTTCTATTTAATCAGAAGATGAGAAAGCTGTGATGGGTAGAGGTAGGAGATGAGATAAATACACAGTGGGTGGCCAACAAATTTTATGACTAGTAGAGAGAGATAAGGCACATAATGGCCAGGAAAAAGATCTTGGGGTGGTGGGTGGTGGGAGTAGCAAATGATTTTTAATAAAGAATTGCTTGTCTGGCTTATTGTAAGACCTGAGTAGTGCTGCAATCATAATTGTTTGAAACCTAAGATACATCTAGCTCATAAGGCAGCATAAACAACTCAGAGTTTGCATGAGACCTCTAAGGGGACACAGCGACCCCAATTTGAGAAACAGGCTTCTAGTTTTAACATTTATTTAGCTAAACCAGACAAATATTCCATGATCTCTGAGACCATCATTTAACAACAACTCCCAACACTTTCAAACAAATCACCAAGTTCTACACATTCTACTTTCTTAACATTTCTTGATTTTTCCCCTCCTCCTCTTGCCTTCAGTTTTAATTCAGGTCTTTGTTTAAACACCACCCACTCCCACCAGGACTTCTGCCACTCACCACCTGGCCAGGAGGTTTCTCTGCCTCCATTTTCAGCCCTCTAGTCTCTCTTCCACACCTCTCCTAAGGTGACCTTTTTGAAGGATAAATCTGTTCATGTAATTCCTCTGCTTAAAATCCTTTTCACTGCTTCCCAGTCCTAACAGGATAAAGTCCAATTGCCTGGCAGAGGCTTCAATGCTCTTTGTGGTCTACCCCGACCACCTCTCTAGCTTCCTCTTCCTCCAGTCCCCCTGACCACCATGCTCCTGCAGCCAAACGTGACACATGCTTTCATACAAACTGCTGCTTCTGCTGGGAATGCCCTTCTTCCTCATCTGCTTGAGCAAGATCTTAGTATCTGGCAAGACTTTCGGATGTCACCTGTTTTGTGACATCTTTCCCACCACTACTACAGTCTAGGTCTTTCTTCCATTTAGCTCCCCTGGCACTTGGGGAACACACTGTTTCCCCAAACAGACTGAGTTCCCTGAGGGCAATCAGGTCATTTTGTCTTATTCTTCTTTGCCCCATCACCTAAATATAATACCAAGCTGATTAAATGAGATAATGAATAATTTAACATTTCCTTTATCAACATTCAAAAGACTATAAGCTGTGACATAAAAGCAAATTGTTCTACAAAATGTATGAATCAGGAAAAGGAAACCACTCTTTTAACACAGAGGCTTTATTACACATGAGAGAAGAGCTGAAACGTCAAAGAGGGCACATTTGGGCAAGTTAAGAGATTCTCAACAGCAGGAGGCCACTCCTATCACAGGGTATTGGGGCCATCAGAGGATGCTGGAAACACACTAGAAGCTGGAGCCATGGGTAAGACCCATCCTCTATCAGAGATGTTGCTGGAGGCAGAGCAAAGGCGAAATACCCTCTTGCTCCTTTCCTCCTACCTCTAGTCTTCTATCAGAGCCTCCTGCTGGCCTAACCCAGCCAGAAGCCAGCCGAGCTGGGGCTCTAGGATCTGTAGCCTGCAGGAGCAGCCTCCCTGCCATTCAGAGTGGAGCAGCAAAGTGGTGTAGCACAGAGCTGAGAACACACAGGCCATGACTACCTCAGCAAATACATACAGTTCTATGTTCATTTCTGTCCTTTTTTCTTTTGATAAATAAACAGCTATTCAAAAAAACAATGCCACTCTCTAGTCTGTCCAATCAACTTAAAACTGAACATTTTGTGGACACCCTTTTCACATGCGTGGAGCCAAGAATTATGAAATCCAACTAATTTATAAGGAACATTTGTGATAACTCATCTGGATTGAACTCAACTGTAAATCTACATTAAATACCAGGAAAGGGTTTGCTAAGCAAATTAACAGAATAAAGAAGATTATATAACTTACTTAAGTCCATAAAATATTCTCTAGGATTTTAGTACTTTTATGTGAAATTCCACTAATTACAAATAAATCTATTCACAAAAGCCAGTCTCTAGGATCTATACTGAGAAATATCTTGTTATGTACTTCAAAGGAATAACATTGAATGTCTTTCTAAATAGTCCTCAATTCACACCATTTCTCTCCCCTTCCTACTTTGCCCTCAATTGGTGAGCCCATGATGCTGTAACACCCAAAGTTAGTCCAATAAGTATCAGCACATCCTTAAAAAATTGAGGTGACATGGCAAGACTAGAGTCCTTACTGAAAATCCAGCTGGCAATTCCTCTCAGGCATCAAAACAAAGAGTAGAAGGTGATGTTTTCCAAAAAGCCCACATGGCAATTACTCTGTGAAACTGATGCTATACATGACAAATCTGATAATTAGGATATAGCATGGTAAATGCTTTAATTTATGGAGAGAAAGCAATTAAGATTTATTAAGTAAAAAGAAGGCAGTAAAACAGGCCTTTATCTTACTGCTAACCATAAATTTGTCTCAAAGCATGAACTCCCTCTGATTCATATTCAAAGCAAAAGTTACCACACGGATAAATTTTCATTACAGTTGAGAATATTGCTCCCCTGTTTCCGCACCCCTACACCACTTCTCACCACTGAGCCCTTTTATCATCACCCAAAACAAATACAAAACCTCTTGTGCTATAATAATTAAGCTTGCTGAAACTGGTCAGTTAATTTTTTAAAGTGGAATTTTACCATCCAAAGGTACTCCTTTTATGCAGGTATTAAGTATTTATATTAACAGAACCACATAAATATATATGTTCTTTATCCTTAAGCACAGGCATTGCCTAGGGACAAGGAGAATGTGAAGGCTACATTTCCTCTTTTGTTTAAATCCCTCTTTCCCGAAGGGGAAAGAAAATCAAATAGCCATCGCACAGGAAGCAACTCTGATTCCAAAGAAGAGAAGTGTAGTCTGGCAGGTTCAACTATCCTCAGTTCCCAGTTTTCTCCTATTCTGAGCTCTCTTATACTAATTCCATTCCCCAGGGGTGGTCAGGAGCAAGGGGAGGAAATTTTCCTTGGTCCAGAGTGTCAAAAGTCCCATTTTTCTCATCTGGGATTCCATCCTCTTCCTGTCTTTGCCTACCTAGCAAGCTCAGGAGGCCACGGTCACCATGAGGCACTTGATGTCAGCATGGCTTTTGGCACTGGGGCTATCTCTCTTTTCTTTTCTTCTTTTTGAGACAAGGTCTTACTCTGTCGTCCAGGTTGGAGTGCAGTGGCCCGATCACAGCTCAAGGCAGCCTAGATCTTCCAGGCTCAGGGGATACTCCCACTTTCGCCTCCCGAATAGCTGGGACCACAGGTGTGAGCCACCATGCCTGGTTAATTTTTTAATTTATATTTTGAAGAGACGAGGTCTTGCTATGTTGCCCAGGCTGCTCTTGAACTCCTGGGCTCAAGCGGTGTGCCCGCCTCAGCCTCCCAAAGTGCTGAGATTTCAGGCTTGAGTCACCATGCCCGGCCCTTTATTGCTTTTCCATGTACCACTGGAATACTAAGATCTGAGATTTACCTCAGGGATTTTAGAAAAAGGACAGAAAAGTCTTTGGCCTACATCAGTCCTAGGTCCACCCCTAATATGGATGAAAAGAGCTCTCCCATGATACAGTTTGGTTTGCTTGGATTTCACTTTGGGATTGGAGGCCAATGGCCCAACTGCTACGGCATACATTTGTGAAATCTCATACTTGGCCAGTTAGCCATGTTAGATAGGGAGGTTACAGTGGTTGGTGGCCAGTAAAAGACAAGACTGGGTGTGTAGATTAACTGGTCTCTATTCCTTGTTCCCACAACATTCTCAACAGTTACTAATCTGGCATTACTCACTGGTGATTAACCTGATCTCTGAGAAGACATATACTAATTGATGAACTAGGGCAAAATTTAGTCAGAAAGAACAGAATCTGAATCTTACTCCTCACACTAGCCATGTTATCTTGCACAAATTACCTTACCTCTCTAGGCCTCACTTTCCTTATCTGTTTAGGGAAGAATAGTTATTTGGCAGGATTGTTCTATGAATTAAATAAAATAACTTCACACATAGCAGACACTTAGTAATATTAGTTTCAGAATGAAAATGTTATTAAATGCAAAGTGCCTATCTCAATCGAATCTTTCATATGTTAACTTTTCCAGGAGGCATGGGAATTTGATGTGAAAAGGGCTAAACAGCTCCACAGATCTATTAGTCTGGATTTATAATCCAAAATAAGGCACAACAGATGCTGAAATTATGTATTATGTCAACATAATATTTCCCCCTTAAATGATAACCAACACCTTTTGTGATAATTACTTGTGTTATCTCCAGTGGACTGGAGACCATATTTCTTAATGTCTCAGGGAGCTTACAGGACTTCATTTTCTTTGTTTCATAATGAAGCAAAAATTTCCTGGATAACCTTGTATGCCTTCCCATGGCCAAAAAAAGCTCCCATGTGCACTAAAAGAAACGAGCTTCTAACAGGCTGAAGTTACAAACCAGTTAACTGAGCCAATTTTTACTCCCATCTCATTCTTGCCTGCCACACATCTGTAACTTCCTGTCTTCTAAGCTAGTAGCTACTTTTGAAATTCAATGAGAATTGATGAAGAAGAGATGTATAAAGGATATGGGAATCATGTAAAAACACAAAACCAAACAAACAATCAAAAATATTGTTCTTTTTGAATACAACTTTAGGATATGGCCAAGATCTTTAGTGAAGAAAGATTTCTCCTACTTCAACTCTGAATATTTGTCTTTCTCTTGTTTATAACTTTTTTAAAAAAAGTATATTAATATTTAAAAAGCTAAAACACAAACTCATTCATCTAGATTTGCCCCATACTGAAACTGTCAAGTCTTTTCTGATGTGTCCTAAAATTTACTCAAGAGACTCTACACCTGGAGAGATCTGATGCAATGACAAACTATTTCACATCACTGAAACCTCAAGAGGAATCAGTGATAGTAACAAGAAACATTAATTTCATGACTGAAAAGCTCTAATAATCAGAATGAGATTTACTTTCTTCTTTATATATAAGATTAGTATTAAGTTGAAAGATTTGACTATTGCTAAGAAACAAAACAACTGTCTTGAACCAACCAAACTCTAAGTAAGAAATGCAGCTAAGTATTCACTATTGATATGAATACAGGATCAGGTATGAACGAGGCCTATGAATATCAGAAACAAATTCCTAGAGATACGTGCCATTTTGTCAAAAGTGCACCTGCTATATATTCACCAGCCTCACAAATGTCCTGAGAAGTGAGTCTCTGGAAGAGTCTATCAGGACAGAGACTTTTAGGAAGAAAAAGCTACCTTTAATTTCACACATCCAATAGGAATGCATATAGCATCATCTTAGAGGCTTCTTAGTAAGTCATAAAATCATGGAGGTTCGTAAGAGAAAGAAAGAAAAAACTGCAAACTTTCATAGGGCAAACTCCCTATTTCCTTAATTATGTTTGCTTTAGGAGTAGATAGTAAGATAAAATAGCTGGCCTGGGCATTTCAAAACTGTCAATGTCATGAAGAAAGGAAAGAAGGAAGAGAGAGAAAGAGAGGAAAGGAAAGGAAAAGAAACAAAAAGAAAAAGGACTAAAGAGACATGACAACTAAATGCAATGGGTGCTCTTTGACTGGATCTTTTATTGGGGGAAAAATAAAGGACAATACTGAGACAACTGTGCAAACCTGAATATGAACTATGTTTTAAATAACAGTATTCCATCAACAGTAGCTTTCCTGAGTGTGATAATCATACTGTGATCATAGAAGTGAACATTTTTATTCTTAGGAGATAGCTGCTAAGATATTTAGAGAGGAAGTGCCATGATGTCTGCAACTTACTCTCAAATGGCTCATCCAAAGGAGGAAAAAAAAAATCTAGGTGCAGGATGGATTTCATTGTGCTATTCTTTCAACTTTTCTGTAAGTTTTAATTTTTTCAAAACAAAAAATGTTGAAGAGAGTGGAAGTGTTGGGTAATTCTTCTATCTAGGTGAGATGGTACAAGCCTCCCACACAAAACTCAAGGAATCTATTAACTATGAAGAGAAGAAGGAGAGTCCCTAAAGGAGGCAGGAGCTATTGAAACTGATGCTGGTCGGATCATGGCAGACGGGAGGCAGGACTAGATTGCAGCTCCAGACAGAGCAGCATGCGGAGGCTTGCATTGTGAATTTTACCTCCAGATCAGCTGCAAGAGCAGGCCAGCAATCCTGAGAAAACTGCTCCTACAGGACCCGGGAGACACCCCAAATACTCTGGGAAGTGGAAAGCCTCAGGCAAGTTTTCAAGCCCCACCTGCCCTCTGCCTGGAAACAGACTCGGGGTGTGGTGGGAGTGAGACTGGCCCTTTGGTTTGTGTGGGAGCTGGGTGAGGCCTGTGACTGCCAGCTTTCCCCTTCTTCCCTGACAACCCGCATGACTCAGCAGAGGCAGCCATAAATCCTCCTAGGCACACAACTCCAGTGACCTGGGAATCTCATCCCCATCATCCACAGCAGCCGCAGCAAGACCCGCCCAAGGAGAGTCTGAGCTCAGACATGCCTAGCCCTGCTGCCACCTGATGGTCCTTCCCTACTCAACCTGGTAACAGAAGACGAAGGACATACAATCTTGGGAGTTCTAGGGCCCCGCCCACCACTGGTCCCTCTCCATACTACAGCTAATGCTCTCTGGAAAGCACCACCTCCTGGCAGAAGGCCAACCAGCACAAAAATAAAGCATTAAACCACCAAAGCTAAGGACTCCCACGGAGTCCACTGCACCCTCTGCCACCTTCACCAGAACAGGCGCTGGTATTCACGGCTGAGAGACCAATGGATGGTTCACATCACAGGACTCTGTGCAGACAGCCCCCAGTGCCAGCCTGGAGCCACGAAGACTCACTGGGTGGCTAGACCCAGAAGACAGACAACAGTCACTACAGTTCAGCTCAAAGGAAGCCACATCCACAGGAAAAGGGAGAGAATATTATTACATCAAGGGAACACCCCATGGGACAAAAAGACCTGAATAGCAGCTTTCAGCCCTGGACCTTCCCTCTGACAGAGCCTACCCAAATGAGAAGGAACGAGAAAACCAACGCTGGTAATATGACAAAACAAGGCTTTTCAACACTCCCCCAAAATCACACTAGTTTACCAGCAATGAATCCAAATCAAGAAGAAATCCCTGATTTACCTGAAAAAGAATTCAGGAGGTCAGCTATTAAGCTAATCAGGGAGGGACCAGAGAAAGGCGAAGCCCAATGCAAGGAAATCCAAAATATGATACAAGAAGTGAAGGGAGAAATATTCAAGGAAATAGATAGCTTAAAGAAAAAACCCTCTCCCTCCCCCTCCCCTTCCCCCTCCCCCTCTCCCCACGGTCTCCCTCTCTCTTTCCACGGTCTCCCTCTGATGCCAAGCCGAGGCTGGACTATACTGCTGCCATCTCCGCTCACTGCAACCTCCCTGCCTGATTCTCCTGCCTCAGCCTGCCGAGTGCCTGCCATTGCGGGCGCGCGCCGCCACGCCTGACTGGTTTTCGTATTTTTTTGGTGGAGACGGGGTTTCGCCATGTTGGCCGGGCTGATCTCCAGCTCCTAATCACAAGTGATCTGCCAGCCTCGGCCTCCTGAGATGCCGGGATTGCAGACGGAGTCTCGCTCACTCAGTGCTCAATGTTGCCCAGGCTGGAGTGCAGTGGCGTGATCTCGGCTAGCTACAACCTCCACCTCCCAGCCGCCTGCCTTGGCCTCCCAAAGTGCCGAGATTGCAGCCTCTGCCCGGCTGCCACCCCGTCTGGGAAGTGAGGAGCATCTCTGCCTGGCCACCCATCGTCTGGGATGTGAGGAACGCCTCTGCCCGGCTGCCCAGTCTGGGAAGTGAGGAGTGCCTCTTCCCAGCTGCCATCCCGTCTAGGAAGTGAGGAGCGTCTCTGCCCGGCCGCCCATCGTCTGAGATGTGGGGAGCGCCTCTGCCCCGCTGCCCCGTCTGGGATGTGAGGAGCGTCTCTGCCCGGCTGTGACCCCGTCTGGGAGGTGAGGAGCGTCTCTGCCCGGCCGCCCCGTCTGAGAAGTGAGGAGCCCCTCTGCCCGGCAGCCGCCCCATCTGAGAAGTGAGGAGCCCCTCCGCCCGGCAGCCACCCAGCAGCCGCCCCATCCGGGAGGGAGGTGGGGGTCAGCCCCCGCCGGGCCAGCCGCCCCGTCCGGGAGGGAAGTGGGGGGTCAGCCCCTGCCCGGCCAGCCGCCCCGTCCGGGAGGGAGGTGGGGGGTCAGCCCCCGCCCGGCCAGCCGCCCCGTCCGGGAGGGAGGTGGGGGGGTCAGCCCCCGCCCGGCCAGCCGCCCCGTCCGGGAGGGAGGTGGGGGGAGCCTCCGCCCGGCCACCGCCCCGTCCAGGAGGTGGGGGGCGCCTCTGCCCGGCCACCCCTTCTGGGAAGTGAGGAGCCCCTCTGCCTGGCCACCACCCCATCAGGGAGGTGTACCCAACAGCTCATTGAGAATGGGCCATGATGACGATGGCGGTTTTGTGGAATAGAAAAGGGGGAAAGGTGGGGAAAAGATAGAGAAATCAGATTGTTGCTGTGTCTGTGTAGAAAGAAGTAGACATAGGAGACTCCATTTTGTTCTGTACTGGGAGAGGTTCTTCTGCCTTGGGATGCTGTTGATCTGTGACCCTGCCCCCAACCCTGTGCTCTGGGGCATGTGCTGTGTCCACTCAGGGTTGAATGGATTAAGGGCGGTGCAAGATGTGCTTTGTTAAACAGATGCTTGAAGGCAGCATGCTCATTAAGAGTCATCACCACTCCCTAATCTCAAGTACCCAGGGACACAAACACTGCGGAAGGCTGCAGGGTCCTCTGCCTAGGAAAACCAGAGACCTTTGCTCACTTGTTTATCTGCTGACCTTCCCTCCACTATTGTCCTATGACCCTGCCAAATCCCCCTCTGCGAGAAACACCCAAGAATGATCAATAAAAAAAAAAAAAAAAAGAATTTTTATAATTTTAATGAGAAAAATTAAGAAACAAAGATCTGTGAATACTATCATTATAATTTTGTTCAAAAACATGGAAAAATAAAAAGATGCTAAAATTATATTAAAAACTATGTAGAAATAAAAAGATAAATATTAAAAAAACTAAAAAATTCAGGAAACTTTGGACACACTTTTATAACTGAATGACAATAATGACACAACCTATCAAAACCTCTGGGATACAGCTAAGAAGGTGTTAGGAGGAAAGTTCACAGCCCTAAACACCTACATCAAAAAGTCTGAAAGAGTACCAACAGACAATCTAAGGTCACACCTCAAGGAACTAGAGAAATAAGAACAAACCAAACCCAAACCCAGCAGAAGAAAAATAACCAAGATCAGAGCAGAACTAAATGAAATTGAAACAAACAAAAAAAATACAAAAGATAAATGAAACCAAAAACTGGTTCTTTGAAAAGATAAATAAAATTGATAGACCATTAACAAGATTAACCAAGAAAAGAAGAGAGAAAATCCAAATAAACTCACTGAGAAACGAAACAGGAGATATTACAACTGACACCACTGAAATACAAAAGATCATTCAAGGCTACTATGAACACCTTTAGGCACATAAACTAGAAAACCTAGAAGAGATGAATAGATTCCTGGAAAAATACAACTCTCCTAACTTAAATCAGGAAGAATTAGATACCCTGAACAGACCAATAACAAGCAGCGAGATTAAAACGGTAATTTAACAATTGCCAACCAAAAAAAGTCCAGGACCAGACAATTCACTGAAGAATTCTACCAGACATTCAAAGAATTGGTATCAATCCTTTTGACACTATTCCACAAGATAAAGAAGGAATCTTCCCTAATTCATTCTATGAAGCCAGCATCACCCTAATACCAAAATCAGGAAAGGACACAAACAAAAAAGAATATATCCTCGATGAATGATAGATGCTAAAATCCTTACAAAATACTAGCTATCCGAATCTAACAAATATAAAAAAGATAATCTACCATGATCAAGTGGGTTTCATACCAGGGATGCAGAATTGGTTTAACATATGCAATTCAATAAATGGGATACACCACATAAACAGAATTAAAAACAAAAATCAAATGATCATCTCAATAGATGCAGAAAGGGCATTCGACAAAATCCAGCATCCCTTTATAATTAAATCCTCAGCAAAACTGGCACACAAGGGACATAACTTAACGTAATAAAAGCCATCTATGACAAACCCACAGCCAACATAATAATGAATGGGGAAAAGTTGAAAGCATTCCCTCTGAGAACTGGAACAAGACAAGGATGCCACTCTCACCACTCCTCTTCAATATAGTACTGGACGCCCTAGCCAGAGCAATCAGACAAGAGAAATAGAAGGCATCCAAATTGGTGAAGAGGAAGTCAAACTGTCCCTGTCTGCTGACGATATGATCTTTTACCTTGAAAACCCTAAAGACTTCTCCAGAAAGCTCCTAGAACTGATAAAAGAATTCAGCAAAGTTTCCAGATACAATTAACATACACAAATCAGTAG
Organism: Homo sapiens; assembly: GCF_000001405.40. Taxonomy (NCBI): domain Eukaryota; kingdom Metazoa; phylum Chordata; class Mammalia; order Primates; family Hominidae; genus Homo; species Homo sapiens. Next base: position 151,734,280 of record NC_000004.12, read on the forward strand.
CTCTTCTATATAGCAACAGTGACCAAATGGAGAACCAAATCAAGAACTCAACCCCTTTTAAAATAGCTGCCAAAAAAAAAAAAAAATACTTAGGAATACACCTAACAAAAGAGTTGAAGGACCTCTACAAGGAAAACTACAAAACACTGCTGAAAGAAATCACAAATGACACAGACAAATAGAAACACATCCCATGTTCACGGATGGGTAGAATCAATATTGTGAAAATGACCATAGTGCCAAAAGCAATCTAAAAAGTCAACACAATCCCCATCAAAATACCACCATCATTCGTCACAGAGTTAGAAAAATTCATATGGAACCAAAAAAGAGCCCGCATAACCAAAGCAAGACTAAGCAAAAGGAACAAATCTGGAGGCATCACACTACCTGATTTTAAACTATACTATAAGGCCACAGTCACCAACACAGCCTGGTACTGGCATAAAAATAGGCATAGACCAATGGAACAGAATAGAGAACCCAGAAATAAACCCACATCCTTACAGTCAACTGATCTTCAACAAAGCAAACAAAAACATAAAGCGGGGAAAGGACACCCTTTTCAACAAATGGTGCTGTGATAATTGGTTAGCCACATGTAGCAGAATCATACTGCATTCTCATCTCTCACCTTATACAAAAATCAACTCAAGATGGATTAAGGACTTAAACCTAAGACCTGAAACTATAAAAATTCTAGAAGATAACATTTGAAAAACCCTTCTAGACATTAGCTTAGGCAAGGATTTCATGACCAAAAACCCAAAAGCAAAAGCAGTAAAAGCAAAGATAAATAGCTGGGACCTAATTAAACTAAAGAGCTTTTGCACAGCAAAAGAACAGTCAGCAGAATAAACAGAAAACCCACAAAGTGGGAGAAAATCTTCACAATCTATACATCTGACAAAGGACTAATAACCAGAGTCTACAACAAACTCAAACAAATCAGTAAGAAAAAAAAAAAAAAACAAACAATCCCATCAGAAAGTGGGCTAAGGGCATGAATAGACAATTCTCAAAAGAAGATATACAAATGGCCAACAAACATTATGAAAAAATGCTCAACATCACTAATGATCAGGGAAATGCAAGTCAAAACCACAGTGCGATACCACCTTACTCTTGCAAGAAGGGCCATAATCAAAAAATCAAAAAACAGTAGATGTTGGCCTGGATGCAGCAATCAGGGAACACTTCTACACCGCTGGTGGGAATGTAAACTAGTACAACTGCTATGGAAAACAGTATGGAGATTCCTTAAAGAACTAAAAGTAGAACTACCATTTGATCCAGCAATCCTACTACTGGGTATCTACCCAGAGGTAAAGAAGTCATTATTTGAAAAAAAAAGATACTTGCACACGCATGTTTATAGCAGCACAATTCACAACTGCAAAATCGTGGAACCAACCCAAATGCCCATCAATCAACAAGTGGATAAATAAACTGTGGTGTATATATATATATATATATATGATGGAATACTACTCAGCCATAAAAAGAAATAAATTAACAGCATTTGCAATGACCTGGATGGGACTGGAGACTAAGGCGTAAGAATGATACAATGGACTTTGGGGACTCGGAGGAAGAGTGGGAAGGGGGCAAGGGATAAAAGACAACATACATGGTGCAGTCTATACTGCTCGGGTGATGGGTGCACCAGGATCTCACAAACCACCACCGAAGAACTTATTCATGTAACCAAATACCACTTGTACCCCAATAACTAATGGGAAAAAAAAGAAGAAACTAATGCTGACTTGTAAACCCCACATCCTGCCACTTCCATTCACTGCTGCTGAAAATCAGCTCTAGAAAGAAAACATTACATATTAAAGCTATCTACCTAAACTTTCCTATGCCATAGATTCAATTAAGCTATGGGATATTATTAAGGCCCTTGTGTATGTAATCAAGTATGGTGCAACCAAAATCTGTTAAGAGAATTCCACAGTATCTATAGAAAAGTATATAAACCCTGCAAATAGACACCATATACATGCATAATCAAGAGTATGAAAGGAAGATTTGTTCTTTTAACTGGTAGGAAAATAATTTTCCCCAATTATATATTTTCTAGCTGAAAATACTTTTAGCTTCCCCCAAAGCTGTATGTGTGTCTTATTTTCTATCAGTGCTTCCATTCTGTTGCCTCACTATGTAAATGTATATGTATATTTATCAATTTGTGCTTCTCTGAAAGACATCTGTGACTGAAAACTTCTCATTAATTGTTACTCATACTGTTGTGAATACATGCCATCCTAAGTTATGTCAGGATAGTATGATGTAAGTGTTTACCACTGCCACTCCCAGCCCAACTCTATTGGCCACTATGAAGTGGAAGTATCTGTGCTCACATTTTAATGATGCAAAGTTAAAAACATGAGTACTGATATGGTTTGGCTGTTCCCCACCCAAATCTCATCTTGAATTCCCACATGTTGTGGGAGGGACCCGGTGGGAGGTAATTGAATCATGGGGGCAGGTCTTTCCGGTGCTGTTCTCGTGATAGAGAATAAGTCTCACGAGATCTGATGGTTTTAAAACTGGGAATTTCCTTGCGCAAGCTCTCCTCTCTTGTCTGCTGCCATGTGAGGCATGCCTTTCACCTTCTGCCATGATTGTGAGGCCTCCCCAGCCAGGTGGAACTGTAAGTCCAATAAACCTCTTCCTTTTGTAAATTGCCCAGTCTCAGGTATGTCTTTATCAGCAGTGTAAAAATGGACTAATAAAGTAAACTGGTACCAGGAGTGGGGTGTTACTGAAAAGATACCTGAAAATGTGGAAGTGACTTTCGATCTGGGTACCAGGCAGAGGCTGGAACAGTTTGGAGGGCTCAGAAGAAGACAGGAAAATGTGAGAAAGTTTGGAACTTCTTAGAGACTTGTTGAATGACTCTGACCAAAAGCCTGATAGCGATATGGAAAATAAGGTCCAGGCTGAGGTGGTCTCAAAAGGAGATGAGGAACTTGTTGCAAACCGAAGCAAAGATGACTCGTGTTATGTTTTAGCAAAGAGACTGGTGGCACTTTGCCCCTGCCCTGGAGATGTGTGGAACTTTGAACTTGAGAGAGATGATTTAGGGTATCTGACAGAAGAAATTTCTAAGCAGCAAAGCATTCAAGAGGTGACTTGGGTGCTGTTAAAGGCACTCCGTTTTATAAAAGAAGCAGAGCATAAAGTTTGGAAAATTTGCAGCCTGACAATGTGGTAGAAAAGAAAAACCCATTTTCTGAGGAGAAATTGAAGCCAGCTGCATAAATCTGCGTAAGTAATGAGAAGCAGAATGTTAATCCCCAAGACAGGGGGAAAATGTCTCCAGGGCACATCAGAGGTCTTCACAGTAGCCCCTCTCATCACAGGCCTGGAGGCCTAGGAGAAAATGGTTTTGTGGATCAGGCCCAGGGTGCCCCTGCTGTGTGCAGTCTAGGGACTTGGTGCCCTGCATCCCAGCCACTCCAGCGTGACTAAAAGGGGCAAAGGTACAGCTTGGACTGTTGCTTCAGAAGGTGGAAGCTGCCAAGCCTTGGAAGCTTCCACGTGGTGTTGAGCCTGTGGGTGCACAGAAGTCAAGAACCAAGGTTTGGGAACCTCCACCTAGATTTCAGACGATGTATAGAAATGCCTGGATGTCCAGGCAAAAGTTTGCTGCAGGGGCGGGGTCACAATGGAGAACCTCTGCTGCTGGGCAGTGCAGAAGGGAAATGTGGAGTCAGAGCCCCCAGAGCCCCAAGACAGAGTCCCTACTGGGGTACCACGCTGTGAGAGGAGGGCCACCTTCCTCCAGACCCCAGAAAGGTAGATCCACTGACAGTTTGCACTGTGTGCCTGGAAAAGCCACAGACACTCAATGCCAGCCCGTGAAAGCAATCATGAAGGAGACTGTACCCTGCAAAACAACAGGGTGGAGCTGCCCAAGACCATGGGAACCCATCTTTTGCATCAGCCAGCGTGACCTGGATGTGAGACGTGGAGTCAAAGGAGATCATTTTGGAGATTTAAGATTTGACCTGGTTGGAGGTAACTGAATCATGGGGGCAGGTCTTTCCTGTGCCATTCTCGCGATAGTGAGTAAGTCTCACGAGATCTGATGGTTTTAAAGATGGGAATTTCCTTGCACAAGCTGTCTTCTCTTGTCTGCTGCCATATGAGACATGCCTTTCACCTTCCACCATGATTGTGAGGCCTCCCCAGCCAGGTGGAATGGTAAGTCCAATAAACTTCTTTCTTTTGTAAATTGCCCAGTCTCAGGTATGTTTTTATCAGCAGTGTAAAAATGACTAATACAAGTATTATAATAACACCAAATAAAATTTATGTGCTACTTGAGAGTCTATGAAGTGCTTTCACATATATTAACTTCTCTGCACAGATGTAAAAATGAAAAAGAATCAGAGATAAGGTAAATAAGATAGCTAGCTGGCTGTGATAAGTAAACAGAGGTTATGAGTGACTACAGGCATCTTAAATGTTTACAACCAGCTATAAAGGAAAAATTCCCCGCTATGTTTTGTCGGAAATGAACAATTAGCAAGTATTGCAGCAGCGAGTGTAATCTGGTGCTTATACTAAGAATAGGGACCAGGCAATTCTCACTTCTATTTTTAGCTGGGTTCATGACCTCTTTGTGTCCTTGGATAAGTCAGTAAGACCATCAGTTTCCTCTCCTATCAACTGGGGTTGGAGCCCCTGACCTTGCTCATTGGGATGGCCTATGAGTTGGCAAATATCACTGAAAATTCAAAATGCTATTGACAATCACATATTATTGCCTGTCTGCATTTCCTAAGAAAGCTGCAAAGCATGACAAAGACCCTTGATTGATTACGCTTCTTGCTTCTATAATTGTAAAAGGAGATACGTGCATAAAAATTTAGAATAGAATATTTTAAGGCTCCCAGAAGCACTAATGCCTTTTGATTCCCAGTTATTCTCCCTGCCTCAGCTCCAGTCCTTATTATAATGATGTACCCAGTGGTGAAAGGCTGGGGAACACAAAGGCTCACTAGCAAGAATCCTCTGCCATGAGGAACAGAATGCTCTTCAGAGGAGCCCAGCCTGACTACCTACCCATGCCAGAATCACCAAGCCTACGTTTGTCATCTCTGGTATGCCAATGGCAAAATGACCTCCTAACTTTGCCAAGATTTTTAAAAGAGCTGAGGAAAAAAACTCCCCAAGATGCCGCAGCGTAGAAAATAGCCAACTCTCCCCACAATGTTACATGTGAAGCCGCAAACACACATAAAAATGGCCAAGAGAGGCCAAGCCAATGGCCTCAGATGACAAGTGCATCTACTTGCAGTATAAACAAAGAATTCCGCAAGACTCACCCAAAAACAGCTTCTCACATCTATGCCCAGACATGATGTGACACTGGCTTCATGCTTTTGAGGGCACAATTTGGGCAACGGTCATTCCCCTGCCCCTAGGTTTCCATGTGACAGGACTTTGCTTTCTACTCTGTATTCTCTTGTCCCCAAAAGAGTGACTTTTGTGACAAGTGACTTTGGGAAATGGAACCACATGAGTGGGTTGGCCCCATGGCTGAGCATTCCTATAGAAGCTTATAGTATAAATTATCAGGAGAAAGCCTGCATGAGTTCTTCCTAATCAACATGCCCACAATGATGGGACAGTCAGCTCTACTCTGGCGACATGATAAGCTTTCTGCAGAAGCAAGTTCGTCCTCTACAAGTGAAAAGCCTGCAGTTTTGGAAAGCTGAGTTCAACAGAGGCAGCAAGTACTAAAAAGCATATGGCTAAACATCACGTTGCATTTTTCAATCAAGCTATTATCTGTAATAAAGCTGGTATGTTCATTTCCATCTGTCTGACTTCTGTGCTGATTTCTCAGTTGGTTCTGACTCAAGACAGGAAGCGAGTATTATTTTTATTGACCCACTAAAACTACACAATATCTTCCTAGAAACTCTTTCCTAGTACAGTCGTGCATCACTTACCAATGGAGATATGTTCTGAGAAATGCCTTGTTAGGAGACTTTGCTGTTGCATGAACATCGTAAGAGTGTACTCATACAAACCTGGATGGGACAGCCCTCTACACACCTAGGCTACAGGGTATAGCCTATGGCTCCTACGCTACTAACCTGTACAGCATGTTATGTACTGAATACTGTAGGCAACTGTAACACAACAGTAAGTATTTGTGTATCTAAACATATTGTCATGTATTATGCCATGATGACAAGATGGCTATGACATCACCAGGCCATAGGAATTTTTCAGCTCCACTGTAATTTTATGGGACCACCATCATATATGTAGTCTGTTGTTACCAAAATGTCATTATGCAGTACATGATGTACTCATAAAAACCATCTAGCAATCCCCGCAGCATCACCGATGATGCCACAAAGCAGAAGAAACCCAAGAGGGCAGCTGCCATGGCCAGGCATGTATTGCCTTTGCAGGAAGAGCTTTGCCAGGCCTGCCGTAATTTGTTAAGTTCGGGAACTGTCCATGGAAGAAAAATGAATGGTACCCAGCTGCATGATTTCAGGCTGCGTTTTTATTATAGGCTTCTAGTATAAATCACCAGAACAAAGCCTGTATGAACTACTCGAATGGCAGAGACAAAAATAGTGTCACAGAACACTGTTAGGTTTTTTTTTTGGACTACTACATATTTATATCACCAAAAGACTCCTAAGCTTTTGTACTCTCAGGCATCTTTGGTAATGTGTTCATACTTTATTTTCTGCACACTCCTACCTCTCTTTCCAGTACAGGAGTGCCCCCTTATCCATGAGGGATAGGTTCCAAGACCCCTGGGGGATGCCTGAGACCTCGGATGGTACCAAGTCCGATATAGACTATTTTTTTTCCTATCCATAGGTATGTATGATGAAGTTTAATTTATAAATTATGCACAGCAAGAGATTAACAACAATAATAAAAAAGAACAATATACTGTAATCAAAGTTATATGAATGTGGTCTCTCTCAAAATATCTTATTCTCCTGTACTGAGGGTAACTGAAACTACACAAAGGGAAACTACAGATAAGGGAGTACTATTGTATTACAGATTTTTGGTTGCAGTAGTGTACAAAATTCATTTTGAACAGTTAATAATTCTAAGTATAACACTGCCTTCTCTAATAAGGGCTTATTATTTTGCTCCATATCTCATCCATGTGCATATTTTTGAGGGAAAACAAACCAATAAAAGGATGTGGAAATGGGAGAAAAGGCTTTCCCAAACAATACTGGCAGTTTCTTGCTCAGGAATGAATTTGTGGGGAGATGAGCAAGCTGCCTGGAGACTTCCATTACTAGGAAAGGAACATCAAGCTCCTAAGAAACACTGCTGAGTCAGGGAGATGCTCTGCAGACCCAGAAGATTCACCCAGGGGGAGGCCAGACGAGGTCCCTCAGGTTCGCCAAGGCTCAGGTGGAGAGGAAAGCGAACTCTCAATTTCCTCATTGATTTCTCCCACTAGAGCCAGCTGCTCCTGTCAACACCATCATATTGCTTTTTGTTGTTCTTTAGGAGGAGTGAGATGGCATCATCATTTCTACACAAAGGTTAAGGGAATCATTTTATTAAGGATGAAGCTTTTTTTGGGAAAATGATCATCTTTAAAGGCAATAAGTGAGAGAGTGCATCCTTGCACATCTAGCGGGAATTTGGAAAGAGCTCAGTCACCTGATCTGTGTCTGTGATGAGAGGACAGATAAAAGGTACTGGGATGTGCACCAACCTTGGCCCTAACTAGTGTGAACTGCAATACATACACAACAACACAGAAGAATTACAATGGGAAGGGAGGGATATGGTTTTTTTTTTTTTTTTGAGACGGAGTCTTGCTCTTTCGCCCAGGCCGGAGTGCAGTGGCGCTATCTCGGCTCACTGCAAGCTCTGCATCCCCGGTCCATGCCATTCTTCTGCCTCAGCCTCCTGAGTAGCTGGGACTACAGGCGCCCGCCATCGCACCCGGCTAATTTCTTGTATTTTTAGTAGAGACGGCATTTCACCGTGTTAACCAGGATGGTCTCGATCTCCTGACCTCGTGATCCGCCTGCCTTGGCCTCCCAAAGTGCTGGGATTACAGGCGTGAGCCACCGCACCCGGCTGGGAGGGATATCTTAATGGGACAGGGCAAGGGGGCCAGAGAAAGGTTAAAGGTGCCTTCCCTGCTCCATTCTGAGTCACCCATATTCACAGCCTTTGTTTCATCCCCTCCCTTCTATAAGGTTTCAACCTTAATAAAGTTTCAGCCAGATTATAGATTTTGGTGGGTGGCAATGGGACAGGGGGTATGGGAGTCTGCCCTAAGAATTGATAGTCTGCTCTCAGACAGGCTTGGGGTCAGATGTACTAACTCTGTGGTCCAGAAGCCCCCAAGCTAAGAGGTAAATATGGAAAATGGCCCTGGCTTAGACCTGGAGCATCAGGCAAAAGCCAATGCAAAAGTGCTTTAAAGAGATGCACTCTCAACAAGATCCCACAAATAAAGCCCTGTCAGATATGGCTTCATAATAAAAAAATTACAAAATACACCAGAGAATCATCTACTGCCAGCCAGAATCAGCAGTCAAGCAAAAAGCATAATAAGATCACCCAAGAACTTCAGGTAATGGAATTACTGAATACAGACTATAAAATAAGTAGCTGTAAAATTATGAAAGAAATAAAGAACTGAATACATGAAAAAGGAACAAGTTATTTTCAAAAGGCTAGAGAAATTTAAAAGAGAAAAACAGAATTTCTGTAATTGAAAGATCTAGTGAACTAAAAACCTCAATGGATATGTAAAAGAGTGAATATTATAAAGAAAATTAGTGAACTAGAAGTCAGTGTAGAGAAAACTGGCCAGAATGAAGCCTAGAGAAAAGATCCTAAAAGAATTTTCCCATGACCGCTATTTGCATCGTGATCAACATACAGCTAAGAGCTGCCCATAGACAGGCCTGCTTTCTTCATGGTGAGTCTGGGGAAATCCGATGCACAGGGCCCTGAATTGGAGGCTAATTAGGTGAGATTTCCTTTATCCATTTCTTCTTCTGACTCAACATTCTTGTCTTTGCTCTCTCCCTAGGTTTAGATCTCACACCTAGAGGGCATCATAACACATGGTGCATACAACCAGCATCAGTGCTGTGTAGTCAGTGCCTCTGTATGTGTATAAGCATGTGGACATACATCTATAAACATATTACACACACATCTGTTAATGAGATTAATGTTTTTGGATGTATACTCATATATACATATCTGTAAAATAATAGCCACCTACATAAATCTGACTTCCAGCAACTTCAACTATAGTGGAACAGGTTGAGAGCTAATCACTGAACTGGAAGTGAGAAACTTTGGTTCTAATCTGAATGGAATGTTAAGAAATTGTGTGACCATGGGTAAGTCCCAACAGCAGTTCTCTCATCTGTAAATTAAAAGGACTGAACTGAATGATTTTCAGGACCTCTTCCTATTCTATTGTCACATGGTGATGCTAAATAGCTTTCATAGCATCCATGTACTTTCTTTTGTAGGACAGGTTTCTACTCAGAGCTTTGTTCTTATTTATATTTACAAAAGTGATAATCTGACTTTGTGAACTAATCAGAAATAATCATTGAGAAGTGAAAAATGAGCAAGAAGGGATTCCTAGAGCCAAATATACTGACAGCAGCTTTAAAAACCCAGTGAGGAACACATAACCATAAAAGCAGGGAAAAACACTGTAATATGAAACCTAAAAACAATGGCTATCTTTAGCCATTTACTGTAGGATCAAAAAGCTTTACACACCTCAATAGACCTTGAAGCCACCATTATAACACTGAGCAATAACTGATGTTGCTGATAAGCTTGGGTAATCAAGAAAAGGTTGTCTTATGTTCAGCCAGGACAAGAGACCCATAAAGAAGTTTAAAAAATAGCTAAAGGGTTTTAGACAGGAAAATCCTTTTATATGGATGCCTCGTGTGTGTACGCACGTGTATGTACGTGTATGCAAGTATATAGGGAAATATTTACAAGGGGTGCTATACACATGTTCTATGCAAGGTACTGTCAAGTAGCCCAAGAAAGATCCATGAATTGCTCTTTAGAAGCGTATAATCAAACACAGAAATCCTTATAAACAACATACATAAAACATAAAAAGATGTTCAGTCAACTGTATGAAACAAATACATATTGATAGAAAGTAGAGGCCAGGCATGGTGGCTCATGCCTATAATCCCACTTTGCGAGGTGGAGGCAGGAGGACTCCTTGAACCCAGGAGTTAGAAACTAGCCTGAGCAACATGGTGGGGCCCTGTCTCTAAAAAAAATAAAAATAAAAATAGTAGAAGCATTATTATTAATATGGTTAGGTTTCAGGTGGGGAATATTGCATGCAAAGCTGGTAGAGAGGTAGGGAAGTGAAAATTGCTGTGAAGAGAGAGGCTTTCAAGAACCCACTGAAAGTTAGAAAAAGATCTATGGCAGGGAAGGAGTCAAATGCTTCCCACAGGGAGGGAGGTGAGATCATGCTGCCTCCTGAACATGAAAGTCATCATTGTCATGAGTCACTGAGTTCATGGGAGACATCCGGTTAACTAAGTTATAAGGCAGGTTTAGACCATCAGCAGAGTAAAAGCTGAAAAGGAACATTCCACATTTGTGGGTATGAGCTCACAGACACATACCTCCTTTAGGGTGACAAGGGTCACTATACAAAACACCTAATCCCTGCAACACCTCACTCTCAAAAGCATGGAGGATAACTATAGAAGTGATTTGCAGAGTGACTGGCAAGAAGCAAGTCTGAGTATACAACATAATTATAAATCTTTCAGATTACATTAAAGCAAATCATTGAAATGGAAAGAAATTTCATAGAAAATGGTCACATTTTGTCTTCTTAAATAGCTAAACATCATCTAAGTGTGAATGGACGGAGAGATAAATGTAGATCTGATTATAAATGTACGTATTTAAAGACTTTTCCCTAATGATGCTATCTTCAATTTCTGTTTCATTTCTACATTTTGAGTTAAAAACAACTTTTATAATTATGTTTAGAATTAAGAGCCAGAAAAGCATTTCAGAAAGCCTGATGCTCCCTAGACTAGTCAAGGGTTTCTAAATCTAGCAGGTTCTTCAAAACAAAAGTTATCACCAATATCTTCTATGTTCAGAGTCGGAATGCTGCAGATTTACCTAGCTTGAACGAAATCTGTCATAAGGAATCTAAAAAATAAATTAATTCCAAAGTACTTTAGAAAAGCGTTCACATCACTATTTCTTCAGGGAGGCAAGACCCCTTCTGCTGCAATGTGCATACATATGTTCCAGAAGGAATCTCTAGCAGAAAGCACAGCATTTGCATTGTTTGTTAGTTCCCAGAGGGCAGGCATCACATCATATTTATTCACATCATATTTCTTCCCCTCTTCATTCCCCTTATTCTGGCTAATAATAGTATGCACTCTTGTGAATAAAAGAAAGTTTTGTAAAATGTAGTAAACAACATTCCTGTTTTCATTCCATAGCTTCCAGGGCCAATTCTAAATACCTTTGATATGGAAAGCCCTGAATGCTTTTTTAAACAGGCTGATCCTGAGAAAAGAGGAGAATATTCTTGCATACATGTGTGAAAAACAGCTTTTATGGTCTTTTCCCCAGTTCTGGAGACAAGAGGCATTCACAGTTGCTAGGGAGTTCTATGTTACATACAGATAAGAGCTTTCAGACAAGCAAAACAAGAGCAGAGCTTCTCATTTCTTATTAAATGAATTGTAGTGCAGCCTGATTATCAGGAGTTATCTACTGTGCCACACTGAGCATTCCTACCAGCCAGCTACGGCAGAGGCAACGGTGTCCTCTCCCCTTTCCCCTGCGTGGGAACTGACACCAGGAGAGGGCAAGCATTTCCGATGACAAAAAGTGAGTGTGTGTGTATGTGTAAACATGGGTTTGCACATGCATAAATTTCAAACAAACTTGATTCTTTGCTGAAATCTCACCATTACTGGAAATATTACTTGGCCAATTATGAAACAGACTTGTAAAGCCCATGACATTTTACCAAACAAATATATTTTCTTTCTTATTTTTCTTCCCATTTCACAACCATATACAAAGTATTACAAGTAGAAAAATTGGAATGGTATTGTTAAATAGGAAATAACTAACTTTAAGCAAACAACCTAAGATCCTGTCTATAGATCTATAGGTGAATAATTACTTAATAAATTAAGGAAGACTTGGCACCACAGTAAAGAGATTTTACTAGGTCCAAATAATGAGTGAAGCTGAATCCCTACTAATAAAAACAAAGAATGCTGTCCTTAGTGTAGCTGTAATCCTGCCTATAAGCAGTGAAATGGGCTGGCTGACCTTTTCATCCTCAAGATTTATGATGGGCTTCCATAAAATCCTAAAACTGAGGGAAAATAAGAAAATAAAAAGATCCTAAAAAACATTCAGAATAAGGGTTACTAATCAGAACGGGGAGGGGGTTGGTCAAGACAGCAGGTGTGCTCCAGACATGCTGGGGAACAGGGAGATGGAGGCAGGAGGCAGAAATGAAGTATTCTATTTATACACACATACATTTATATATACATATAAATTTACAAATACACAGATGTGTACATGCCCAGAGCCAAGCTCAAAGCAAGCAAGAAAATCCCCTGGGGCCGCAGAAGTAATGGTAGTTTAAAGCCATGTGACACCAGGGGTAACCACAAGAGACAGGACAACACATTTTCTACTCACTTTCTAACTGTGATAAGGACAGCAACTGCGGCAGGTAGGGTTGTTATGAGGTTAGAATAAGTGAATACATATAAAGCACCTAGAACAGTGCCTGCCACATGGTAAGCACTTGGTACATGGTAGTTGATTTTACTACCATTATTATTGTTAACTGGGCTGATGAGACATCAGATGTCAATGCTTTAAAGCACCTTGGGGGCAGAAGTCAAGGCCATGAGCCCATGTGATAGGGAGCTGGGATGGCTTCCTGCATAAAGCTGTGAGCCAAAAAATTCTAGTCCAGTTAGAAAACCTTTTGCCACCAACTGGAGGGGTTGCTGTGGAGGAGGCCAGCTACTTCAGGCCATAGGTGAAAAAGAGTCTTGAGAAATCTGAGCCCTTGACCCTGTGCCTGGCTTGGATGTGTGCAGCTTGACGCTGGCACTATCTAAGCTGTGTGGCAGTTAGGGGGCCAAGAAATTAACATACAAACCGGTTCATTCAATAAAACCCAATGGGCCCTGGCAGAGGCCACCAGGAATTCATTCCATAGAGATACCTCCATAGTCCAGGGTACAGTACTTAAGTTAAAAATCACACTGAGCAGAATAAATAAAAACAAATTCACATATGGACACATCCTGGCTAAAGCTATCAGAGTGACACAACAGATTACTGACAAGGGATGCAGACTTCTCATCAGCAATTACAGATGCCTAAGGACAATGGAAAAATGTCTTCAAGTGCCAACGGGAAATAAATGTCAAGTTGGAATTCTATACTACTATTCCAGAGTGAGGGGGAAACAGAAACAGCTGGAGGCACATACAGACTAAGAGAGTTCATCACCCACAGACCTGGAAAGCAAGAGCCACCAACACAGGAAGAAAACGGTGCCCAAAAGCAGAGTGAGATGTAAGAAGCAATATCTGCTACAAAATGAAAAAAATCAAGGGATGTGAAGGACCTCTTCAAGGAGAACTACAAATCACTGCTCAATGAAATAAAAGAGGACATAAACAAATGGAAGAACATTCCATGCTCATGGATAGGAAGAATCAATATTGTGAAAATGGCCATACTGCCCAAGGTAATTTATAGATTCAATGCCATCCCCATCAAGCTACTAATGACTTTCTTCATAGAACTGGAAAAAACTACTTTAAAGTTCATATGGAACCAAAAAAGAGCCCGCATTGCCAAGTCAATCCTAAGCCAAAAGAACAAAGCTAGAGGCATCACACTACCTGACTTCAAACTATACTACAAGGCTACAGTAACCAGAACAGCATGGTACTGGTACCAAAACAGAGATATAGACCAATGGAACAGAACAGAGCCCTCAGAAATAATACCACATCTACAACTATCTGATCTTTGACAAAACTGACAAAAACAAGAAATCGGGAAAGGATTCCCTATTTAACAAATGGTGCTGGGAAAACTGGCTAGCCATATGTAGAAAGCTGAAACTGGATCCCTTCTTTACACCTTATACAAAAATTAATTCAAGATGGATTAAAGACTTAAATGTTAGACCTAAAACCATAAAAACCCTAGAAGAAAACCTAGGCAATACCATTCAGGACATAGGCATGGGCAAGGACTTCATGTCTAAAACACCAAAAGCAATGGCAACAAAAGCCAAAATTGACAAATGGGATCTAATTAAACTAAAGAGCTTCTGTACAGCAAAAGAAACTACCATCGGAGTGAACAGGCAACCTACAGAATGGGAGAAAATATTTGCAATCTACCCATCTGACAAAGGGCTAATATCCAGAATCTACAAAGAACTCAAACAAATTTACAAGAAAAAAACAACCCCATCAAAAGGTGGGCGAAGGATATGAATAGACACTTCTCAAAAGAAGACATTTATGCAGCCAACAGACACATGAAAAAATGCTCATCATCACTGGCCATCAGAGAAATGCAAATCAAAACCACAGTGAGATATCATCTCACACCAGTTAGAATGGCGATCATTAAAAAGTCAGGAAACAACAGGTGCTGGAGAGGATGTGGAGAAATAGGAACACTTTTACACTGTTGGTAGGACTGTAAACTAGTTCAACCATTGTGGAAGACAAGTGTGGCGATTCCTCAGGGATCTAGAACTAGAAATACCATTTGACCCAGCAGTCCCATTACTGGGTATATACCCAAAGGATTATAAATCATGCTGCTATAAAGACACATGCACACGTATGTTTATTGCGGCACTATTCACAATAGCAAAGACTTGGAACCAACCCAAATGCCCAACAGTGATAGACTGGATTAAGAAAATGTGGCACATATACACCATGGAATACTATGCAGCCATAAAAAATGATAAGTTCATGTCCTTTGTAGGGACATGGATGAAGCTGGAAACCATCATTCTCAGCAAACTATCGCAAGGACAGAAAACCAAACACCACATGTTCTCACTCATAGGTGAGAACTGAACAATAAGAACACTTGGACACAGGAAGGGGAACATCACACACCAGGGCCTGTTGTGGGGTGGGGGTGGGGGAGGGATAGCATTAGGAGATGTACCTAATGTAAATACACCAACATGGCACATGTATACATATGTAACAAACCTGCACGTTGTGCACACGTACCCTAGAACTTCAAGTATAATTATATATATATAATAAAACAAAAAGAAAAAAGAAAAAAATCAGAGAGGTGTTTCCTCAACCTTTGACAACCAAACCTCAAAACTTCCTCACACCTGGGAGCAGAGGGACACATCTTCCCCTCGGGTTACAGTAGGAGAGGGCTCTTTCTCCACAGCTCTGGAGACATTGTCTGCTTTCTTAGGAACCTTATTCTATCAACAATTCCCTCCCCCTTATATCTTTATTCCTTTAAACCTCAGTTTTTTGTGTTTTGTTTTTTTTTGAGACAGAGTCTGGCTCTCATGCCAGGCTGGAGTGCAGTGGCGCTATCTCGGCTCACTGCAAGCTCTGCCTCCCGGGTTCACACCATTCTCCTGCCTCAGCCTCCCGAGTAGCTGGGACTACAGACGTCCGCCACCACACCCAGCTAATTTTTTGTACTTTTAGTAGAGACAGGGTTTCACCGTGTTAGCCAGGATGGTCTCAATCTCCTGACCTCGTGATCCGCCCACCTCGGTCTCCCAAAGTGCTGGGATTATAGGCGTGAGCCACCACGCCCAGCCCCTAACTTAAGTTTTTTAAACAAAATATCACAGACATGTATTTTTAAATAACTGATCATGAAAAGCAGCAGTTCCCCGCCCCACCCCTTCCTAGGTCCCGTCCTGTTCCTGGCAGCAACCACCTTCAGATCTTTGAGCTGTCTCGTTTGGTATTTATCTTCCTATTTTTAAATAATATGCTGTGCCAGGGGACCTTTGGAAAATCCATCACCTGTTGGCCAAGGCTCCTGGCCATTTGCTATGTGACAATCCTTCCTTAATCTGGAAAAAAGATAGATTTGATAAACTGTCACAATGATACAGTGTACTTGTTTTAAGAACGTGGACTCCTAAGACTTGGCCCATTCCATTTCTGAGAGATAACTGAGATAAGTTACAAGATAAGAGAATAACAATATGAGACATTTTGCAATATTTTTATATCTTACTTTATCAAAGAATTACCCAAGCTTGCTGCTACATTATATTTTTTTCTTTTCTTTTCTTTTTTGAAACAGGGTCTCACTCTGTCACTCAGACTGGAGTGCCGTGGTACACCTCCCAAGCTCAAGTGATCCTCCCACCTCAACCCCACAAGCAGCGGACTACAGGCATACACCACCATGCCCGACTTATTTTTGTATTTTTTTTTTTTGTAGAGACAGGGTTTCACCATGTTGCCCAGGCTGGTCTCCAACTCCTGGGCTCAAGCCATCCAACCACCTCAGCCTTCCAAAGTGCTGGGATTACAGGCACGAGCCACTGTGCCTAGCTGCTAAATTATATTTCTATCCAAAAATAAAATATACCCACTCCCTAAAAGCCCTGCCATGAGAAGTTGGGTAACATAAAAGTCCATAAAGTCAGTTAGAAAAAAGGATGGTAGGTCATGTCTCCCCCAGGGAAGCAGACAGAGCCATTACATGCATGAGCTTGAGTATGGATGGATCTAGAATGTGGATGAGTCTATTTCTCCTAAAATCAGGGTAAGGGTAAGAGTTGTGAGAACAGGGGTGTGGTAGGGGACTCATTATTTGGACTTTGAGAACAAAAAACAAAACAAAATGAAAAGCACTTCACCAGCAGAAGGCTGAGAAACCAGTACAGGTAATGTTTGATTATTACCTAACGTTATCTTGTATATAAAATAAAAATAAATCTTGTTTTTAAAAATGCTTTTGACTACTAGTCTGTTTCTTGGGAGCTCCAAATCATTTACCCATCACCTAATTAAAAAACAAAACAAAACACAAATACAATCCCACATCCCACCTCACCGCCAAAGAAAAACACAACAAAATAAAACCCATCTACTGGCTTAAGGCCTGAAAAGGAGAAAGAGGCCTCCAATCAGTGGCCAAAAATGTTCCTACAGCCTATACTTAGGTTACTTTTTTCTTGCTTTACCAATTTAGAACATGACTTCCAATTATGGTAGGTAAGAATTTAGTTCTTTTCCCAATATCCAAGTTATATCACAGTTTTTATTAAATCAGTAGCTGGTGCTTCTATTATTATTTACATGTTTCTCTCCTAAGCTAATAAAACACTATGATTACATTTCCTTTCTTGAACATTTTGTTTTTCCTAGACTTGCTAAGCCCTTCATTGTTTTCATGTGCTTCATTTTTTATGTACCTATTGCTCATTCCTCTAAAGGCTAGATTATATGGAAATCTTTTTTCCACACAAATCAGATACCTGTTAATTCCCTACTCTCATTTTTTCCTAGAATTCTTTATTCTGGAGCCACCTTCCTCCTCTTCCAACGGTCTCATGGTAGAGCTGGCAACCTGAAACTTCTCTATTATTCCAGCAGGTTCCTGGGGTAATGAAAGGCAAACTTTTTGAGAGTCTGTCTGAAAATACCATTCTTCTACTGTCACATCTGATTGACACTGTTGGGTACCGAATTCTAGGTTAGAATTATAATTTTTTTTCCCCTAAGAATGTTTAAGGCATGGTTCCATTCTCTTACAGGTATAAGTGCTGCTGTTGAAAAGTCTGATGTCTGACTCCCAATCCTTTGTATGTGGACCTGATTATTTTTTTCTTCTCTGTAAGCTTTAGGACCTTAACTTTATTCTCAGTGTTATTAAGTTTCTTGACATGCCTTCATGTTAGACTATTTTTATTCCTCAGGCTGGGTAGTTGGCAGGCCCTTTCCATTTAGAGATATATGTCCTTCAATTCTGGGAAATTAATCCACGTGTTTTGTTTGAGAGTTTCCTTGACTCTGTTTTCTATTTTTTCACGAGTCTCTTATTAATCAGATGCTGAACTTCCTGGACTGATTCTCTAATTTGCTTATTTTTTTCTTCTATTGTCCAATGCACTGCACATTGGTTTTGATCTCTGGAAGATTTTCTTGACATTATTTTCTAACTTTCCCAGGGGAAGGAGAGGCACCATAATTTTAATTTCTAAGAGCTCGTTTTTATCCTGTTTGTTCATTTTTTAAAAGCAGTATTGTGTTCTTGTTTCAAAGAGGCAGCTACCTTCCCTTATCTCTCTGAGGACATTTATAAAAGCTATTAATTTTTTAAGTATTCTTTTACCCTGTGCATTATCTATAGCCTCCTATTTCCTTTAGTTTTCTTTTTTATTTTGAGCTTTGTCTATCATGTTGGAGAATCTCCTCAAGTGCCTGGTGATTTTTGGCTCTCAATCTATATTTTAAAGTAAGATACTAAAATGCCAATTAAAAGTCCTATGTAAATGCCCAGGGCTTATTCATCAGTGGCCTTCACTGTAAAGCAATCAGGTGGCCAGACAGATTTTTTTAAATTGAGAGACATCCCACCATGTCAATATCTCATGTTCTTCCCACTAGGGTCACACAATCTTCAAAGAAGCTCCTGCAGATTCTTGCTTGGGGGAGGAGGGGAAGAGGAAAGATGGACATACCAGGCCACCTAAGTTCCCGCACTGGGGCAGGGAAAAGAACTGGGTAGGTCCTGGAGTTCACTACAGATGCTGTCTGATACCGCCTTTTGCTCTGACTGGTGGCCTCAGGGAAAGTGTGTCATGAGCTGAATTTCTCCAAAGACTATACATTCCTATGGGGGTAGGGCAGCTGCAGAGGGTCAGGTAGAGAAGCTCAGATCTCACTGCACTGTACTCAGACTCTGACTCAACCCCTTTGTTTTCACCTCAGCCAGCCTTCCACAATACTTGACGCCCCCACATCCTGAGCGTTTTTAAGGTTGTGTAGGACACATCATCTCAGTTCTCGCTAGTGTCCCTTCCTGCAGGCACTTAGGTCACAGTGCATCCTCTGCAAAGTGAGGCCCTCCTCCACCTACCATCTCTCTCTCACACACTCTTGTCTCCTCTCCCATTCTTTTGTAGGCTTATCACATTTGCATTCTTTCACTATGATTTCAGTGGGGTTTCTCTGGGTTACAGAGAGGATGGATTAAAATGCATGTGTTCAGTTGATCATATTAATCAAAAGCCTCTCCTGTCTTTACCCCTTCTTCATTGGCTCCTTCTCATCAGCATTTTTAAAAAATTTTGTTTTATTGCAGTAAGAACACTTAACATGAGATCTATCCTCTTAAACACATTTTAAGTGTACACTATCATAGACTACATAACTCATCAGCATTTAAACATTCCCAAGTCTCTCCAATATTAAGAAAGACATGACCAATAAATGTTTTCTCTTGATTCTATGTCTCCTTTCACTTGCTGCATTCTGTTGTCCTTCATAGTAAAACTTTTTGAAACAGTTGCCCACACTCACTTCTTCCTCCATGCCATGACATTTCTCAATCCACTGCCACCTACCTTCTGTTTCCATCACCCCACTCAAACTGTTCTTGCAAAGGATACCCTTCTTAATAAATCCAATGGGCACTTCCTAGTCCTCACTTTACTTGACCTCTCAGTAGCATCCAATGTTCTTGTACTCCCTCCTTCTCAAAACACTCACTTC
Organism: Homo sapiens; assembly: GCF_000001405.40. Classification (NCBI taxonomy): domain Eukaryota; kingdom Metazoa; phylum Chordata; class Mammalia; order Primates; family Hominidae; genus Homo; species Homo sapiens. The sequence goes on from NC_000004.12 coordinate 151,754,100, forward strand.
CTTGGAGTTTCTGGCCCTGCACTCTCCTTACGTCTTCTTACCTCTTTGCAAATGGGATCCACACCCTTTATCAGGGCTTATATGGTACAGGCTATGCTTTCTGCTCTAGCCTCACCTCTTGCAATGCCCATATTCAAATTCTATGCTACAACACATGGAAAACGTTTCAGTTTCTAGAGCAAGCCACGTTGTTTTTCTTCTGGTCTTTGTACATCCTATTCACTTTCTACTTGGCCAATTTCATCAATTCCTTATATCTGTGTTGAATACTCTTCCTATGTGCTCCTCAAGCACCTTGTATTTCCACGACTAACATGTTTATTAAAAGGTAGTGCAACTGCCTGCTTGCTTGTTCATGCTCCATGTGGGCAACACCCATATCTATCGTCTACCAAGTTCAAAACTGTGTCACTAGAGCTACACAAGGGCTAGCATAACGTGGGCATCCAATATATGCCAGCTGAGTGAATGAAGACACAACCGACAGAGAAGAAGAATGAAATGTCTACAGAAAGACTATACATTATAACAATTGTTTTAAGTGACAATCCTAATTTTTTACTAAATCAAGAGCCAATACCATGTTGAACCAAAGAAACACTCCAAATAACTACAGATGGAAAAAAAAAAGCTCATAAGCCTTCTTTTTCGCAATAAAAGTAATGATTTCTAATTCAGAAATAATTTTATCCATATACTAGTTTTTACTGGTTTTCATTATTTACTTAATTCTCTATACATCTCTGAGGTGATGAGATACCCAGGTTAGTTTTTGTTGGCAGATCACTTAACTGGTGAAATCAAGGTTAAGTGACCAATTGTTATGTGTAGCATTTACTTTTGCTCTCACTGGCAACGTAACTGTGCACAATAACTCAGGAGAGCCTTTGTAAAGATAAAAGCCACCAATCATTATGGGTATGCTAGCAGGTAAGATTTACCTTACCTATTATTAAGAGCTTTTTAATTAATTACCTGTTATTACTTGTTAATTATCTGTTAATTAATAAGAGCACTTACTACATGCAATTACTGTTTTAAGTGTTTTAAAGGTACTGATTCATTTAATTCTCACACAAATCCAATGAGTCAATTATCTCCATTTTATAAGAAACTGATGCAAAGAAGATTAAGTAATCTACATGAAAATTCTATTCATCTCACTAGAATTTTTATCTTTAGCATTGTCCTATGTCACTAAAAGTCTATTATAAACATTATCAGTGGCTTCATAATGTTGTACTGTACTGATGTATTATAATTTACTCAATGATTCCCCCATCACTGAGAAACTGTGGTTACTTCCAATTTTCTACCTTTAAAAATAGATCTGCTATAGACATCTCTGCATATAAGTCTTTGCCCACATGTTTATTTTCCAAGGACAGATTCCTAAAAGAATTACTACGTCAATAAACATGTTGGGCGAATAAAGTAGTCAAATTGCCATTTTGCCTAATTAGCTGTTTTTTCTTGCTTTTATGCCTACAAAGTTTCTCCCCAACCCAAGGACAAACAAATATTCTCCTAGATATTTCTGGATTTAATTTGACATTTAACTTATATTATATATATATGAACTTTGTTTTGATGTGTGAAATGAGCGATACTTTTTCTCCAAATAGCTAACCAATTCCAAAACCATCAGTTAAATAACTTATCCTTTTCCCACTGATTTTTGCTTCTTCTTACATATATTTTCCCTTGTTGGTTTATTCTTTCGTCAGGAGGCAGTGAAACTTTGGGGAGAAAAGATAACAGGCTTAACACTGTAACTGCTGAATTTAAGATGTTTATGAATCATTCAGATGGAAATATATAGTAGGACACAATAGATATAGGTTTCTTGCCTAAAAGAGAGAGGGGAGCTTTATTTGAGGGTAAAAAGATTACTCAGGGGAACACAGGTAACAGAAGAATTGAGAGCCAAAGAATAGGGCATGGGAAACCAACATTTCAGGGCTGAGTGGCAGAACACAGCCATGTGAGAAGGCACAATCAGCCAGGTAGAGGGCGGGGAAGAAGCAGGAGAGAAGGGAGCAATATAAGCCCTGCGCAGAAAGAGTTTCAAGTATCATCATGAATCACACTTACACTTTGGTTTACTTGACCAAAACAATAACATAATGTTCTACTAAAATCCTCGGAAGCACAAACATATTCTCAAATTATTGGTTTCTTATGAATGGAGTTATAAGCAGAGTCTGGCTATCAGAGCATGTTTATACATCTCCATAGGGCTTAGGGGAAGGACAACTGTCTAAAGGTTTTAGTGTATTTTAAATCTATTTAGAGGTAAATCAAAAGATTTTGAAATGTTTTGAATGGCAATGCTTAATTCTGGGAGTTTGGGTATAATGTTGCTCACGTACAAAATGAGGTCCCTTAAAGGCAGAAACATTTCTGAAGAAGAGGTAGATCTCCTCTGTCTACAGAATAACCCATCTAGGCTACTTAAACCATAAGCGTTGTAGGCTCTGAAGAGGAAAACAAATCCTAGCTCATACAAAACTGTATTTCCAGACTTTGTCTGCCATTTAATTAATGTAAGCCAAGCTCTCAACACTCAAATGTCCCAAACACCTTCACTGTGTTATTGATATGCTTATCAGTGAACAAGCACCTTCTTTTTTGGTGCATGACAAGTTTTACAAAGCAATTAAAATGTTGGCATTTTAATTATTTTGAATTTTTCTAATTTGGTCTAATTTTTGACCAAATTTAGGTACAGCTGGAGAGTCTATATACAGAAAACATGCTTATCTGCAAATGGACCTGTTTCTAAAGTGAACTGTAATAAGTATGGCCTGATAGCCATCACATTCACAGCTGGAAAAACCTAGGATGAACTCAGAGCTTATGCCTAATCTCTTGATAATTAACTACAACATGGGAAAAAAATGTTTTGAATCTGGAAGGGAAAATGTAGAGGTGTTATGACAACTTGCCTTCCATTTTACAATAAATATTATTGTATCTCTACTATATCTGAATCTCTGCCCAAAAAAGATGTCATATATTTATAACCAAAATATTCACTCTTCTCAAATAAACAAAAAATCTTTCCATAGATAGATCTCTAAGTCAGAGAGAGAGAAAGAGGGCACACCTCCACATCTATCTTCTCCCAGAGGGACCCAGCAGCAAATCAAAGGTGATCCTTGATATGGTCTGCAGGGAAGGGAGTCCTCCATGACAGAAAATGCGATAAGAGAAAAGTTCCAAGACAAAGATGCTGCCCCAATACAACCAAAGCTGAGTGAGGCAGGCATACTGGAGGCACTGCCCAGAATCTTCCACTTTGGTCAGTGACTGAGAAAAGTATACCTCTGCAAGCCTGCCAGTGCTCAGTTCAACCAGCTTCCAGATTTTTTTTTTTTTTTTTTTTTTTGAGATGGAGTCTCGCTCTGTCGCCCAGGCTGGAGTGCAGTGGCGCGATCTCAGCTCACTGCAAGCTCTGCCTCCCAGGTTCACGCCATTCTCCTGCCTCAGCCTCCCCAGTAACTGGGACTACAGGAGCCCACCACCATGCCCGGCTAATTTTTTGCAGTTTACTATTAGTAGAGATGGGGTTTCACCGTGTTAGCCAGGATGGTCTCGATCTCCTGACCTTGTGATTCGCCCACCTTGGCCTTCCAAAGTGCTGGGATTACAGGCGTGAGCCACCGCGCCCGGCCTCAACCAGCTTCCACTCTTATTTAAATGTTTGAGAGCATGGAATTTACCCATGACAATGTCTGCCTCTCCCCACCTTTGTCACCACCATGGATACACATTTCCTCCAAAGATGGCAGGAAACCCCAAACACAGTTGATATTATAGGTCCTGGACAGACCATATGCTATTTATTAGCTAAAACATTTACTTGTTCCCTTCATACTTTTCTTAAAAATTCAACCAATTATATAAAAATATATGCCAAAAGTCTTGCTGATGAGTATACTGGGCCCAGTCATTCCATAGGATCAAGTAAAAATGAGTGGTTAAGTGAGTACAATAGTTAACTCACTGCATATTATGGCTGTTTTCTACATTATTGAGTGTTTCTTAATTTGCAATAACCACAATCATTACTGGCCTTACACTGTAAAATCATGTAATATACACTGCTTGCTTTGAGTTGACTCCTCCTCCTCCTTCATTTATCTGCCTAAATTTTATTGGGCTTCTCAAATAGCTCAGGCCACCACCTCTTCAGTAACCCTTCCTTAACCTAAAGTACCCCTACTTCAATTTCTCACAACAGTCCTTTCTTTTACTGAATTAGTTGTCCCTCCTCTGGGTTTCGAAATCATCCTCTGCATATTACCTTCAAAGAAGGAATCACACTGTTCTCTGTTTGTTTATAAGACACATCTCCCCTACTAGTTTTTGAACTCCTTAAAGGCAAGGATCATCTTTATGACCCAGCTCAAAGCCCAATGTCTGGTATTAGTAGACATGCTAAAATGTTTGTGAAGTGATGAATACATGTATGAATATATTCAGACTTAGAAACAGCATCACAGAGATGGGTCTTCAGAAAACATTTAATATATCCCGCTTCACCCAAAACTCCCTAAATAAGTATTTCCAAAGAGTTGTGTTATTATTAAAACAAGAAAATAATTTTCCATGTTCAATATAAAATAAACATTTTTCTAATGAAAATAGGATTAAATAAGAATCTTACCGGCAAAGTTCCAGGTAGAGATGCATCAAAAAAAGAAACCAAAGAATTTGGAGGTGCTGAAAAGCGAACTTGAGATCCAGAGAAGAGTTTAGAGTTGGAGGAAATCTGGGCATGAATTTCCAAACCTACCACAGCAGCCCATTTGTGTTCACTAAGAAGAAAGAGATAATGGTTAAGATGTATTATATTTGTCACCATGAATGAATTTCTATAAGTCTAAACCACAAATGTTAATTTCCTATATGTGTTTTAAACTTAATACAATGTTATATCCTCACATTAAAAATGTGTCATATTTTATCAGTGACTAAATAAAAAACAATTTAGAATAAGCGCCTACACTGAGATTGGCAAACTAAAATTCATTTACAACATGGCATCAGGAGGCTGATGATATAAACATGAAGGCTATAGAGAAAGGAACAATTTGGCGTCTTAAAACAATTTAGAAATGGGTATCAGGTGACAACTGCTTGGCTGACTTCAGTGAAAAGCGGCATTTAACAAATTAACTGTAACTTATCAAGTAATCACTCAGTAAATGATGAAAGCTGATCTTTCCCACATTATCTAGAATTAACATAAATGGCAACATTCTACTACTAGAGAAATAATGATAAATAGTTCCACGTCTCTTATTTAAAAAGGAAATTCTCAACCATGTTTTGGTTTGCATGTATAATAACCAGAGAGACACAGATACAATAAATCACCACTAAATGATACTCTTAAAAAAATTTTGCAAAACTCCACCACACTAAACCATCTGATGCGGCATATTTTTGGTCCCCCAAATCACTTTCAATTCCTGAGACCTAATTTCAGGTTACTTTTTTAATGCTTATTTGCTATCAAATCTAAGAAGCTGTTAAATGCTATAATAATCTCTCTTATCTGGTCAGTCCTACTCTGTTGGGTCTGTACATAGGCCTCTCCAGGTCCTTATAAATGTGCTTATTCCCTATGAAATCCATGTATGTTCCTATCCTGCTCTTCTCCCAAGTAATTTTGTGTATATACATATATATATATATACATATTTTACATCGTTTTGTTTTGTTTCAATCATTTCAACATATAAAGTTCTATATCTGAAGTACTGCAAGAATAAGTCCTTCTTTTTAAAGTTTGGAAACACAGCCCATAAGGGAGGGGAATTAAAGTAGGAACTCATTAGAAATTCTGCATGCAGTAAAGCACCATTCAAAGTATTTTTGCATTTCCATTACATGAGAGAAAAAATGTACTTTCCATTCACAAGGAAACAATCTAATTCACGAAAAGAATACAAAACTGAATACTTCTTTCTGGACAATTTCCCTCTGTTCCTCCAACTGAAAGTAAAAATAATGCCAACTAGTCTCAAAGAATAAACAAAATATTAGAAACTTGCCATATGTTTCTGTATTTAAAGAGAAACTATTTAATTCTTACATAATGAAGCATAAACAGCTGTTCAGGGGATATCTGGCCAAATAAGCAAAACTCTCCATATAACCAGGGGGAGTATCTCTTCTTTTGGCTGCGTCCTCCTAGGTCTAGTCACACATATTCCAACATAAAACGCCTGCACAGATAGCTAGTGTTTTCTGACTAATGACAATAACCCACCACTACCAAGAGCTTGTAGGTAAAGGCTCCCTTTCTACCTTTAGAACGCTGCCAGCCCATACTAGCGCTAAATAAAATCAGCTAAATATGATCCCGCTTCTCGTGTCACCGTCCCCACTGCTAGTGCTATTAGTAAGATGACCGAATCCACTCTTCTGTCTGTGCACCCTTCAAGAAAATATTTGCTATTTTACACTCGCGAATTCCCCAACTACATCTATTTGAAAACAGTGGTTTATATATGGGGGCGGAGTTGATAGAAAGTCTGTTTGTGCTTTTATTTAGGTTTCGGGGCTCCAGGTTATAACTCAACGCCCTCCCGTCAGCCAAAACGTCTAGAAGCTGGGCCGTAATTGCCATTATTTCCCCAGTCCTGCAGTTCCACCTCACAGTTAGGTGGGCAGAAATGTATGAAACAGAATACCCTTTCCTCGTCTTCTGGGCCGTGTGGAGGGGCTGCTGAGCCACTGAGCTCTCTCCCCTAATCTGGTTGGATGTGGACCCAGTCGGAGCCCCTCTTCGGTGGCAAGAACCACCGTCAACCCGGGCGAAAGCCCAACGTCTTCCACGGCAGCCCCAGCGCAGCATGGGCGCCGCCATTGTAACTCCAGGGTCTTGGTCAGGTGACTCAGCCTCACTATGCCGCGAGGCTCCCTGGGAAGCGTAGTTCTGGAAATGCATTAAAAACGCCATAGGCTCGGACCGGAAGACTACTATTCCCGGCGAGCATTGTGATTCGAAGCCTGCCGGAACCCCGCGGAGAGGGGAGGGAAGGAGAAATAGAGGAGAGGGTGGGAGGGTTTCTGGGTGGGGAGGTGTGACTCCTCCTAGCGGGGAGTTGGAGAGGTTTGTGGCTGTGAGCGTGTGTATAAGTTAGAGTGTGAGCGCTTGATGCTTGGTGCTAAAGCGTGGCCGGGATTTTATAACCCAGTTAACCTTGCAAGGGGAAGTAAATGACCTTGACAGCTCAGCAGAGACTTCCTCAGCCCCCAAACCCAATCCGTTATATTCTCTGTCTACTCTCCTGCTTCACTCAGCAATTTGTGCGTTAATGCAACAAATACTTATTTGCATGCCTACCGTAATGCCAGGCTCAGTTCTCTTAGGCACTGTAGTTACTGCAGAGATCAAGACAGTTATGGCCCGCATGTTCATGGAGCTTACATTCTAAAGAAGGGAGACATACAGAAGTTAACAAAAATAAGATACTTCCATATAGGTAGTAAGTGCTATGTTTAAGCAGAGGTAATTGGAGACAAACAGCCCTAGATTGAATGTTCATGTACATTTTAACCTCCTTTTTATTATTGGCCAGTATCAGAAACACACTCCTTATATGCTAGGAGCAGATACCATCGTCCCAGCGGACTTCCTTCATTTTCCTGTGTCAAAACTAATACCCCTTGTTAAAACTGCCACCGATTTCTTGTGTTTGAACACAGTCTAGAATAGTCATTTAGCCACTCTCTATTTCATCACCCGACTTTGATTGTCCTCGTAGTGCTTTTGACTGCCTGATGTTTATCTTCTATTTCCACAAATTCCTCGTCTGTCTTATTCACTACAGTACAAAGTAGGTTCCTTAAAAATATTTGTTGAATAAAGTAGTGCAGTGTGGAGAATGCATTTGACAAAGGATGGAGTGGATGCCCTTTGGAGCAGTAATTGTTTAGGGGAGAGATGATGAGTTAGGGTGGTGGCAGAGCCAAAGAGAAATGGATCTGTTTGAGATAGATATAGGAAGTAAAATTGAAGGACTCTGATGGATTGGATATGATGGTGGAAGGCTAGGAGAAACAAATAACTCCTGGATTTCTGGTTTGCACAACTGGCTGATGAAGTTATCCACCGAGATAAGGAAACCAGAAAAGGAACAGGTTTGCAAAGAAAACATATGAGTTTGGTTGCCTTGGAGACATTCAAGAGGAGAAATCAAGTAGACATCAGTGATGCCTAATTCTGAGTATAGAGCAGGGCAAGGGGAAAAGCTGCATATTTTGTATACTTCACATTGATAGATTTTCAGTTATTGATCAATAATCCATTGATTAGTTGGCTGTAACCTTTGATCTTTTCCTTTAATACACTTCAATTGCATATCCATATGGAAGAAAGAAACTTTAGTTACTGTCCTTAAAATTGTCATCATTTATTTTTTCCATCTTTTCTACTTTTTCATCCACTATCACTGTTCTAAATTGCCACACCAGAAGTATCAGTCATTTGACCAAGGATGAAAATGACAAAAATGACAGGGACTGGAAGGGAGTGGTGGAGACTTGTTCCAAAATTTCTCTCTAATTATTGCCCTTTATTTAAGGTTCAGATGATTCTCTAGATCCTTTACTAGAGTCTTCCCTCTGAGTTTCCATGTTTTCCACCTTTACTCTAGGTAAGCTAGCTTTCTTTTACTTATTTAGCTCCTCAGGTTTTTCTGGCCCAGACTAGGGGTCAGGAGAGTTGCCTCTGAGCACAAAATGGCTTCACTTTTGTTAGGACAACAGAGGAGAATGGAATCTTGTATCTCTAGCTAAAAAGAGAGGGGGACACTTGTTACCTCATCGCTGGTAATCAGCATCCTTAAAAGGCGATTCACTCCATCAAATGGAAGATTGGGAATGTTTTGAAAACCACTGTAAGGGAGAGCAACACATTTAATGAAAATCCTAATCTTACGGGTAAAACGCGCTATAAGGGAAGCTCATCTTTGTTTCTGAAGCGGTATTATTCAGTAATAGGCTATCGCCTCAAAGGCCCCACCCCACCACTAGAGGAGATAAAAATCCTACGCATGTAAGTGTATTTGCTTCCTTTCACGAACGGAAACCGGCCAGTTTCCTGCATCTTGTCTCTATCTAATCATTGCCCTTTCAAAAATCCTATAGAACTAATCGTGGAAATAGAGACTTGTCAATAACCATCTCTTTGGCTGTCCTCTCCCTCAAGACTATTTGTCATTTCCCGAAATGCCTGTAGTTTTCCTTGTGAAAACAGGAGCACTGTTTTCTGAGTGCTCCCCCTGCCTTGCTCCTTAGCTGGTCATACTCCCACCAAACCGCCTTCTGTGGGACCATTTCTAGCCTTCCTGCTGCATGCCAAATCTGATATCTGTCAGAACTATTGCTGATAGACAGCTCTCCAGCTGCGAGAGCTATTTTGGTTGCACCGACAAGGTGGCTGTCATCTGGGAGACACAGAGATTTTCATTTTCAAGGAACTCAGAAGGTAGCTGGGCAGAGTTTCTAGCAAAAACAACATTTTTCTTAGGGAGAGCCTCTCGGCTCTTATTTTATCCATATAATTGATACACAGTACAAATAGATTTAGAACAGGTTTTTAAAAAGCTATGTAAAGCAGAGCAGAATTTCGAGTCGTTACTTATAAATGGCAGTAGTTAGATGTGTCAAAATAACATGCTTGGTTTTGTTTAGTGCTCTTCAGTGGGTCTTTGAATGTCAGAGTTGGAATGAACTGGCTCACCTCTGCATTTGACTCAAAACTATGAATAAAACCACATTGATTTCTGAACACAGATTACTTTTTCTCTCAAATCTAAGTTGTGCTTAATTGTAATCATTCCCTTTCACTAGTTCACGATGGGGGAAATAACATGAATACCCAATGTCCTAGGATAGATAGCTTCTTCAGCAATGTGGGTGCAATGTGAGGGGGTAATACAGGTGGTTCTAAGTTTCCACTTTTTAAATGAAATAAATAATTTCAATAGAAACATTAAAATTGCAAGTAAAGTGAAAAAGAGACAGTTTCCACTATCCTGGCAATGTATGTCGAAATCTATTTGTATACATCTTTCCAGTTAAAATTGCATTAACTAATGTAGTCTTTGATTAACTACTTTTGTCCTGTGGAAACAAAGTCAATGCTTTAAAAGCATTTAGCAGGCTAATCAACAAAATGCCCCTTGTAGTCTAACAGAGCTGGAAGCAGATGGTTATCTTAGTATTTCTTAGCACAGTTGTGAGCTTGATCCCTGTCTTTCTTGGCTGTGAGTTTCTATGTGTTCTATGGCTATGGAACTCAGCCTGCTGTCTTGAAACTTTATGCCACATGGTAGAGACGGAAGATGGCTAGGTCAGTAGATATTCTCTTAAAAAAAGAGAAAGAAACCACAGCAGTAACAACAAAACCCACATAAGATAATGTACATATAACAGAAATTAATAGCATCATTTATGTTGTAACTAGAAGAGCTCCTGTTTTTGAGAAAGCATTCTGAAAACATGAAGTTCCTTCTTAGAAAAACTACATTTTAAAATCCAGTTAGGTGTCATTAGGGGAAAAAAGAAAGACTGGGAATACATGCATGCTGAGCAATTGGGAAAACAGGATTCATTTCCTTTTATTTTACCATTAAAGTCTTGATTCTGATAAAATACTGATGCAGAGGGAATAATTGCTTTCTCTAGAAGATTGCTTTGCAGCAAAGAAATCTATGACTCCTTTTTCCTTTCCAGTGCAAGGAAATAGAACACCCTGTTCAATGTCCTTGAGAGATGAAGGGCCATATGGGGAAGATGAGGCCAGCACATTGTTGCTATTATGCCTGGACCATAAACTGGAAGCTCTCTATGGTCTCCCTTCTTCTATCTAATCTCAGGGGATGGTTTGGATGGTTTGCTCTTTCCCCGGGCTTTTTCTAGAAATTTCTAGAAATCTGGCTACTCCCTCAGAGCCAACAAGAATGATGTGTAAGAAAGAAGCTCCACTTCCATACATCCTTTGCTTCATGACGTACTTGAAAGAAGATACTCCTGATTTGTAAGTAATGGGTGGTAGAACACGTTAAACTCCATGTTTCTGTAAACTGTGTTTTTGCATGTGGTCATATCCCTCTATGCACCAAGAAATTCTCTCTTTTGTGTTTTGGAATTCGATATTTGGCCTTCAAAGTTAGAGAGCTTGTACACACACACACACATCACCAAACACACACTTCTAAGCAGTAGCTTAATTCAGGAGCTCCAATAATAGAAACGTTTAGGTTTCAAAACAGATGATGTTTTTGTATGTCAGATGGTTCTCCTGATTTTAAGCCTAAAGATGTTGAAAAGTGTGGCATTAAAGAACTCCACCACCAAGACACGTGGACTTTGATGAGACCTTTCAGCGAATGAACTCCTACTTGATAATTGAAGGGAAGATGTATCAGAGTCCATCAGCATGGTACAGAAGAGAATGGAAGAGCTTATCTTACACATCCTGCCCTGTAATTGGTGTCATTACCTATGCGTATCTGAACTGGTATCTCTGTATCTAGGCCACCCTTGAACCAAGAATGGATGGACTGCACAAAGCAATAAAGGCTGAACTCATGTTGGTGGTAGAGCCTTCAGGGCTCACCACAGTTTAATGTATAGCCGTTGAGAAGAAATTTAGTGCTCCATGAAGAAGTGCCAGATTGAATTAAAATCAAGCAACAATCAGATGAAACAACCACGGAGATAAATGCAGAGAGAGAGAGAGAGAGAGAGAGAGAGAGAGAGAGAATTCCCAGGGATTCATTAATACTAGTTAGGGAAAGACCAGCACACACATTATTCATGTCTCCTTGGAGTCTGAGTCTAGATTCTAATTCAACAATAAGATTTTGATGACTTGGCCTAGCAGTGATTTCAGTTGATGTGAATTCCACACTTACATCAGCTTGGCTACTAAAAGGCATTTTCATCCCCTCACGTATAGTAAGAATGAAGATAAATGGTGTTAAGAATGGGACTGGATACTGTGTTTTTCAAAAGGCAAAAGAAAGTAAGAATACGTAAAATGCCTCTCTAGCAAACAGGAGCCTGTCTAGCCCAATATTCTATTTGTGTTTATTCCCTATAGCTGTTATCTTTCTTTTGGCTGCCGTAGCATACTGGTATGATATCTTTGGGAAACATTTTGTAGTACTTCAGAGAACGATGAATTTTAACATTTTACATGGGTTTATTAAATAAATGCATTATCTTCTACTTATTGCATTGAAATACACAATCTCATGAAATGTTCTCATCGTTTATGAGGGCAGTTTGACATTTCACAATCTCTTAGAATTTAGTGTCTTTAGCAAATGTCAAAATGAAAAATCTTGAGTTTAGGAAAGAAAACATTTGCCTTGCTTAGTTCTCTAGTGGTCCCCAACCTTTTTGGCACAAGGGACCAGTTTCGTGGAAGACAATTTTTCCAAGGACTCGGGGGTGGGGTTGTGGGGGAATGGTTTTGGGATGATTCAAGTGCATTACATTTATTGTCTACTGTATTTCTATTATTATTATTATTACATTGTAATATGTAAAGAAATAATTATACAACTCACCATAAGGTAGAATCAGTGGAAGCCCTGAGCTTGTTTTTCTATAGCTAGACAATCCCATCTGGGGGTGATGGGAGATGGTGACAGATCATTAGGCATTAGATTCTCATAAGGGGCATGCAACCTAGATCCCTTGTGCGTGCAGTTCACAGTAGGGTTTGTGCTCCTATGAGAATGTAATGCCGCTGCTGGTCCAACAGGAGGCACAGCTCAGGTGGTATTGTGAGTGATGGGGAGTGGCTGTAAATACAGATGAAGCTTCTCTTGCTCACCTGCCGCTCACCTCCTGCTGTGTGGCCCAGTTCCTAACACACTACAGACAAGTGTTGTTCGATGGTCCAGGGGTTGGGGACCCCTACCCTAGGCCAGCCATCATCTTAGGTACCTGAGGCCTTTTTCTTGGGATCTATGACTAGAGGATATTAGCTGCTCTGTAACCATCCCTCTTATAGCAATTCTGATTACTTCTCCAAGGAAGATCAAGAATATTTTGCAACTGGCCTACATTGTTTATTAACTCTTTCTAGAAACTTCTACTAGGCTTATCCTGAAGCCCTTGTGTTCTCTTTAGCCCACAGAGATATAAGGTATCACTTATTTCAAAGTGATAATATCCTTTTGCATTGGTTTTATTGTACAGTGGATCAGATGAACTGTGGTTCTCACTGTGTAAGTTAACAGAAGTTGTCCATGAACTTGAAAAATAAAATTGAGTATGTGTTTTGGGTTGGAATTCTATGCCACCATTTAATCAAATCTTGTGTTTACTCTTTTTTCTTTTAAAAAATGCTGTTACTCATTTTCAATTGTCAAGAAACAGCGAGCACAGAAATGGTAATTTTCACTCTGTCTGAAATACAATGTGGCCAGACAGGCCCAATTACAGAAAATCAATTAGTTTCTGTTACAAGAGTCATGTATCTGAGGTCTTGTTCTGTCTCCGGTTACTGTAGCTAATGTCCACTTCTCTCCAAAGGAATTCTTAGGAGAAAATCAACCAAAGACTTTTTTACTAGAGCAAAAACCTATAGGACCTAGACATTGAATCTTTGTCAATTAAGATAGAGACAGAAATAAATTTCTTCCTTGAATCACTTCCTCTCTTCCTGTACTTTTAAACAACATACTCTTGAAAGAGAAGTTATCATTTAGTTTCTGAGACCTAAAATTTCCAAGTGTTACTTCTATATTATACTATCTATGCCTTTTTGTATAAGGTAAAGACCATAATGCTTCTCAAGCACGTGGTTTCACATAAATCTGATCTATGTCATGAACTCTTCTCTTGATCTAAATCAACTAACAAATTCAGTTGAACAAATATATCTAGGTCCAAAGTTTTTATTATTCATAATGTTCCTGTTTCATAGATTTACAGTTGCACATGGCTTCTAGGAAGAAAACACTGCCCCCACATTTCCTCGCTTTTCTCTTTTATATGCTTTTAAAGAGAGGGCTTTTGTTTGAAAGATTCATTTTGGTGTCATATAACTTCTTGAGTTACACCTAGGGAAACCCAAGACATCTAAAAATAGCAGCAACATGTTTTTTTTTGTAAAGATAAACAACACTAATTGCTGATTTCAGGATATTACTGATTTCACAATATTACTGGTTCCATTTTCCTCATTATAGAACAGGACAGCCATAATCAAGAAAAACTTCAATTAACATTAAAGATTGCACTTGTACCAAACTCGCACTTAAAGCACAGATGTAGAAGGATTGTTTCAAAGTGTTGTTAAGAAACATTAAACTTGTGGTAAGCCAAGTTATAACTTGTGTTATCTAGGGCCTATAATTAATTTTTTAAAAATCAAAACACTTTTAAAAATAGTCTTGTGCATTGGATTCCAGCATGCTGCTGCTTTTTTGTAGAGGGATTTCTGTAAAATGCAAGTTTATTTATAGATTGCAAGTGACTCAAAGATGTTACAATATAAAAGAAAATGATACTCTTGAGTCTTTGTTTGGGGATGTTAGGGGCTGTCTTGGAATACTCAGTTCACTCAGAAGATTGCTTTTAATCTGAAGCAAAAGAAATTTCATAAACTGAAATTGTTGGCCAGATGGAATTTCCTGATTAATTTTTTAGTGTTTGGTATTAAACATAATAATGAAAAGGGGAGTTCTGAGAGTAAACCCAATTAACATTTCATAAAATTTATTGCTCTAAATATGGCTTACCCTTTATCTTCCCAGATAACCTGCTGGTACCTTGAAAAACTTAACTGGTCAACTTCCCTCCTTCCTTCCCTTGCATTCCTTCCATTTCTTTGTCATTTAACTTTCTTTTCTTTTTTGTACTCTATTCATTGAGTCCTTGCAAGGCTACGGGCACCCTTCCAGGGCTTACGTTGTCCTATTCTTTATGGACCTTGGTAGAAAGACTATTTGTAGCAGTTTGTAATATTAAGTCCTGGCACTAGAGTGGGGTCCCTCTTGTTGTACAAGAGACTCTTAATACTATCTGTAATCATAGACTGGCTTGCACTTGGTAAAGCTAGTCTTTGTGATGTTGAGAGCAAAGGTGGATGTTCTCCCTATATTTTCTTTTCCTATTTATCACTTTTCTATGGTAGTTGGATATTCCCATTCACTCTCTCTCTCTCTCTCTATATATATATATATAATATATATACAGACATTTAATCTTTGTCAATTAAGATAGAGACAGAAATAAATTTCTTCCTTGAATCACTTCCTTGGTAGAAAGAATATATATATATATATATGTGTGTGTGTATATATATATGTATATGTGTATATATATATATATATATATATATATATATACATACACATATAATATAGTCATTTGGATATGTGGGGATTGGAGAAACAACTTTTTGAAAATAAAATTTATCCTACCAGACTGAGATTTTTGGAGGGCAAGAACCATATCGTCCATGATTCAGTGTCCTTCCAATTCTCAGGGCTATACCAGCTGTGCTGGCCACCATCTACCCACCACTCCTGGGAACTATTTTCCCGTCCCCACCAAAACCCATCCACATGGCTATGTTAAGAACTGCCAAGCTGAGCTAGTACTCCGTGCCAGGGCTGGCTACGTTATTTGTGAAATTCAGTGCAAAATTAAAATGCAAGATCACGTGTTCAAAAATTATTAAGAATATCTAGATGGCAGAAGCATTATGCCAAACATAAGACCCTTCTAAGCACAGGTCCCTGTGCAACCACACAGGTTTCATGCCCAGCTGTGCTGACTTTCCCACCTCCCACACCAGCCATGGTTTATCGAGTCCTAGGGGAAGAGAATATCTAACTCAGGTAAAACCAGAGACCTTTCTGGTTGATTTGTTTGTACCAGAACTAAGAAAAAAAGTGTCCCAGTTGGATAAAACTGGGGACCTATCAGCTGGCTTGCTTTCAGTCATGTGATGAATGCCATTGACGGGCTGAACACACATCATTTCATTGTATCTCATGTGCTGGCAATGGCCCAAATATCACCTAAGGTACCAATAGTTTGCTAGTCTTTCTGTTGACCTGCAACTTATTGTCCACCAGCTTTGAGGCTCTGGAAGCTAGAACAGATAACCTCTTGAGCATTTTCCATTTCTGTGGTTCTCTGAACCTATGACCAGATTCTACAAAATGAACCTAATCTATAGCCATATATGTGTAAAAATGCAAAAGAGTTCTTGATTACTCATTTATCTTGGTTAAGGTTCATGGAACAGTCATTTGCTTAGATCTTGATAGTGTGGTGACCGCTGAGATAAAAACAAAATGAAACAACAAAACAAAAATAACCTATCCTTTTAAAGCTAACCATCAGTCAAGGCAGTTTGTTAGCATTCCAACTGCAAGATGATTCTGAGTGCTTCCTTAGGGGAAAACCGCTTAAGGTCTAAGTAAAGAGGACCTCATACCCCAGGGAACCTCCATCTTCACAGTTTCAGTCTCTTTCTCCTTTTCCCAATAGTATGACTCCCAGTAATTTTCTCAAAGAGGATTTACAAAACACTGGTAAATGAGTAAAGATCGGCTCCTGGCAGACCTCTTGTCTGGCATTCTTCAGGGAGCTAGCTTTAAAGGGAAACTTTAGGGGCAGGACACAGTCAGTGTTCATAGACCAGCACCTGGGCTTTGGTATTTTCTGAGTTTTTTTTCTGTTACCCTATTAGACTCTTCAAGGAAAAAAAGAAGGATCAAGGTAAATCGAAGGGCTTAGATGAAATTCAGATTTAACAAGTGATTACTTCCCAAGTTATACACAGAAACTTGGGAGGAAATTAGCTGGATATTGTGTTATGTCAAGTGTTTTATAATAAAGATGTGTACAGGTGGAAATCTATTCTAGCCAGGTGTGGTGGCTCACACCTGTAATCCCAACACTTTGGGAGCCTGAGGCTGGTGGATCACTTGAGCTCAGGAGTTTGAGACCAGCCTGGGCAACATTAACAAAACCCATCTCTACAAAAAATTGAAAAATCAGCTGGGTGTGGTGGCCTGTGGTCTCCGCTACTCTGGAGGCTGAGGTGGGAGAATCACTTGAGCCCAGAAGGCAGAGGTTACGGTGAGCTGAGAATGCGCCACTGCACTCCAGCATAAATGATAGAGCAAGACCTTGTCTCAAAAAGCAAAACAAAACAAAACGAAATCTATTCCAATGAGAAATGAATAATTTCTCAAAATATACCTAAAATTTAGGGTCATAGATGCAGAGCACTTGTTGCAGAATAATATTTAGGCAAATCATTGTTCCTGGAAGATTTTGTTTTTAAAAATGTCACCTCTCTGTCAATTTATAGATGAAGATGCTGGATCCCAGCATGGAGAAAATTCATATTTTCCCAGTGTGTATCTAGAGCTGTCCAGACCTTTTTGTCTCTAATCCTGGCTGGGTTAATATCCAGAGCCCTGCTTTTGTACACTGCCTGAGGTAAGAAATTGATATGTGTCATAATGATGACTTACTCTTACATTAATATATTTTTTGTCTTTTCAGTTGAATACACTTTAGCCTTTTATCTCTTAAGTGAAAACAGGATAAAGCCAAGGTAAGAGCCGTAAGACTGGAAGTGAGAGCAAGCCTGCAGTCCCCAAGGGAAGGCTCTTCTACAAATGTCCAGAAGATTATGTCCATATGTCTTTCTGGAACTTTTGCCAAGATAGTCACAGGATCAAAATTACTTCTTCGTGGCCATTATGCAGTGTCACATCTTACAGAGCCAAAGGAATAAATTCCAGACATACAGAACACACGTCCCTTCAGCCTCTCTCAGGCAGGCTGTCGACTCTGCAGCATTAATGCACAAATCAAAAAAGGCAGCCAGAGCCTGAAGACTTTTTCTGCTAGCCTATTCCTTACTGTCCGCCTTCCTAATGCACTGGAGTGAAAAACCTACAGCCAGGCCCTTGTCCTTCACGCTGTGTACCCCCATGCTGGCACTCCCAGGCTAGAAAAAAGAAAAAAAAAAGAGCAAGGGAGGGAAGAGAAAACAGAGGGAAGAGATTTTATCAAGCAACAAAGGAGAAAAAGCCATGTTTTCACGAACCCTTTAGTAGAGGACCTACCACAAAAAATTTGACTTGTGCTCCTGTCCCTTAACTGGCCAAGAAAGCATACTCTAAATGCCACTCCTCCTTCTTCTCAATGTCCCTCTCTTTATCTTCCTCCCTGATGGTCTGTCCTCTACAGCCGAATGCTTCTGAATGTTTTTACTCTTAGAAACAGTATGATTCCTGTCAAACCACAGCTTAAACTTTACAGAAAAGCTCTTGAGCTTTCATTCCTGTAACCAAGATCAGCGATCTGTCATGTACAGCGGCATTTCCAACTGACTGCTAGAAATCTCTGCCTTGATGCCCTGCCAGCACCTTGAAATTGACAGTTCCACAATCTTAGCATCTTCCCTCCTGAAAGAAATGTTCCTTCCCTGGACTTTTTTTTTTCTGTGAATGACAAACCACTCTCTCAGTCATTCCAGCCTCAAACTTTGAAATTATATCTGATTACTCAGTGGTATTGTCACATGTTTTTGGTGATCACCAGGTTTCTAGAATGGGTGGCTAAGTGGAGGTGATGCCACTATGGAAAAATAAGCAGGTGTGTGGAAGAGGATATTAATTGCAATTTTGGACATTGCTTTGAGATGTCAGTGAGACATCTAAGTAGATATATGCAGGGCTAGTGGAAAATACCAGTCTGAAAGCCAAGAAGTCTGGACTGAAAAGATAAGTTTCAGAGTCATCAGATCAGTGGTAGTGAAGATGTGAGAGTGATGGAGTGATGGGGTTACCCATAACAAGGGTGGAAGGCGTAATATGTTTTAAAAGTTTTTAGTAGATATATTTTTTTTTCTTGGGAGCAAACATGAGGTTTCTGGATCAGAGGCAGAGTTATTATAACCACGTGGGTTCCTCACATCCCATTCTCCCATTTTAGGGTAATGGGATGACCAGATGTCACTCTACATATGTAAAGAAATTTTTTTTCATTATAGAAGAGGAATTCTAAAATTATGGATCTGGCAATCAGTCACAAAGTTTTCTTGTATGTTTTTCCCTAGACATCTTATAGCTTTAGGTTTTACATTTTGGTCTATAATATACAGGAGTTAATTTTTATATATGGTGTGAGGTATGGATCAATGTTCTTTTAAAAAATAGATATTCAATTGTTCACCATCATTTGAAGACAAGACTATCACGTCTCCACTAAATTGCCTTTGCACCATTGTAAAAAAAAGTCAGTTGTTTGTGTATACATAGATCTATTTCTGGACTCTCCACTTTGTTCCATTGATTTATATGTCTATCTTTCCACCAATACAATACTGTGTTAACTATTATAACTTTATTATAAACCTTGGTATTGGTTAGTGTTCATTCTTTAACTGCGTTGTTCATTTTCAAATTCATTTTGGCTATCCCTTGCTTTTCCATGTACATTTAAGTATCAACTTGCTAATTTCTACCAAAAAACCTTGCTGGGATTTTGATTGAGATTACATTGAATCTATAGATTAATTTGGGGAGAACTGATATTTTAACAATTTGAGTCGTGTTTAATTTATTGAGTTCTTTTCATTTAGTTCTCTAATTTCTCTCAGCAATATTTTGTAGTTTTGAGTGTATTTGTCTTACACAATTTTGTCATATTTGTCTCTAATTATATGATTTTTGTGCCATTATAAATGGCATTGCTTTAAATTTTCAATTTCTAATTGTTTGTTATGAGTTCATAGAAATATGGTTGATTTTTTATGTTGAAATGCATTATGCAACCTTGCTGAAAACACTTACTCATTCTTTGAGTTTTTTGGTAGATTCCATCAGATTTTTTGCATGGAAAATCATGTTGTCTTCAAGTAAAATGAGTTTTACTTATTCTTTTAAGGTCTAGATGCATTTTTTTCTTGGTTTATTGCACTGACTAGAGCCTTCAGGACAAGGTTAAATAGAAATGGTGAGAATGCACATTCTTACTTTGTTCTTAATCTTAAGGGAAAAATTTGCTTTTGTATACTTACCTCTATAGTTGCCAGTTCTGGCACTCCTTGTTCCCTTGCGTAGATATATATATTTCCATTTGTTATCAGTTGCTTTTTGCCTCAAGAACTTCCTTTAACATTTCTTATATGCAAGTCTGCTGCTGATGAATTATTGTAGCATTTGTATGTGTACAGAAGTCTTCATTTTGCCTTCATTATTAAATACTTTTTTGTTGTGGCTATATGTAGAATTCTAGATTGACAGCTAGTTTATTTTTATTTCTTTAAAAGACATTGCTCCAATGTCTTCTTACTTCCATTGTTTCAGACAAGAAATCAGTTGTAGTCCTTATCATTGTTCTTCTGTATATAATTTCTTTTCTCTCTGGCTGCTTGTAGGATCTTCTATTTATCACTGGCTTTAAGCAATTTTGTTTGTTGTGCCTTGTGCTTGAGATTTGTTTAGCTCTTATATCAATGGATTTATGGGTTTCTCCAAATATGGAAAATTTTCAGTGATTATTTTATCAAATATTTTTTCTGGCCTCCTCCTCCCTCATGCCCTTCAGGGACTCCAATTTCTTATGTATTAGGCTTCTTAAAGTTATCTCACAGCTTAATGAGGCTTTTTAAATTTTGAAAATTTCTGTGCATTTTTATTTGAATAGTTTCTATTGCCATATCTTCAAGTTCACTAATCTTTTTTTTTCTGCAATGTTTCATCTGCCATGAGTACCATACAGTGTATTTTTCATCTTAGATATGCCTTTTACAGTGAGGTGTGTGAAGGAAGAAGCACATTCACCAGGTGGGCATTCGGGATCCTAAATAAGTTTTCCAAAGTGGGTGTCTGGGATTTATTCTCTTTGTGCATTTGCTGACCCTCCCTTTTTTTCAATATTAATTTTTATCCATGTTATGCATAGATAGTTTAATAAGTCAGATAGTTTCTTAAGGTATATATGTTAGTTAGAATTAGTTTCATCTGTATTTAACAGAAACTCCAAATAACAGGGTCTTAAATATATAAAGCTTACTCATTCATAGTAAAAGCTGTTTCATGCTAGTCAGTCCATAGCTTATTTGGCAGTTCCTGAAGTTATTGGAACCATAGGCTCCTTCTACCTTTCTGTTTCTCCATCCTTTGTCAGATAAGCTCCAGTCACTCATGTCTGCATTCTAGGCAGCAGAAAGATGAAAAGGGGGAGAAACAAAGGGGCATGTCTGTCTGATAACTCCTGCTTACATCTCACTGGCCAGAATAAAGTCCCATTGCCACATCCAGCTGCAAGAGCATCTAAGAAGCATGGATTTTTATCTGAGCCTACTGCTGTTATGAGTAAAATTGGGGTTTTATTACCAAGAACAAAGGGAAGAATGGTGGGCATCATTTCTAAGAAGGACTCCTGAGCCATCTTCCTTCTTACCCTAATTGTACTCCCTAGAGGCAACTACTTTTAGCTCTTCTGACTGTTTTTTCTAGGATTTATTTCATATTCAGACAACAACAACATTGTCCTGCTAATTCATTATTTCCTTATTTTAAATAGGATGAAATGAGGATTTTGCCTCTCTTGTACCCTTATTCCCATACCACTTCCACTTCCCTTCACCCATTTTTCCAAAATAATTGTCATAATTTTATTCACTCAAAGTTTATATTGTTATGATCATGTTAATATTATTCAAAGCTGAGTCATGTAGTATACTGTAATTACATATTCCTAAATTTAAAAAAAGTTCACTAAATTATTTTTTATTTGCTTAGTTTTATATGTCTCTAGTTTATTCCTGAGCTTTTAATTTAAGTATATATTGCTTCCTCAGTACAGTCAAATTTGTCTACCAATTTCATTTTTGTTTGAGGGATATGCTTCTGGATACCTTTGTTTCTTTTATTTCTGACCTGGAATATCTGCTGTCTGGTCTTGATACACAACTGTCTTCCTGAGCAATCCCATCATCCTCAACCTGGGAATTCCCTTTACTCCTTGCATGTTTTGGGTCTCCTATTTCCTTGTTCCCATCTTATGACTGCATTCTTTGTTTGTTCTCTTGTTTTGGTAAGGCACATTCTCTAGTATCTTCCAGAGAATGGACACACTGAACATAACTATTTTTGAAATATATATCTGAAAACCTCTTAATTCTAGCCTCATACTTGATTGATAGTTTGGATGGTTTTAGAATTCTAGATTGGAAATAATTTTCCCCAGACTTAAAAACAGATTTTTTTTTTTTCTCATAGATGTTTTAAGCCATTTGAGTTTTTCTCAATAGTGTTCCATTTGAAAAGTGCTATGACACTCTGCTTCCAAGTCCTTTTATGTCACCTGGTTTTTTTCTTCTTGGGATGTTTTTATAATCTTTTTATTCCTAGTGTTCTCAAATTTCATAACAGTGTCAATTTATGTGGGTCTTGTTTTCATGTACTGAGCTGGACATTTCATTGATCAGCTCAACCTGAAAATTTATAACTTTTGGTTCTGGAAAAAATTTTTGAATTATTTCCCTGGTAATTTCTTCCTGTCTGTTCTCTTTCCAGAGCTCCTACTATTTGGATGTTGAGCCTCCTAGACTGATCTTTTCTCTCAATATCTTTGATACTGTGGCTTTATGCTTTGTTTTATGCATTTCGGTCATTTTTACATAATTTCAAGCAGTAATGGTAAATGCATATGTCCAGTCCTCTGCATTTAACTGGAATCCTCTGATCTCTTTTCAGATACTTTACTGCAGGTAAGGAAACTATTGTAGAAATCCATATGGCATGTCTGAGATGAGCACCAGGCTTTTTTTTTTTTTTCTGGTCTGATTCTCCCACTTATCAAACTCTTCTTTAGGATATTTACACTAAGTAGAAACAAAGGCAAGTAAATGAAAGTAGAGCAGGACCAGGTGCAAGCCCCTTGGGCACATTATCCACCTTCGCTGTTGCTAGGTTTACTCATTTCAGAGATGAAGGCCAATAATACCCACTTTTTATAGCTCAGGCTTGTCTTGATGAACAAATGAGGGCATGTAGATGAAGATTTTTGGAAAGATATGTAGTGGCATATAAATGTGAAAGATTATAATTCTCCAAAAGGAACATAGAACCTCCTGATGAATGCTCAATTAGAACATGCTGTTGCTCTTTTTGGCCAAGGGAAAATATAAGGCAAGAATCCAGTAAGATAGTAGCAAGATCAGTGGAAAGGAAGGTCACAGAGGAAGCTCTGGGCAGTGGATGGAGTGGAGGCCTTTCAGATAGACAAGATTCACACCCTGATTTTAGGACTCGCTGGATCATCCATAAAGTATCCTTTTCTGCAAAATGAGGAAAATAATACTTACCTTGTAGTGTTGCTTTAAGGAACAGACTTACAGAGACAAAAATAAATATAAAGCCTTGGTACATAGATGGCATCCAATAAATAATAGCAACTGTCAGTGGCTAGGCTCACTGGCTCTGGAGTCGAGCTGTCTGGGTTCTGTCCCATTCTGTCATTTATGAGTCAAGTGATATGGGGACAAATGACTCAACCTCCCTGTATCTCTTTCTTCATCTGTAAGATGGGACAGTAACATTAGCCACCTCATCTAGTGGTTGTGAATATTAAATATGTTAGTTAGTGGAAAGTATCTATAATAGAGCCCTGGTACATAAAAATCAGTGCTTAATAAACATTAGCTATTATGATTGTTGTTAGCTTATAAGCAAGGCAATTATTTCAACCATGTATTGAGTCATCATTCAGAGTCCAAATAAAGTTGCAATTTAATTTGTGTGCTGCCTTAGTCTGTTTGGGCTGCTACAACAAAATACCTTAGACTGGATAATTTATAAACAAAGATTTATTGCTTACAGTTCTGGAGGCTGGGAAGTCTAAGATCAAGGCACCAGCAGATTTAGTGTCTGGTGAGGACCCATTCCTCATGGATGATGCCTTCTATGTGTCCTCACATGGTAGAGGGGATGAACAAGCTCTTTTGGGCCCCTTTTATAAGGGCACTAATCCCATTCATGAGGGTGGAACTCTCATGACCTAATCGCCTCCCAAAGGCCTAACCTGTTAATACCATTACCTTGGGGGTTAGGTTTCAACACGTGGATTTGGGGGGGATGCAATTATTCAGACCAGCATGTGCTACAGTAAATTTGCACATAATAAATAAATAGAAGTTACTTGTCCTAATGTCAGGTGGCTCATTATCTAAAGGGCCTCCACTTCTGTGTTCCTGGTCCCATAGGTCCTTAAACTAGGGCTGGGGTGAGAACATTTGAAGATGTTCTGGTGTCAGGGCTCTGAGCCAAGTCCTGATTCTCATTCTGAAAAGAAAAAGCCCTAAATTGAAAAACAACAAAGGGAAGAAAGATCAACTATCTCCAAATCAGCCTTCCAGATTTCATGGGCATAACCAAATAGCTTCAGACACGACGGCCTTTCCATTCGATGCAAAAACTGAGATCTTATAGAACTTATTGAATCTTGCCTTCCTGACTTCAGATATCCAAATACCAGCTGGCTACTCCACCCAGTGACTGGATGGACTATGGAGATCTCCTAAGCCAGGGGTCCCCAACCCCCAGGCCGCAGACTGGTACCAGTCTATGGCCCATTAGCAATCAGGCCTCACAGCAGGAGGCTAGTGACCATTACTGTCTGAGCTCCGCCTCCTGTCAGATCAGCTGTGGCATTAAGTTCTCGTAGGAACATGAACCCTATTGTGAACTGCACATGCAAGAGATCTAGGTTGCATGCTCCTTATGAGACTCTAATGGCTGATGATCTGAGGTAGAAAAGTTTCCTCCCGAAACCATCCCCCTGACACACCTCCAGCCCAGTCTGTGGAAAATCTGTCTCCCACTAAATGGGTCCCTGGTGCCAAAAAGGTTGGGGACTGCTGCCCTAAGCTTCATCAGGCTGCAGAGCTACTCAGTGCCCCGCACCGGGCTGCCAGCTCTATGCTGTGGCTTGGTTCCAACTTATAAGGATGGCAGCATTGCCCAAGCACCCAATGACTATTTTGTTGAATGAATAACCACTGGGGGAGGAGGTAATACACTGAGTATGTATGTGTTCCTAGCATATCATGTATCTGCTATATCAAGGCAATATCTAGCTTATGGTTTTAAAGGTAATATGTAGTGTTTGCTCCCCTACCCTAAGCTCATGGCACTTGCACTGTAGTGGGTGTTGTGTTTGTGCCTCCTTTAAAAAACTGTGAACCCCTCAAAGGCAGGGGACTTATTTGTTATCTGGGTAATTTGAGGAATGGATGAATGAATGAATTTGTCATTAGGCACATATTTGTTGAGCTCCTAGCAATGATCTGGAGATATAACAGTGCTCAAGACAAATGAGGTCTGTGAGCTCATGGAGCTTACATTTTAGAGAGGGAAACAAGCCATAAATGAATAAATGAACAAGGAAATTTCAATAGTGAGTGCAAAAAAAAAAAAAACCCCTCATAAATTCTATCAGTGCAAAGTTTTTGGCATTTTCTTATAAGGAAAACGTAGTATGTAATTTGGCCCTGAGTGCCTTCTCTGTGCAACAGATCTCTACAGAGGAAAGAAGGATAGACTGCAAGAATTTATCTAAATTACTAAACTGTAATGATCTAGTTCTCCAAAATGAGACAAGCAGCAGCATTGCTTAAGTGTTTTAACTTGGCCTGCAATTTGCTAATCAGAGGCTAGAGGTGACATGCCATAAAACTGCACAGGCTTTTAACTGATAGGTTTACAGAAGGTTCACAGCAAATCTGTGCCCTGTAATTGAAATTTAAAGGCACAAATCTCAGGTCATTTGAATAAAACAGCTCAATACTCCTATCTTTTCTATCTTCTAAAAATGGAAGGAAAACATATGTCAGAAATAATCTGATATAGGTCCATAACTGCCAGTGAAGAAAAAATTGAGAGCTAGTGGCAACCAAGTCCTTACTTTAGGTAGCCACAGCACTTTTAACATGTAGGTGTGGATAGGAAAAATTCTTTCTTAAACACATAATAAACATATTTTGGAGATACTGTTCTACATTGTCTACATGATACAAACGGAAACAAACTTAATTAGCCTAGACCAAATTTCACCCTGATGCACATAGATAACTCCCACTGTGATCATTATGCAAAAGCCAAGGTGGTGTTTGGATCTTGGAATAATGTGTGTTTTTCCAAGGGCAGAAGTTGATCTTTAACACATAGGCAAGTAATAATCTCCACCTGTGGCTTTCACAGAAACTTATGTTTTAGGGGTTCCTGTGATGGTGGTGGTAGTGGTGGGAACTTCTGGTCCTCTGTGATTAGTTAGTAGTCTGTTGGTGGCCAGGAAATGGGACAAACAGCAACTGTGGCCATGAAACAGACACACCGTCAATGAGGGTCTACCTCACCAGTGCTTCCCTCCACTAGCATTGCTTAGTTTTCTTTCTGATCCATGTTCTGTAGATGCCTGAGCCAAGGAGTGGGGCAGAAGAAAAATAAGGTCTTCTACTTTTCCTCCATAGCCATATTCCTTATGCTTCAAAATCCCGGAATGAAAATCATTGACATTTGGGTTAAGGGGTGTACCTTTAAGTGTGTATTAAGTCAAATTCCATAAAATGATAAAAATAAATTACATATTTATTCTAGGCATCCATGAAAATAGTGTGAGAATAAATTATTCCGAAGTGATTTCTCCTCAGAAAAGAGCTATTATACAATTTCTACACTTGCCCCTAATGTTTCACTTAGATTTATATTCATAATGTTATCAGAACACATTAATCCAAGCAAGACACTGCCCAAGAACTTCAGTTATTATTTCCTTATGTATGTACACATGCATTTATGAAGCTGAAGGAAGCGCACGCATGCAAATAGATAGACAAACAGACACACAAACACATGATGCTCCATCTCATACAGTACAATCATTTGTGACATGCTAATTTCTAGTAGGTGCCCCGTCAATTGGTTTCACAGCTTAGCTATTCATCGTCAGACAGAGTGTCTGTGTTTCCCCCATGCACTTCCAGTTCACGGAATAGTGCCAGACTGGCATCTTGTCTTGTGACTTGATAACAGATTCCATTAATAGTGTATCCACTGGGACTAACATCCAGTCCCTCTCAGCTGGGAGAAATCTGGCAATTAGTGCCAGCCCGAAGGACTGCAAGGGCTGGGAGCCTCGCATGCCAGGTCATGCATAAGAGGCTGACTGTGAATTCACACCATATATATGCACAAGGAATTACAAAATGGGAGCTTTGAAAAACAAAAAACAAAAAACAAAAAAAAATGAGGGAGTATACTGGGTAAGAACTTTCCTGATATCTGCCATCCCCACTTTGTGAAATTGGGGATGAGACAAAATCGTCATTGTTTCATTAGATTGGGACCATGCCTAGCTCTGAGCTCCATTTATTTCTCAGCACATTGCTAGTTCTCAATGATTATCATTATCATTATTAATGATGGTAATAATTGACAACATGATAAACAACTTGAAAAGAGCTAGTTTCCTGAAGGAAAAAAAATAAGTCACTGTAATAATGGCTCTTTTACACAGGAACAAATAGAACATTTGTGTCTTGGTATTTTAAATTATGTCTTTGTTTGCTGAGGCTGGAGGGCACAGGGTGCAATTTTAAACTCCAATAAATGAACAGATGAATTAGCATTAGGAAAAAGGGTACATGTTAGTCAAAACCAGCCATTTGGACTTGGGGTCCTTAATGATATGTAGATTTTCTGTCTTGCTTCTTTCATTCTAATATCACTTATTCCTGGATTTGCAGAACTGGCTTTACCCATAACAGGAGGAAAATGTTGCTTACTGGGTGCTGAGGTTTTAGGCCATGGCACATAAAATAGTTCTTCCGAAGGAAATCCCTTTAACAGAGGTAAAGTGTAAAATGCCAATATGCTAAAAGCAAGGACCAAGAAGGACCTGGAGCTCCTGAGCCAGCCAGCTTCTCTTTCTGACTTTATTCAGTCACTAGAAGGAAGGAAGACAGATGTGGATCATCAGTTTCTGAAAATTTGAGAGTTAATTAATTTTTTTCCCAGAAGACTTAACAAAGACACTACTCAATAGTCTTACTGAGAAAAATGTGTGTGTTTCCTCCTACCTCTATCTTAAAACATTTTCCTGCACTTACCTGCAAGGAGAACATATTTAACTTGGTCAATCATTTCAATGAAACTGGAACTAGAAAAAATTAACATTTCCTGCAATGTGAAATAATTGCTCCAGCTTTTCTACCCCTACTCTTTCTGTAATTTACAATGACATCTAATATTGGAATAAAAACTCAGATATGATCTAGAGAGCTTGAGTGTATTTCTTTTTGAAGTGGTTTGGCATGAATGTATTTGTGCAACTGAACTCATTTGTTTTAAAAGATGGCAGAGTAGATTTTACCCAGGAAATCCCTTAGAATTCTAAATATACATTCTCTGGGGTATGCATTTATTTTCCGAATCTGGTAAAAAAAAAAAAATACATAGGAATCCATTTGACTAATAAAGCCTTTCTTGAAATATCAGCTTGGTAGATAAAGTGTCAACTTGGTGGAAGTAATAATAATAAAGATGATAATATCTCCTTGGAAAACAGATTGAGCAACATTTCATCCCCTTTTTTCCACAGAGCATCAGGGGCCAGCTGTACTGAATCTTCAGATCATGAATTTACATTGCTCCCCGATGCCTCATTTCCTTGGGCATCTTTACTTAAGGCCCTAAAAGCAACTCACACATGCTTGGAGAACCATTGTCCCAGCCCCTGTTTCCAGCTTTATCATTGATTCCTCATCACCTTTAACTATACAGTTGGAAAATTTCTTGCCCTGTGCTTAAGGCTGAGTTCCATCTTGGTGCACCTATATTTGGTTCCTCTTGGAGCCACTAAACACAGTTTCTGAGTATGGAGGAGTCTTTTCTAGATATCCCACATGTTCTGGCTGAGCTAACAACCCACCTGCAGCTACACCCTCCAACCACTTCTGCACCTGTGAAGAGACAGAGAACATCCCACTTTCTGTGCAAGGGGCTTTGCTTCCTCTGTGTTCTTCCCTGTCCTGGGTGAATACCCTATTGAAGTGTTTCCTTGCAGAGTATTGCTGTTTGTTTCTTCAGGCTACCATCAAAAACGGCCACAAATTGGGTTACCTGAAACAAGAGAAACTTATTCTTGTACAGTTCTGGAGGCCAGAAGTCCAACATCAAGGCATTGGCAGGGTTGGTTCCTGCTGGAGTTTCCCAGGGAGAATCTATTTCTTGTTTCTCCTGGCTTCTACTGTTTGCAAGGAAGCCTTGGCATTCCTTGGCCTGTGGCTGCTTAACTCCCACCTCTGCCTACTTCTTCATGTTGCATCCTCCCCTGTTTGTGTCTGTGTCTCTTATCCTCTTCTTATAAGGACAACAGTAATGTTGGATTAGGGCCCTGCCCTAATCTGGTATGACTTCATCTTAACTTTATTACGTCTGCAAGGACCCTATTTACTGTTGTCCAAAAGACCACCAAGATGGCTAAACAGTAGAAAGGAGAGGTTTATTGGTGATATCAGTTTGCAAGCCAGGCAGAGAAAGTCTCCAGTGTAGACTAAAGGTGCTCTCTTTTTGAAGAGGGGAAGGGGGGCAGGTTGGGTTTCATGCCCCACAGGGTCTGTATTATACAATAGAGTCATACATATTCAGCAGGTTCAGGAGAGAAGCTGTATATATTTATGAGGGGAACTGAGCACATTTGTAATGAGTAAATGCATATGTGACATACATTCCATGGGTTTTAGATTAAAATGAGGTAGAATTTGGCTCTTTATGTCAAAAGGTGAACTATGGGATATAATGACAGTTTGTGCACTGTGTCTATAAGCTGGCTGAAACTGGTGTGAGGTTTGCAATTGCTTATCAGAAAAGAATGTTTTTAAAGCTGGTCCTGCTGTGCAATCAGAGTTGTAGTGGTCTGGGTTATAAATCAGAGCCCATAGCTCCTGTTGTTAGGGAGTTTAGCCATAGGAATTTAGAAATTAGTCATGCAAGCCTGGACTTGAACCCTTGACTATAGCTAACTTTGTTTCCTTAATCTTTGGGTCCATCTTGATAAATGGGCACCTATTTTGGTCTCTCAGATCACATTCCATGTAAGTCACATTTACAGGTATTGAGGGTTAGAACTTAAACATATCATTTTGGGGGACACAATTTAATCCATAACAGTATTACAATATTTCTTTACATTGTTACCTTTTTTACTTTATTTTGTAATAGCCTGATGGGTTCATCTTGCCCACTGCCCAGAAAAGCAAAAGCACCGAGAACAGTAAGTATTACAGGAAAGAAAGAGTTTAATTATCGTAGGGCCAGCCAAGTGGAAGAAGAGAAGACATTCCTCAAATCTGCCTCACTGAGAGCTTGGAGGCTGGGATTTTTAAGGTTAATTTGGCAAACAGGGGGCTTTGGAATGGGTGCTGTTAATTGGTTGGGGATGAAATCATAACAGTGTCCAAACTGTCTATGCCTACTGAGTTAGTGGCTGTGTGATGGTCACCAGTTAAATCAATTCCTTGATATGTGTTACGGGTCTGGTGGAGTCAGTCAGGATGCAAAAGTCTGAAAATTATGTCAGAGACTTATCTTGGGTTTTGACAATAGTGATGTTACCTATAGGAGCCAGTTGGGGAAGTCACAAATCTTGTGACCTCAGCTCCATGACTCGTGAGCACTAAGGGATTTTAGAAAGGCAAGATAGGGAACAATGGCTGG
This sequence comes from Homo sapiens, assembly GCF_000001405.40. Classification (NCBI taxonomy): domain Eukaryota; kingdom Metazoa; phylum Chordata; class Mammalia; order Primates; family Hominidae; genus Homo; species Homo sapiens. The sequence continues at coordinate 151,784,906 of NC_000004.12, forward strand.
TTATTGTTTAACTATGCTTATGCCTTCCAGAATGTAGTCCCCGTCCATAAACATAACCTTGCGGCCTTTCATTAGTCTTACAAAGGTGATTTTGGTCCCTGAGCAAAAAGGGAGTTCGTTTCTGAAAAGGACTGTAATCATCTTTGTTTTAAAGTTAACAAAGGCAGTTAGCTTGTAAGATTAGAAGCAAGGTGGAGTCAACTATGTCAGATTTCTTTCACCGTCATAATTTTTGCAAAGGCAGTTTCAATTCCGAGCACTTTGGAACAGTTCTCTATCGTCTATATATATCTCAGCATCTGGTACATCATAGTGCTCAGTAAATAATGACTGATTAATGAATAAGCAAACTATGCCTATTCATAATCACTGTGTTGGGGTTTGGGGAAATGTTGACGTTTGATAGAAAGAAGGACCCCAGGATCTTGCTTGGGTGTCTATAATCCATTATCCTTTGGAATGTTAACTGCAGTGGGTACAAACAAACACTACAATGTCACTTCATAAAACTAGTTCCAATATTTCAATAAACCTGATAGAAAAGACATGTGTATACAGAGAAAGGCTGCACAGGCTAACCAAAATGTCAAGTTTCCTTGCACTTGACTCAGAATTTATATTAATCGGAATTGAGAGTGGCTCAGGAAAGCAAAAACTCAGCGTCTTCTCTGCTTGATGGCATTGCAAGGTCAGTTTGAAGGAGCCAAGCCCTACACTGGGTGGTCTCTTACGCAGTACTATGTAGAGGGTGGACTGAGCAGAAGGCAAGTGCTCACATTTGCCCTTGGTGTTGCTCTCACTATCCTCACTTATTTATAGCAAATACCCTTCTCTGGTCCAAAGCTGGCCCACTGACTCTCTCCTTTTCTCTTCTTCCTCCTCACTCCCTGACTCTTACCCAGGCTTTTGTTTTTTTATCATCCGCTGCCTTACATCCTCTTCTTATGGGGCAACAAGACTTACTGGCTTACCTGTATTCGGGGAAAGGAATAGCTTCTTACCACAGAAGAGTTCCATATAAGCCCTTAATAAAATGGATATTAGAGGAATTTGGAAAATCCTCTCAATACAAATGCCTGGCTTGTAAAGCTGTTGTTTTGCTGCATAATCCTATTTTGCATGTCAGAAGTGAATACCATCCTCCCCCTTTTTCTTTGTTACTTCTACAATAAATTCTAATCTCCCCCAGGCAGATGGATACCTTGGGCCTACTAGTACAAAAACTAACAAAAAAGCTGATTAAGTAATTTTCAAAATATCTCTTCTAATCAACTAAGTAATTTCAAGTTACACAGTGACAAGTGCCAAAGAATAAATCAACTAGGTGATGAGACAGCATGAGTAACTTGGTGGGGAGTTTACAGAGGGCTTTCCAGCCCACTGAACAGTCTTGGAGGGGGAAAAACTTAGCAGGAGGGCCCCAAAGAGACAATATTATTCTCTTCATTAAGGCATGGACCACATTTTACCACTGCCTTGACTAGCCAACCATTTAATTTTACTCTGCAGTTTTCCCCATTTACTTCAGACGGACAAGCATCTTCTAAGTGATTTAGTCTTCGGTAAAGCTTGTGACATTCTCAGAGACCCTTATCTAGTGATTTTTAAAATGTTCTAAAAACCTATCATTTTCATGTTGGAGCCTGGAGGAGGGAAGAGGAAGAACTAGAATCTTATTTTGATGCCATTGTCAGGACTCAGAACACAATATTCCCAAGTATGGCACCTTGGCATGTTGAGTATTTTTGAGCTGAAGAAGACAGGAGCGCCTCAGAAACAAGAAGGTCCCTCTGATCTTCTGCCCTCCTATCTCCCACCCTGCTTTCTTCCCCTAAGCAGGTCATATAAACTAGAATTCTTCTCCCCAAATCAAGCTATAAGACCTAGGACATTCTCCTCCCACCTCTCTCCTGTGTCCTGCCCCACACCAGGGGTTGGGAGAAAGGCATGTCTTACAGACACACAGCAAACAATCTGAACAAACAGGACTTTCTGTATTCCCCTAAGTTTATTACCATTAGGTCATACTTCCTTTTTTTTTTTTTTTTTTTTTTGAGACGGAGTCTCGCTCTGTCGCCCAGGCTGGAGTGCAATGGCGCGATCTCGGCTCACTGCAAGCTCCGCCTCCCGGGTTCACGCCGTTCTCCTGCCTCAGCCTCCCGAGTAGCTGGGACTACAGGCGCCCGCCACCGCGCCCGGCTAATTTTTTTGTATTTTTTAGTAGAGACGGGGTTTCACCGTGTTAGCCAGGATGGTCTCCATCTCCTGACCTCGTGATCTGCCCGCCTAGGCCTCCCACAGTGCTGGGATTACAGGCGTGAGCCACTGCGCCTGGCCCATACTTCCTTTTTTTCCACTCATGTGTCTCCATAACTAGTCACTTTTTTCATCAGATGTAGCATAAAAATACACAGTTTTCCTTAGGTCTTTGGGTCTTTATTTCTGAAGGCTCCTGTGTCACATAAAACTTTGGTTAAATAAATTTGTTATGCTTTTCTCTTGTCAACTTGTCTTTCGTTATAGGGTTGTCAGCCATGACCCTTGTGATGGGTGAAGAAAAGGTAATACTTTTCTCTCCCATACCATGGCAGTGGTTCTCAACCTTTGCTGTACATTAGAATCACTTGGGGGCATTTTAAAGGCATATATACATGTCAGTATGTAAGAGTTTATTATTACTTAGGCCCTACTTTCTGGGACAGCACTGATCAGGTGCTGAATTCTGGAAGGATTCCTTTTGGATTTCTGTCATCAAATTGAGTCCATGCTAATTCTGTTCCTGGTGTTGGCATTGGCCTGCATTTGAGAGATATTCTTCAGCCTGTGGTCCTCCCCATCCTCTCGTCTCAGTCCTTGGCATCACAGATTTGACTTTAGCCTGAGGATGTGCTACACCATCAGACAGCTTGGGATAACTGAGTTACCATAAAACCTGCAATGTTGTCTCACCCACTGTCATGATGTCTGAGCGAGCACTAATGCATTGCCCAAGATCATATCATGGATAATGCCTTCTTATTACAGCAGAAAGGTGGGGTACTGAGGATGAGGGCTCAAGGGAGGGCACATCTCTTTACAAGAGATTAGCACTATCTAACAAAGATGTCTGCTGTCTCTGTGGTATTTGGTAACCTAATGCTTATATTTCCATTTTGCCCATGACTGATAGAATTAAGCATAAAATCATTAATCTTATTTCTTGAAATTCTGCAGCCTCCCTTTATTCAGATTCCTCAAAATGAGTAGACCAGATTCACTTGGGTTCACTTGGTTGGCATGGCCCATGAGAGTTTCAAATCATGACAACTGGGATTTCAGATTCCTTACTAATGAGTAGGTAAGAAAGAGTCCAACAGGAGCCAAGGAAAGGCACCTAGCAGAAGGCTCCAGGTGAAAAAGAATGTGTGGACTTTCTGAAGTGTTGGCTTATTCATTCATTATTTTATTGGCTTATTCATTCATTATTTTCTTCTTTTATTTCTTGGTTCAAAAAAAAAACACATTTATTATACACCATTGAGTTGGAAAGGGTCTGTGGGTGCCTGTCTCACAGTAGGTGCACCTCCAATATTTGTGGAATGAGTAAATAAGAAAATGATTTCTAGAAGGAACTCATTATTAATTGCCCTGATTTACTTCTTGTTTCCTAGACATTCTTGTCCAGTCACTTCTGTAATAAATATAGACCAAGTTCTCCTGCTTACTGGTCTCTGCAGCTGCCTTTCTTCCTATTTGCTGGAATGGACATTATTTCTGTCTCATTTCTACATTATCTCCACATTATCCTCTGGCTTGTCAGTCATAACATTCACATGTACAAATCCATTTTTATCGTTTTTTTTTATCTACTAGGAAAAATTGGGGTCAACTTTAATGTTGTTCATAAATTATACTCTACTTTTCTATTTTTTTGTCTTATTTTCTATACATTTTTCTTTTGCTTTTTGCTTAGTTTCTGTCCTTTCTCCATTTTTCCCTAGTTGCCATTTTCTTCTTCATACATAGATCAGGATTAAGAATGAGGGAGCTGAAGTTAAAAAAAAAAAATAAGAGCTAGTGAAAAACTTTATTTTACAGAAGAATTGAGATAAAGATATCCTTATTTAGTAAGGCCATTTCTCCTTTTCATTAATTCTAATTTATGCTCTGCATTTTGCTGAGATGATAAAAAGAAACAACTGAAGCCAACTCGGTTACTGTTAGGGTCCTAGTCAACTTCTTGGCCAGGTTACTTTCTCCTGGATGCCTTGTCGAGCGGCTGGCACACAGTAGGCCCTTGATACATGTTTATTTAATTACTCAAATGGAAACAGAGAGGCTTTTAAATCCCAAATTAGTTCAATAAAAAGATTGAAATGGAAATGGGGGCAAAGATTGAAATGGAAATGAGGCTTCAGGCTTCTCTGTGGATCTTGTTTCTGATTCCTGCCTGTTCTCCATTAGCATTGATAATTGAAAATTGACTACATGTAATCTCAAATCTATTAATTGATAAACCATTTACTTTTCCTGAAAACAAAATCAGTGGTGTTTTTTGACTGTTTGACTACTTATCAAATTGATTTATTCAATTAATTTTCAAACTTTTGACTCATTTTTATCTTGCAAGATTGTCCTTGACTTCTGAATGGTTCAAATAAATTACCCCTCTAAAATTACAGGAAAGTTGGTGGTAAAGCTTAATGTAACCAAAAGAATCTCAATTTGAGCAACGCAGTTTTCCAGTGATACAGGCTTTATGAAATGAAAACAACTGTTCCAAGCTGTAGCTTAAAATCTGCCTTCTTCCCAAGGCAATGGCAGAGGCACCTATGTTATTGACTCAGGCAATTCCCCTCAATGAATTGTCCTTTAAACAACTTTGATTACATACATTAGTTGGGAGCTCTGTTTCATCAGCTTGTCCATTTCTTACAGCTCTCCTGTTCTCATACCACCAAATGGGCATGATTAATCTGAGATTTCCTTCTCTTCTAAAGTTTTCCAACCATCTCCCCCTTTCTTGGTTTCTAAGAACTGCTCAGGTTTTTCTCTGAAGATGAGTCTTTCTCTTCTAAATTTCCCTTTTTTTCTTTTCTAGGTTAGGCATTTATTGATGTATTTCCTTGGTGGTCAGAATTTGTTACCCAGTGAAAATGTCAACACCTGCAAGTTTCTTCCTAGCTCTGGCAACATTTCCTGAGAACAACTGGCTGATTTCCTTGCTTATATATTATTTTTAATGGAAGTGCCCTTGACCCTGACCTGTTCTGTAAAAATAAAATTTTGTTTTATTTTCTCTAGTTTTTGTGCTGGGTCTTCAGCTGAATTTTATTTATTTTGAAAGCTATGTTTTCTAGTTTTTTTTCCCTAACTCATTTCGACAGTTTTTTTACTTCGATTGTCCATTATCTTTAGCATGAAAACTAGCATAACAAAGTATAATCAATTGGCTAAGAGATTGCTATTAGGGATTGTGGATTTTTAACCATACAATCAATGAGTTTAGTTCAGGTCGCATGTCCCAGTGTAATATATTAACTCTGTTGTTTAGAAGCCTGGGATTTGCCCATCAAAATAGCTGGAAGTGATGAAAGGAATGAAGCAAACAATCAGAGATAGAGACAGAAGAGCCATAGCCGGTTGCCGATTGCCTAAAATAAGAAATCTATTATAGATCTGACACATGTGCAACTTTTTCTATTAGCAATCACTGAGCTGCATCTTAGACCAGATTTTTTGTCAACGTCCCAGTGAAGGTTGAGAACCCCTCTTTTCCCTCCCTTTCCACAACCCAGGAAAGGTGAAGAAAACAACTTAATACAATAGGTTTTCTTCATCTCCTCCTGATGCGGATGCCTTCATTTCTCTGCCTCCTCCTGTCAAAATGGTAAAAAATTTGTATGTGATTGAAAATGAATGTCTATGTTGACTATGAACAAAAGAAAATAAGCAGGCACCTTTCTGCCTAAAATTTCAATGAGAACATTGGTCTCAGACACCTACATCTACCCTGGCAGCCCCTGGCTGGTCCTAACCACTTCACCTCTCAGATGGAAATCTCAGCCAAGTGCTCCAGTTGGCCTGAATTTAATGCAAGGCAGCACAGAGGACAAAAAACAAGTGAGTGCACTGCAAACTATTTTTTTGTTTGTTTGTTTCAAAAGTGAAATTTCTTTCAAGGAGGCCAAACTGCTCTTCCTCAAACCACTGCAATCCACTACAGTTTTCCCTGAGAGTTTCTTACTGGGAATATGCCATAGTTAAAAGACAATGTCACAAGCCAGTGACTATCAAACATTGGGGATGACTGAATAGCTATGAGCCAAATCTAGATCCCAATAAGTGACTTTAGAGTGCTCCTTTTCTCACATTTAACCTGCTCCTCTTTCCCCACCCTCTTAGTGCCACAGGTCTTTAATGGGTCTTCAATACATTTCAATACCAATTCAACAACCTAGTGTCTCCAAGAGAAAAGTACACATTTATTTATCTGAAAGTGGCCTTTGTATAGGGAAATAGTCTTTTTGAATTTAGTTGTAAGGATGACTCACTTTGCAGAAAGCCAGAGGCACCCTTAGGTAAGAAGGGGTAATAAGTAGGGCATCTTGAGGGACCCTTTGCAGGCCAGGATGGCCCCACTACCAGGCAGACTCAAGGTTCTGAGGGGACTTGAGGTTGGGCAAACAAGAATACAGTGCTTGCTGCAGTTAGTCAGAAGGGCCAGTGGATTTGAGTATTTCAGATCAGATTCTGCCTTTGTGACACTGCATCTTTGTACGGAGAGACATTTCACAGTGTTTCTTTTAATGAAGATTCTAAAGTGATTTATGATAATTCAGAGATACTCATCTGGAATGGTGTTCTCTGCAGATTAATGATGATGGGAAAAAGTAGTGTGCCCACATCTGTTGAGAATTAAATGCTGTTGGAAAATGTTTGTCATAAATTGTTAATGAGGAATTCACAAAATTGTTCATTCAAAGACCCCCACCCCTTTTATGAACAGAAACAAACCAACAAAACACACACATATTGAATCAAGAAAAGATCAGAAGAAAATACGTTAAAATATTCACAGTGCTAATCTAAAATGATGGGATCCTATTTTCTTTTTTGTACCAATATGTATTCTAAATTTTCTACAAGGCATGTACAATAAAATTATTAAAAAATTAAACACCATCATTTGCCTTTTAACACTGCATCTGGTTTTGAGGTCATCCAACAAAACAAAACAAAAATTTCCCAGAACTCCGGAAAGTTAAATGGAGCTCAGAAGCATGGAGTCAGGTGGGATGTGATGGCAGGCCAGGCACATGCCTCACCCCTTCCCAGGTGCCCCACTGTGTAGATGGCCATGACAGCTAGCTGCAGCTCAGATAACAAACCAGAGAGAGAGAGAGGCTTTTATTTGAATTGTCAGCCTTAGCCTTGAGATACAGTGCAAGTGGCTTTAACAACCAAATCACATCTTTGCGAACAATGTCACAAAGATAGAAAAGGAGCATTATATTTTTTATCTCAAAGATGTCCTGAATAAAGTACACTTGGTTCCAATTTCATCTTGAAAGTGCCTCACAGATCACAGTGACAGCCTTTCCGGAAGAATCGCTGATACTGGGTTTACCTTGGTTTTTTTCCACTCAGGGTGAAGAAACTCTGCATTTTTATTAGCACACACCCAGCACAGATCCATTATTATTATTTACCGTTTTAAACGTCTTCTTGGTTCTGATGGATTTCTTAGTTCAGGTAACAGAATATCCTGGCCTTTGAGAATGCAGATGGGACAGGTGAGCTTTAGCAAGGATCCCATCTAACTAAACACACCACAATATCACCTACCATCTGCCGCAGCATATGCTTAAAAGGCATGGTTTACAAACTAAATAGTAAAATTCAGGTTTCCATGGCCCACACGATCTGCAGTATAAAATCTTAGCTGTATTTTTAAAGCCATCAGGAGCCAAAGTAATGATGACTTTTTGCAGGTCTCTGGCACCAGGAGGGTTTGTTCACTAAAAGGTCCAAGCAACCTGGAAGATGGAACCCGGCTGCTGGAAAGGGGCATGCCTGACTTCTCCCTCCTCCCCGGTAGGAGCAGGCCCATGGCATGCTGAGCATCTAAGTTAAAGGCCCCGCAGAAGGCCACACTGTCAATAGTCTTGAGTTGATCCTGGAGTTTTTAAGGCCAGGTCCTGTTTGGTTTGGGGCTTTACCTTAACCAGGGGCCAAGAGAAGAAATACAGGAAAGTGCAAGGCAGGGCCATGCCCCTCCTGAGAGGGAAACTACTGAAAATGATGTCAGATTGCAGACAAGAGCACAGGAAAAACCCCAAGCACAGTCTCCGTGGAGGTCAGTCTCGCCAAGAGCCTGAGACAGCATCTTGGTGCCTTGAGCTTCCCAGGGAAATCTGACACAGGCAGAGGAGGAAAAGAAAAACAGAGGAAGTGGATCGAAGAAGGAAGGAGGAGGGAGTTTCACAGGCCTTTCCAAGTAAACTGGGAATTGTTGAGCACAGTGATAGTGCTCTATGGTTCTACTGCTCACAGCTCCCAGAATGATGGTGGGTCAGAGAGAGGAAGGGTGATAAGAGGAGAGACAGGGTGACACGCTTTCCCCTAACAATGTGTACACATTGAGCAGCAGACACATTACACCTTCTGTTGACTCAGGAACCCTTTCATTCTAACATGGGTTCTTAATCTTCTCAAAGTACCCATATTTCTGAGCTATCTTTTAAGATTTTCACTGATAGACCAGGCATGGTGGCTCATGCCTATAATCCCAGCCCTTTGGGAGGCTGAGGTGGGAGCATCGCTTGAGGCTAGGAGTTCAAGACCAGCCTGGGCAACAAAGCAAGGCCCCTGTATCTACAAAAAAAAAAAAAAAAAAAAAATAGCTGGGTGTGGTGGCAGGTGCATATTGTCCCAGCCATTTAGGAGGCTGAGGTGAAAGGATTGCTTGAGCCCAGTGAGCTAGCATCATGCCACTGCATTCCAGCCTGGGCAACAGAGCTAGACTCTGTCTCTTAAAAAAAGGATTTTCATTGATGCCCGTTAAGTTTTGGTGTGTGAGTGATGTTGTAAATAACACTGTTCTGGCCCTAGTGGGGAGAGGATCATAGCTACCTAAACTGGCCATATGAATCTTTGGAAGTGTCCTAATCCTGTGGTCCCCGTCCTATTTTGTATACTTGCAAAAGATATCCAGAATCTGACTATATCATATCAACCACTCACTGGCTACCACCTTGATCCATGGGTAGCAGCCAAACTTTCCCACCTGCATTCACTCTAAAGCCTTCTAACTGGTCTCCCTGCTTTCACTTTTGCCGCCTAGCCCACTCCAACTATTCCAGACAAAGCAGCCAGTAATGCTTTGAAAACATTGGTCATGTCAAGTCACCTGTACCCTGCGTCATTGTAGGATATGGCCCCCCAACCTCTCTGACCTCATCCACTGCTCTCCACTCAGTCACATCCAGGCTCATTTCCACCTCAGGATCTTTGCATTTGCAGTTTCTCATCTAGATATTGGCACCCATCAAGTCTTTGCTTAAATGTCTCATTTCTAGCAAGGTCTCCCCTAATTCTCTTTAGAATTGCACCCCTGCTTCACCTTCTCCGGCTCTTCTCCACTTGATTTTTCTCTGGAGCACCTAGCAGTTCTCACTTGAAAAATACATCATTTACTTATTTTGCTTCCTCTCCATGTCCCCCAATACACTAGAATAGAAGCTTCTTGAAGAGTTTTAAGTCTATGTTTTTCACAATTGTATCCTCAGTACCTAGAAAGCTGCTTCACATTTAGTAGGTGCTCAAAAATATTTGTGAATTGAATTTGCTCGTTTCTTCCAGAAGTCTTGTGGGCACTTTTCTTATGTACAGTTTTATATATTTAAAGGTCATGCCTGATTGAAACAAGAAAAACATTTGTAAAATTTTACACACACTGTCTGGAAGCTGTTCAGCAGTCTATATATGAAATAGGCTATAAGTGGCAGCCAAGTGTCCTGTAAACAGAAATCCACACAAGGTGACCCACGGTGGCTCATGCCTGTAATCTCAGTGATTTGGGAGGCTGAGGGGAAGATTGCTTGAGGCCAGGAGTTTGAGACTAGCCTGGGCAATAGAGCAAGACTGTCTCTACAAAAATTTAAAAAAAAAAAAAAATTAGCCAGGCATGGTGGCATGCACCTGTAAACCTAACTACTTAGGAGGCTGAGGTAGGAGGATCACTTGAGCCCAGGAGTTTAAACCTGTAATAGTGAGCTATGATCGCACCAATACACTCCAATCTGGGTGACAGGAGAGACCCTGTCTCAAGAAGAAAGAGATCTACACAAGAGAACCTTCTAAGTCCTTGATGTTCCTTCTTAAATGGAGTTTTAGCTCATTGGGTGAGGAAAGTGTATACGTCTTATCATTATCTAGTTTGTGTCTGGTGCTAGAAAAATGTTATTGTCCCTCCAATAATTCTTTCTAACAGACCACTTTTGAATATCCTAAATTATTTTAAAGTGAAATAAAATAAAGAAACATAAAATGTAGATTTGATGCCAGATCTATCCAAGCCCATCTGTATACTTGTTTATTTTTCAAGAGGCTTCTTTCATTAGAAATTTGGACATAAACGATGAAAGCTTATTGGATTGTTTTTGGTCATGTAGTTGAAAATGGCTGTGGTGGGACAGTAGCTTTAGAGGCTTTTCAAGGGTATTATCCAGTACTTTTTCTGATCTTGTGTACATGTACCAGCCCTATTGGCTAAACATCCATAATTATTCTCTTGACTTTTCTTTGTGAATCGATATTGCTATTGAAAATAACATCCCTGAAGACAGAGCAAGGTAATATTCATTTTTTAAAAAGCTATCTTATTATGTTTACCTTGCTGTTAAGTGTATTTCTTATTTAGCCTAGAAGTGCTGTAGTGTGGCAAAATATTGTAACTTACATAATGATTGTAATTTAAAAATGAAAACCACTAGGTATCTTTTCTTCTTTGCTTTGGTTTTGCTGGCTGTATGATTGTTCTGGCTCTATCTGTAAACACACATAAAATGAATAACAGTAAATGAATTACAGAGGTATAATTCCATTGAGGGTTCTGTAAACAGCTTTTAGCCTCAAGAGCCAAGCTCTTACAATCTATATCGAATCAGAATTGCAAGACAGAATTACAGCTTTGTTACTCAAGGTTTGCTTGTTGTTAATTTTATCGAGGACATAAAAGCTAATATGAAGCATCTGTTGCATCCTTGGCCCCTTTAAGAAACCTGTATCCATGGCAGCTGATATCAGGTAGGAGGAATCCTCATAGGGTATTATAAAAGAGAGAGAGAGATGTCTTGTTCCTTGAATATCTCTTTGACACTAGATCCCTGTAGTGGGAGGGTTGGGATGAATTTCAATCTGTTCAATCAACTTGTAGTGATTGAGCTCACACCGTTGGCAGGTCCTGTTCTAGATGCTGGGGTTACAGCAGTGAACAAATGAAGCGAAATCCTTCCTGCCCTTTTGGAGTACTTATAACTACAACTAAATCAGTACATGTGACAACCCATTTCACACAAAACCAGCTAAGGAAAGATAGTTTAGGAGGGCCTTCAGGGCGGGGGTGGGAGTGTGTTCTTTTAAATAGAATGGTTAAGAAAGATTTCACTGATCAAACGGTATTTGGGCAGAGACCCCAAGGAAGCATGGGAACAGTCCTGATGCAGGTCTCTGGGGGAAGAGCCCCCAGGCACAGAGGGCAGCCTATGCAAAAACCCTGAGACAGAAGGCTTGGCGGAGGGGGCAGCAAGGCTAATGTGGCCAAAGTCAAGTGGGCGGAAAGGGAGTGATGGGGCATGAGGTCCCAGAATATTTGGGGGACTGGATCTTAGATTGGCTTTCTAGGTCAAGGGAAGGCTTTGGGATCCTCTGACAAGAATGGGAAGCCATCAGAGAGTTTCAAGCCGAGAAATTACATTTCGAGAGGATCATTTGGCTGCTTCATAGAAAACGCATAATGGGGAGGCAAGGGTTTAAATAGGAGAGTAGTTATGCTACTGTACAAATCTAGGCAATAGATTAGAGTGGCTTGGAAGAAGGTGGCAGGTGGAGGCGTTAAGGTGGATTCTACTTTTGGTTATATGCTGAAGGTAAAGCCAACAGAATTTGCTGACATATTGGATGTGGGATCACTTCACAGTCTCATTTCCCTGGAATTGCTACAAGGTACACAAAGATCTTTGAGATTTCTCCTCCCACCTGCTTTGGCCTTGATGATAGGTGCTCAAATATTGGTCATATTTGGGGTTTGCATCTTCCTTTGCTTGTTTTTGCCCTGGGCACATATATAGCATTTGCCAGGGCACGAGAACATGATTCTGCTGCCAATTCTGTTTTCTGAAACTGAACTTTGTGCTGCCACTGCAGGGCGTTCCCACTAAAGCTCAGCAGTTCTCCTGGATACAAGAACAACAAACATTTCCATTCTTCCATACACCATCACCTCTTTGCATTCATTATTCCTCCACCATCATCTTAGATGTCTCTTTCCTTCAAACTCTGCCCAAGCCTGAACTGCTTCGTGTTTAGACTGATGCAATCTTCATCCTGGTTTTTTTTTTTTTTCATGCTTCCAGAAAGCTAGCAGCTAGTAGCAAAAATTATCCTTATCCATCTTTGTTTTTATCATCTCAGATAAGTACAAAATCCCTTTCAGTTTTCTGTCTAGGCTTCCAATTCACTCTCCTTCCACTGTACCTCCCTCCTCCCCACCAAATTTAAGTTGATTAGCACATATTCTCATCCTTATTATTTTCATCTTCAGCACATATTTATATAATTTTGGATTCACTCTGGCAAACCACTTTGAGAACTGTGAGCAAATAAAGCAAGCATAGGGTCTGAACTGGGGAGAGGTTTTTCTTTTTTTCCATTGTCTGGTCAATCCTGCCTAGTACAAGAGAACTGAACACAGTAAGCTTTACTGTAATAGCAAACAGCACTAGGAGGGGTAACTCTTTACCCTGCAAATCTTCATTTTTTCCTTAGTGCAAAATAATTGTCATGTTCATCATTTATGCAACCTATCAAATATTTCTGGCTGTGTGCCTTCTGATGCACAAAAGAGGATTGTACTTCTTGGCCCCTTTTTGGTTGGATGAAGTCATGTGATGAATTCTGGCCAATGACTTGTGAGTGGAAGTAATACAATTTCTCAGCCAGTGCATTTAATTGCCAGAATAAGAATCTAGTTCCTTTCCTCTCTTGGGGATGTTGGTGGTGACTTCTAAGATGGTGATCTGGATCACTGATGGTGGCCTGGGTTACTGAGTTACTCTGGGGAGCAGATTCTTTTGACAACCTGTGGTGGATATGCAATATGAATGAGAAACCCTCATTTTTGCCACTGATATTTTAGGGTTGTTTATCACTGCAGCATAACCTAGCCTATCCTGGCTGATATATTCAGGTCATCTCATTCTGTGATAATTACTTGAGTTTTCAATCCTGTTAAATTGAGAACAGGACCTCAGGCAAATAAGGATTTGGATGGATGTAAAGGACTAACTTAAGTTAGATGCCAGAATGGTCTATTCTGGTCATGGGAGGCCTAAGGATGATGGTACTAGAAAGGGGGAAAGGGTTGCAAATGGAAGAAGTAGAAGGACCCTGAAGGCAAAATGAAAAAATAGCTGGAGTTTATCTAAGATTGGTACTGTGGTCTCATACAACTTCTCCATAGTGACAGAAAAGAGATTTAGTAATCTCTAACACTTGGCCTAATCCTAGATGCCTCCCAGCTGGGGGTCGCATTTGGTCAGGAAGGAACTTCCATGGTGACAAGAAGACAAGGCCAGAGGTACCACTTTGGAGGTTTCATAACCTCCAAAGGGGATAGATAACATGACTCATTTTCCCAGCTCTATTGTGGTTATTCAAATAAGTGACCATAGTCAATGTCTGTGAGCAGCTGCTGCAAGGTCAGGAGAACTCACCAAGACCTGATGCTGTTTCAGTATCACAGCATGTCAAAGGAATGATTTCTAGCTTCCTGTAGACACCATTAGCTAAATTGCAGTATCTGCTTCTCTTATCGTCTTTGCCAGGGTCATTGTTTCTTGCACTGAACCTCGGAGGAAGGATGAGGAGAGAGGTAGGTGCCTTCTGCCTCCCTCTCCTTTGGTATGAAGCCTGCTGGAAAAGAAGCCTGCTGTTTAGAAAGTTGCTTTGTTTCTAATTGGCATGAGGAGGCTTGAGAGAACCTCTACTTTTTGCTTGTGTTATGATTTTGTGACAGTGGGAAGTCAATCTTAGAGCATTTACAGCTCTCCCGAGCTGTCAGTAACTCAGAGACTTCAACTCCGATCAAAACCTATGACTAAAAAAAATTACCATAATCCAGTGACAGGCATGAAGAGAAAGCCATAATAATACTGATAACAATGTGCCAGTTAAGAGGCTATTATATTTAGTGCCTTACTTCAGCACAGAGAAATCGTCTCAGAGTTGCCATTGATATAACCAGTGCCTTGTTAACAGATGTGACCTGATCTTTGCAGGGCCTGTCTCAGATACTTACCTGTATATACCTGTGGGAGGAAGAAGAAAAAGGTGTGTCCACCTAGAATAATTTGTTTGCTGGAAGTTCTGTTGTTGGCAGAAAATGGAAGCTACAAACTAGTGTGGTTATCAGCAGGGAATGGGATCAAAGTTTCAGTCCAACAAGTCCAGGTAATTGCCCGAACCACACTGAAAACTCTCTTCAGGGTCCTCTAAAACACTCTATGTTGTATCTTTTGCACCAGAGCTGTCCTCTCCACGGTCATCCAGGAAACTTCTTTGCCACTCTACCTTGACTTTGGACACTGAGTAGTAATACCACATACTCTGATCTCATTTTCTTGGGGCCTCTGTAGGGGACTCCAGCTGTTTGATAAGCCCATTTGAGTTAAGTTGTTAATGCAGCTAATGGTGTAAGGTGTGCCCTTCTGACTCATCTATTTGCATCTTAACAGGCAACTTTCAGCTTGAAGGCCAAGGTGTTACTACTTAGAATTTAGGGCACAGAAGGCTGGTGTGTGTCGGCAGTGATATTTGGGAGAATGAGTCTGTTTGGGAGACACTTTAGGTCATACCAGGTAAGTAGCATATTCCTTTGCCTATAGATATAGGGGGAGTGATACAGCTTTCTATTTGCATTCTGGGACTCTGTGAATCTCTTCAGTTCTTTAGAATCAGTTAAAATGCCACCTCTTCCAGACACCCTTCCTTTGTGGAAATGGGATGCATTGCTTACTGGCCTCCCCTCTGAACTTACTGTACACAGCTACAGTACACATAATCTGAATATACTTGGAGGAGTGCACATACAACTGTTATTTAAGCAATATAGGCAGTCATGTGTCATAATTCTGTATGACTGAATAACAATAGTTACTCCACCACCAGGCTAGTGAGCCCTTTTGAGAAACCGAGTTCTCTTTTGGAATAGAGATTTCAAGTCTAAGGGGCCTCTCTATTTACCAACTATAGATATTAAACTGTATTAAAGATGATTAATACAGTTATAGGTTGGGAGTAAATTAGCTATACCACCTTTTATCATCCCCACAAGGAAAAGGGTCAGACCTTTGACATATAATACAATCCTTGCAACCTCTGTTTTATAGAATCATACTTGTATTTCTTTTTTGGCTATCTATTTTCTGTGTAACAAACCATCCCAAAACTTAGTGACCTAAAACAATAACCAGTTTATTTGCTCATGATTCTGCAATTAGAGCTGAGCTCAACTTGGTGGTTCTTTTGCTGGCCTTGCCAATGGTCACTCATATGACGGCATTTAGCTAGCTGTACAGCTGTGGCCTAGGCTCAGCGGGAATGCTGGCATGGCTGGACCTCACTCTCTCTCTCTCTTTCTCTCTCTCTCTCGTCTTGAGAACTCAGGGGCCTGGACTTCTCCAAATGATCTCTCCAGCAGAGAGGCTGGACATCTTCTATAGCACCTCAGGGCTCCTAAGAACGCGGAAGTAGGAGTTGCCAGGTCTTATTAAGACTGAGTCCTGAAACAGGTGCAGCATCACTTCCACTGCACTCTCTTGGTTAAAGCAAGTCACATACCCAACCCAGAGTGGAGTACATGAGGTCCTGACTTCCAGGAGGTGTGTACACCAGGAGGGGTGTTTCACTGGGGGCCATCAATGTAATGAACTGTCATAGCAAGTGAGGCAGAGCATTGATTCTAGCAATTCTTTTAGAGACTCTGAGACCCTTGGAGACAGAACTGTAGAGATCATCTAGCCCAACTCATTGAGGAAACGGAGGTCCTGATGACTACTGTCCACAGGGGCCGTGTGGATGCTCTGGGTTTTCGCTTAAAGAAGTGACAAGTTAAGGAACCATATATATTTTGTAGAGAAAAAGGTCTTGAAATGGTAGTGGCCAATTTTCAAAAATTTCAAATACATAGCATATCCCAGAGAATGAGGATATGCTATATTTTTAGACAAAGTATGCTAAGTCACTACTGATCAAACAATCACTGGAATGACTTGACAAGAGGAACAGAGTGCCACTTATCTGAATTCTCAGCCAAATGGGAGGATGTTTCTTTTCCTTTATAGGCTTATTGTTAAAAGGTGTTTTGTACAACCGAATAATTTCCCTCTAAAGAAATAAAAGAAATCCTGGGAACCAGTAAGATTCATGACTCCTGCAAAATCCTAAATTTCCCTCAATAATTTCCCTTTTCTAAAAAGAAAAAAAAGTCGCTGGATGACCAAGATTGTTCTAAATTCCTGGGTTGGTATTTAGGCTCACGGAGTAGTTTCTTCAGTTGAGGTTTCTGAGCATCTTCTCAGGAAGATGGCGCTGCCTCAGACTTTCCCAGCACAGTGCCCCTAGTGGCAGAAGAGAAGGTTGCGTGCTGCTGGGCTCTAGCTCTAAATGTACCTGAAAATACTTTTTCTTGAATTCTCCTCTTAATCTTTAAAATTTATGTTAACCTTTCCTTCTGCTCTATGATATATTCATAATTGTTTTAAAATAAAATATAATGTTTTAGATTATTCATCACTTACGGGGATAGTCAAGGCTATCCCCGTTTCCCCCTCCCCTCCCCTCCCCTCCGTCTAATTACTGGACATCTTTGAAACACTTGACAAAATCAATTATTTTTTAAATTTTAGATTAAATTATTTTCGGCAAACGTTTTAAGTCCCTCCCCTTTGACCTCCGTGGGACGAATATACAGTCATATACTACATAACAACCTTTCTGTCAACAACAGACCACATATAGAATGGTGGTCCCATAAGATTATAATGAAGCTAAAACATTCCCACCACCTACAGAGGTTGTAGCCGTGGGAAAGTCGTAGCACAATGCATTACTCACGTGTTTGTGGTGATGCTAGTGTAAACAAACCTGCTGTGCTGCCAGCCACATGAAAGTCTAGCATATGCAATTATGTACAGTATGTAAAACTTGATCATAATAATAAACTATGTTACTGGTTTATATATTTACTACACTATACTTTTAATCGTTATTTTAGGGTATACTCCTCCTACTTAGAAAAAAGTTAGCTACAAAATAGCCTCAGGCAGTTACTTCAGGAGCTATTCTAGAAGAAGGCATTGTTAGCATGGGTGATGACAGTTCCATGCTGCCCCTGAAGACCTGCCAGTGGGACAAGATGTGGAGGTGGAAGACAGTGAGATTCATTGTCCTTACTCTGTGTAGGCCTAAGCTAGTCTGTGTTTGTATCTTAGTTTTTAACAAAAAAGTTTAAAATGTAAAGAAAATACATAATTTTAAAAATAGAAAAATGCTTTTAAAATAGTATATAAAGAAAATATATTTCTCAGACATTGGTACAATGTGTTTGTGTTTTAAGTGTTATTACAAAAGAGACAAAAAGCTTTTAACAATTTTAAAATGTATAAAGTAAAATAGTTACAGTAAGCTGAGGTTAATTTATTATTGAAGGCTGTAAGTTAATTTATTATTTTCTAGATAAATGTAATGTAGCTTACGTCTACAGAGTTTATAAAGATTACAGTAGTGTGCAGTAATGTCCCAGGCCTTCACATTCACTCACCACTCACTCACTGACTCACAGAGCAACTTCCAGTCCTGCAAGCTCCATTCATGGTATAAATGCCCTATACAGGTGCACCATTTTAAATTTTTTATAGTGTACCCTTACTGTAGCTTTTCCATGTTTAGGTATATGTAGACACCCAATACTTAGCATGGTGTTGCCACTGCCTACAGTATTCAGTACAGTATCATGCTGTATAGGTTTGAAGCCTAGGAGCAATGGGCTATTTCATATAGCCCAGTGTAGTGGGCTATACCATCTAGCTTTGTGTAAGTACACTTGTGTTAGGCCGTTCTTGTGTTGCTATAAAGAAATACCTGAGACTGGGTAATTTAATAAGAAAAGAGGTTTAATTGCTCATAGTTTTGCAGGCTGTACAGGAAGAATGTGCCAGCATCTGCTCAGCTTCTCGGGAGGCCTTGGGGAGCTTTTACTCATCTATTTTTATCAGCTGACTGAACACGTCTAAGCAAATACTTGGCGGCACCTCAAAGTTAAGTGTCCAAAACTGAACTCATTATGTTCTCCACAAAATCTGCTTCTCCTCCTGTATTCCCAATCTTAACACAACCATCTTCCCAGCCACCCATGTTAACAACTTTGAGGATATATTTGACCTCTCCTCCTCATTTCCCAAGCCTAGTCACCAAAATCCTGCTGAATCTAGTTCTAAAACATACAGAAAAACCTTTTAGCTAGTCCAGGACCACACCATCTCTTGCTTGGGCTTTGCTTAGCTCAGGTCACTATAACAAAATACCATAGAATGGGAGGTTTAAATAATAGACATTTATTTCTACAGTTCTGGAGACTGGGAGGTCCAAGATAAAGATGCAGAAAGACTTGGTTCTTGGTGAGGGCCTTCTTCCTGGCTTGCAGACTGTTGCTTTCTTGCTGTGTCCTCACATGGAGGAGACAGGATGTTCTGGTACCTCTTCCTCTTCTTATAGGGGCATTAATCCCATCATGAGGGCCCCATTTACCCTCTTGACCCCTGCTAAACCTAGTTATTTTCCAAAGTCCTGCCTCCTAGTCCCATCACATTGGGGGTTGGGGCTTCAACATATGAGTTTGGGGAAGATACAAACATTCATTCCATAACAGACTTTTACACTGATGTCCTAAATTTCCCTCTCACTTTCAATCTTTTCTCCCCTCATCTACACAGCTTTCAGATTTTTTTTTCTAAAGTACAGTAATGGCACATTGCTCACTTGGGTAAGTTTTCAGTAGCTCCCTGTATTATTTAACCACGACATTTGCAGCAAGGCAGAATCAGGCCCAACCCATCCATTTCATCTCCAATTATTCCTTCCTCTGGCCCCACCCTCTCTTCTTTGTTTCTCTTTGCTAATACTCTTTCCTCTGCCTCTTTCTGTGCGGCAAGGCAGATGATACTCATTTTTGTTTCTCGCTCACCTCAAATGTGATGGCTTTCATGAAGTCACCTCCGCAGACAGAATTAATCATTCTCTTATCTGTGATTTATGGGTCAGTGGTTCTTAACATTGGTTGCATATTAGAATCACCTGGTGTATTAGTTAGAGTTCTCCAGAGAAACAGAATCAACAGAATGTATGTATGAAAGAATACACAGGATAGATATTTATAATAAGGAATTGACTCATGCAATTATGGAGGCTGAAAAGTCCCAAAATTTGCGGTAGGCAAGCTGGAGACACAAGAGAGCTGATGTTGTAGTTCCATTCCAAAGGCCAGAAGGATCAAGACCTAAACAGAGCCAATGTTTCAGTTCAAGTCCAAAGGCAGGAAAAGAAAACAACAACAACAACAAAACCCAGCATCTCAGCTTGACGATAGTCAGCCAGGAGGAATTCCCTTTATTCAGGGGAGGATCAGGCTTTTTGTTCTATTCAGGCTTTTCACTAACTGGAAGAAATCCACTCACATTGGAGAGAGCAATCTGCTTCACTCAGTGTATCGATTTGAGTGTTAATCTCACCCCAAAACACTCACACAGACACACTCATAATAATGTGTGACCAAGTATCTGAGTACCCTGTGGCCCAGTCAAGTTGATATACAATTAATCATTACACCAGGGAAACTTAAAATATACACTGATTCTGCTGGGATCCAGCCCAGGGCTTTTGTGGTTTCATTGGTCTGGGGATTTTTCCTGAAGCCAGGGGAAAATTGCCAACTAAATTTTCATATATATGATTACATTACATATGTAATTACATTACATATATTATGTTATGTGTAATATAATTATATGTATATATGTATGTGTGTATATATATGCTACTATATATATATTATATGTGTGTGTATATATATATATCTTTCAATAGAGTGTGGAATCCTTAAAGGCAGGGTCTGGACTTAGCCATGGTTATCTCAACACCGGCCTGGAAATTGAACCACACTGTGGCATAACGGTTATGATTATGGTTATGGTTATGTTATGGGTTGAATTATGTCCCCCCCAA
Organism: Homo sapiens; assembly: GCF_000001405.40. Lineage (NCBI taxonomy): Eukaryota > Metazoa > Chordata > Mammalia > Primates > Hominidae > Homo > Homo sapiens. The sequence goes on from NC_000004.12 coordinate 151,805,447, forward strand.
AAATTGAAGTCTTAATCCCCTATGCCTCAGAATGTGACCTTGTTTGGAAATAAGGTTGTTGCAGATGTAATTAGTTAAGATGAGGATAATGGATGTAGATAAAAGATGAAATACTGGAGTAGGATAGACTTCTAGTGTCCTTATAAGAGGAGAAGAGACACTGAGACGCACAGGGAGAATGCCATGTGACAATGAAGGCAGAGATTGGAGTTGGTAGCTATAAGCCAAGGAAAGCCAAAGGTTGACAGCAAGCCAGTAGAAGCTAGGAAGAGGCAAGGGTGAAACCCTATGGGTTTCAAAGGGAGCACAGCCCTGCTGGCACCTTGACCTAGGACTTCTGGCCTCCAGACTGTGAGAAAAGAATACACTTCTGGTGTTTTTTTTTTTTTCTGAGACGGAGTCTCACTCTGTTGCCCAGGCTGGAGTGCAGTGGCGCGATTTCGGCTCACTGCCAGCTCCGCCTCCCGGGTTCACGCCATTCTCCTGCCTCAGCCTGCCGAGTAGCTGGGACTACAGGCGCCCGCCACCATGCCCGGCTAATTTTTTGTATTTTTGGTAGAGATGGGGTTTTGCCGTGTTAGCCAGGATGGTCTCCATCTCCTGACCTCGTGATCCGCCCGCCTCGGCCTCCCAAAGTGCCGGGATTACAGGCGTGAGCCACCGCGCCCGGCCCTACACTTCTGGTTTTAAGCCGCTGAATTGTAGTACCTTGTTAAGGCAGCCCTAGGAAACCAATCAAATAACCAGTAAGAGTGAAGCTGTGCTTGCAGGAGAGGGGGGTGCACTAAATTTATGGGAAGGTAGAGTGGGATAAACAAGAATTGGTCATTCTTTCACTATGGTGTGAGGAAGGAGTGTTTTGAGAATTACTTGCTTATTTTTCTGTTTGAGCTTTAAGGTTTGGGATTTTCCACATGCTGGTGATCTTGAGATATATAATTGAGTCCCTTGAGTTGAACACCTTTCCAGAAATGATCACCCGAACTGATAACTGTTCTCATTTCTCAAGCTACCCATAGATCTACTAGAAATTAATACGCAGACCCCTGGCTTATCCATTTCTCATTTTTTTCACTAAAGCTTGATCAACTCAGGGCTCATTCGTCAGAGCACATTTCTGGATCTGTAAGATCTGGGATGAGTCAGGGGCTCACCAAGGTCATTGGGAAGCACTGCCTGCCCAGCCATCTGCCCCTCACTCTTTGACGTCTCTTTAAATTAAACACCACATCCCGTGGTAAAATTGTTCTTGCTCTATTAATAGCCAGCTTGGCTCGTGTTGCACTGAAAATCCACGGAGGAAGGGTGTCAGAGAGAAGAAAAAGGCTACAGACCCAAGGGCACATTTCTTGGTCAGATGACTCCAGTCTCTGAGGAATCCCAAGAATTCTCTGTGTAAAATGCCTGGGCCTTCTCCTCCGCTTCTCCTGTGACTTCTTTTTCTAAGATCTCATCAACCAAAGTGAACTTTCCCCTTTTCCTTCCCCAATATTTTCATGCTTGAATTTATTTTTGATCAGGAAATGCTACAAGGTTACTTTAAGAGAAGTATCCAAACCCCTTTCTGTGGACTCATGAGACATTTCTAACTTCATCCATGTCATTACTGAATTAAAATGGAAACCTTCCACTCCCAGTTGTTACTGATGCTTTCTGCAGCCGCATCTTTATAAAATTGTGATATAATTTTACAACTGATTGGCCTACAATTTTATAGGGCTGCCACAAACTCACATCTGCTCCCCGAGATGGGCCCTGGTAGCTTCCTAACTTCTCTCTGTACTATTTTCTCTAAATTTCCCATCCTGGCCCTGACCGAGTGCTCTTTCCTTCTGCTGGCTGCCACACTTGGGTCACCTCCTCACGGCTGTCACCACTCCACAGTCAGGAAGTCCCTGCCAAAGCTTCTCGGGCTATTTTTCAAATGTTTGACCTTTGCCCATTCCTGACGCACCCACTACTCACATTCTTCCTGCCTCCTCTCTCTACACCCTGATTTCTTGGCCTTTATAGTCCCCAGCTCCCTACCCTGGCCCTCATTACTGGCGGTGTGCCAGCCTTTAAATCCAGTTTCATCATCGTGCCCTGTGGTGTAAAGACAGAGAAGTGTCTCTCTGCCTAGGGACAGGAGTTCTTGGCGCCACTAAAGAGGTTGTCTTCTGGTCCCCACCCTTCCATCTTGGAAAAAGCTCCAACTCCAAGTGCTTCATAATGGTGGGGTGTGGCTTTCTTTAGAAAATCCCAGGTGATTTCTCTAAAAGACAGGTGCAAAATGCAGAGGGGATGAGGGTGGAGCTATTCCTGGACTCCTTTTTTTTTTTTTTTCTCAGAAGCTGGTTTTGGTCAGCTTTGATGTTAACCCTAGCATCTGCACAATGTCCTGCTTGCTTAGTTCTCTTCACTGGTGGTTCCCGGGGATAGGAAAAGCAGGCTGGAGAGGCCAGCACATTAGCAATGCACTGGATGTTTAGAGTTGCTCTCCTGTACCCAACCCAGGCCACCCCCTCCCCCCACTCCCCGGGTCTGTGTCCGGGGCTTTGTACAGTGTTGTTTCTCAAAGTGTGGTCTGGGGATGAGCAGCGTCAACATCATCAAGGAGCTTGTTAGAAATGCAGAATCCCAGGTGCCATCTGTGACCTCCTGAATCAGAATCTCATTTTAGCATGATCTCCAGGTAGTTCTTATGCACACATCGCAGCAGGAACAGTGGTGTTCCACGTGTGTGTGCAGCCGCCCAGGGCAGCGGGAGCCTGCCCAGTGCCCCCGGAGCAGCTGAAGGAACACCTTCAAGAATGTAGCAGGCTAAGTGCATTTAGAGGTTATCAGTGTGTCAGCGAGGCAACCTCTTTGTGGGGATCATTTAATTAATGTTAATTGCTCTTGGCCTGTTGTGTGACTCTGGCAGGATTTACGGAAAATCACCGTAATCTAAAACCCTATAAAAGAGTCATTGCTTTTAGAGGCCTTGTGACTCATGCCCGGAGACACCTTCTGATACTTGATGCATCACACAGATGTATAAATAATGCCCACATCTGCATAATCCTCAGAGGCATCAAGGCACTTCATTTTTGGTGGGGGCAGGTGCACCCAGGTGAAGAGCAGTGCTCCTCATATGTTATGATCTGGGTGGCAGTTGGTGAGAATTTGCTTTACAAAGAGAAATGATTTATCCAGTTTTATTACCCAATTCTGTGCTTTCATGGATTACATAAATTTTGTTATTGCCATCAGCCCAGTGGATGTTTAAAGTGGTTTCCATATTGCATGACACCCCATCCCTCCTCCTCTTAGCATCTCACAGGTCAGGGAGAGGAAGAAGTAGGCTTGAAATACACATAGTGACAGGTGATGGCTCATGAGGCACAATCCCAGGAAAGCTCGCAGAGCGCTTCCCAATGGCAGGCGCCTGCGCAAACACAGCTAGTAGGTTAGAAAGGGAATTATGGGGCTGGGACATACCTGTCTGTGCTAACCCCATGTCTGAGGTCACACTCATTTAAAGAAAAGAGCATGTTTGCCTTTTCAACATTGATCTTTACCTCCTTGCCCCTCCCCTCTTTTCTTAAGCTCTCTGTTCCCTTCAATTTGAAAGGGATGTAAGTGCATTTTGGACTCATTCGCCCTCTGTTTCAATTAATTACCCTCAAGAGTAACTTATTTTCCATACTTATCCTCCTGAGAGGAGTTGGGCCTCTGAAACTTTCACTCTTCAAGCTTCAAACAACAATTTCTTACAGTTATTTTTTTCCTAATATGAAGGATGTCTTACTTTTAACTTTGAAAACAATCTCTTTCATGATCCTGAAGATTTCTTTATCCTCACACATTCCATCCCTTCCCCAAACCCAGAGCATCATTGTCTTGCTTGAGATGAGACCAAATCCTACTCATCTTCCCTGAGTAATCCTTATTTTGGTTGAAGGCTGACAGTTTCTGGTTTGCTTTTGCACTTGCTGGTTCTCTCAATCCTCACTAAAATCCTGTAACCTAAACAGAGCAAGTATCTCAGTACCTATTTCACAGATAGAGAAACTAAGGTCAGGAAGCCTTTTTCAGGGAGCAGAGCGGGGGCCAGAATGAAGACGTCCAGCTTCCTGTACAGAGCAATTGTGGCCACCCCAGGGCCACCTCAGCACACTGGGTTTTCCACAGACTCTAGCTTTCCGGCACCATGATGGCAGCAGCACTGTGCTCACGGGCCAGCCTTGACAAATGTTCTCTGCTGTGCTGTGGGGCTGCCCTCATTTTATCCAGGGAAGGCCATGGCCACAGACCTCACTGGGTATGGCACTCTCTCTTGAGCTTGGTTTATCATCCTGTGTGGGCATGAGCCACGTGGGTGCTGTCGTAACAGCATTGGAGTCCCTACATATCTCCCCTAATTCTTCCCTGATCAGCCTGCAGCACAAATGCTCTGCTCTTCTCACAGGTCTTTTAGGCTATGGTAATTGCTCTGGGAGCAATGACCCATTTTTCCACACCGAACAGCATGCGCCATCTGCGGGCTTTCTCGCCCAAATGATTCAAATTCTCTTAAATCCAGTTTCACTGTCACTTGTCATTTGCTCTGTGTCCCAGCCTTGCATTGTCTGCTAATCTGGAGATCTGAATTTCTGTTGTTTTCCTCCTTTCCACCAGTAGATGAGTTGACAGGGATTCAGTGATTCCTAAGAAAGACAGATTTAAAAAAATGCTTCATTCACTCACTCATTCATTTATTATTGAGCACTTACCTTGCCCAAAGCCCAGTGCTGAATACTGGGGGACAGAAAGCTGGTCAAGGCCAGATGATTCCTGCTGGCCAGCAACAGATATGCCAACAACGACCCCCCCAGTGAACCAGAGCCAAATGAACAAGAAGGGGTAGCATGGAATATTAAATCCCCTCCACATCCCATTAGAATTAAGCTCCTAATGGTAAGGACGATAAACAGTCTTGCTTGCTGACAAATCCCCAGGACCTAGAAGAATGCTTGGCTTGTGTGGTGCTCAGTAAGTATTGAATTGAGTTTAAATTTACATTATTGACCCAGGTTCTCCACCCTCCCTTATTCACATCTTTGCCATACGACCAGGCAGCTCCTCTACTGGAGGAGAATACTTCCCCACTGCTCCACTTTGGGCTCCCATATGTGGCTTGCTTTGACCAATGGCATCCAGGGGAAGTACGTGACAATCTGTTAGTTCCAAGTCTAGGTCCCTAACAGCTGTCACGTATTTCCACTCTTTTTTGGCCTCTGTCACTGCCACAAGAAGAGCATGTCTTGTCTAGCCCACTGGTCCAAAGAGGATGAGACAGTAAAGAGGATCCAGACCCACAAACTTGCAGTGTAGAGCCAAATTCCCCAGCCTAGTACAGCCTATGTTAACTCCCTCTTCCAACCCACAGATGCAGGAGCAAGTCAGCCAAGATCAGCAGAGCCGCTTCAGCTGAGCCCAGCTGACCCACAGATGTATGAACATTGTTATTTTAAGATGTGGAGAATTGGGATGGTTTATTATGCAGCACTGCTGTGAAAATAGCTCACTGATACTGTCTCAGTTTGCTACCTGATTTCTTTCTGGGACTGGATCTGTAAGGCATTATTTGCCCTCATGGTTGCTCCAAAACCAAGGGTTGGCAAACTTTGTAAAGGCTCAGACAGCAAATATTCTAGGTTTTGTGGGCCACATACAGTTTCTGTTGCATTCTCCCTCACTTGCTCTCTCTCTTTTTTCTCCCCAGGCTTTGGTTTGGATTTGGCCCATGAATTATAATTTATCCAATCCCATTCTAAACCACCAGAAACATACTAATTGGTAAAGGTTTTTATCTAGACTTCAGATTCAAATCAGAATTCCATCTATTTATTGAGGGCCTACTATAAGCCAGGACTCTTCCAGGCACTTTAAAATTCATTGTCTTATTTTATTGTGTGAAGATGACTTTCCCATCAAGGAGATAAGCACAAGGGGCTTCAATAAAATTATGGCAGACACAAGCTAATTTTTTTCTCCCATCAAAGAACCTATAGCCTGTGCTTCATTATTACCTGTGTCTCACTTTTATAGGTGAGACTGACCCTGGAAATCAGAGGCAGATTTGAGGTTCTCTTGACTTTCACTTTGGACTATAAAGCTGGTCACATTGTGATTTGTAAGCTGGGCTACTCAGTAGGGTGCTGGCAGCACTTGAAAAGAAAGGGTAAACAGGATGTGACTTCCTGGATCACCACTTTTTTTAGTGGCAAAAAGTTTAATTAACATAAGTGTTAATTTCAAATGTTTTAAAATATGAAAGGACATTATTAAAAGAATGGGGGAAAATCACATGAAGTTTCAAGATAATATAAGACTTAAAGACATTTTGAATTTTTAGCTTTGGACTCATGCCCAAGCCTCTATTACTATCTTTTCAACCCTTTTTTGTTATTAAGGGACTTTGTTAGGAAATTGTTAGGAAAGTTAGAGAAACATCTCCCTACCTCCCTCCCTCCCTCCCTCTCTCCCTCTCTTCCTTCCTTCCTTTTTTCTTTCTTTTTTTTTTTTTTGCAAAAGCACAGGTGTTAGAGGTTGTTTTTTTTTAAAGAGCTCAATACATTTTTTATTTGATTACATGTTGAATGAATATTTTAGATATACTGGGTGAAATAAAATGTATTATTAAAGTTAATTTTACTTATTTTTCTTTACTTCTTTTTCATGTGGCCACTAGCAAATTTAAAATTATAGCATGGCTTGCATTTGTGGTGCATATTGTATTTTTGTTGTCCAGTGCTGATCTATAATATAGCATCCAAGTTGATTGTCTACAGAGTTCTTTTTTCATGGGGCCTCTTGAATAAACGTAGCTCTTTTTTCCTTCTTCTTCTTCTTCCTTTTTTTTTAGATGGAGTGTTATGCTGTTGCGTAGGCTGGAGTGCAGTGGCGCGATCTTGGCTCACTGCAACCTCTTCCTCTCAGGTTCAAGTGATTCTCCTGCCTCAGTCTCCCGAGTAGCTGGGATTACAGGCAGCATGCCAGGCTAATTTTTGTATTTTTAGTAGAGATGGGGTTTTGCCATGTTGGCTCCACCTTTAGACTGTCCCTTTAGACTACTGCAACACTTAAATGTTGCACTCGACCTCCCAAAGTGCTGGGATTATAGGCATGAGCCACTGCACAGGTGCTAGAGTTTTATGTAGTCTTTTTGGCCTCCTGTCTTGCTTGCAGCAGTTTTGTTATAAGAAGCAGTACAATCCATAGGGTCCTCTTATTTAGAGAAAACTGTCCCACCAAAGATAATCGCCCAGCTGGAGTCCAGTTTCTCTCCTTATAGACCAAGCTCCAGATTCTTGGGCTTTGAGCATCCAGAATTTGTTGTCCTGAACTTCACCTAGTGTGCATATCCCAGCCTTATGAGGTGGCCTGGGGCAGCTCTTTGTACAGGATGGTAATAGGGCGGAGAGAGTTTGAACACTGTCTTCTTATATTAATAAGAAAAATAAAACGAAATAGTGGTAAAGTGTTGGGATGGCGAAAATTTTGGGGGATGGTATGGAGAGATAATGGGCGATGTTTCTCAGGGCTGCTTTGAGCGGGATTAGGGGCGGCATGGGAACCTAGAGTGGGAGAGATTAAGCTGAAGGAAGATTCTGTGGTAAGGGGTGATATTGTGGGGTTGTTAGAAGAAACATTTGTCATTTAGAATGATTGGTGATGGCCTGGATACAGTTTTGTATGAATTGAAAAACTAAACGGAATAAGAGAAGGAGAAAAACAGGTATTAAAGGACTAAGAATTGGAAGGACCTAGGACATCTAATTAGAGAGTACCTAAGGAGGTTCAGCATAGCCTTGCCAGTAAGGATTATTTATTTACTTTAAGAGTTAAGAGTGGTGGTTTGGGGATAGCACCAGGAGATATCAGCTGTGATGGCTTGGAGAAACAGTGTAAACTGGCAGTGTAAACAAGAGCAGGGCATGTATGAGTAGTTGAGAACGGTGAATAGGAGTATGACTAGACAGAAGACAGTAGGGATGACAAGTTTTTTGGGGCACAATCCAAGTTGGTCTGGTGTCTGGAATGAGACTGGGGCCTAATAAAAAGGAGCGTCTATACGGGAGCTTAAATGGGCTGTACTTTGTAGCATTTTGAGGACAGGCCTGAATTCTGAGAAGGGGAAGTGGTAAAAGTATTGTCCAGTCCTTTTTAAGTTGGTGGCTGAGCTTGGTGAGGTGTGTTTTTAAAAGACCTTTAGTCCGTTCTACTTTTCTTGAAGACAGAGGACCGTAAGGGATATAAAGGTTTCACTGAATACTAAGAGCCCGAAAAACTGCTTGGCTGATTTGACTAATAAAGGCTGGTCTGTTATCAGACTATAGAGGTGGGAAGGCCAAACTGAGGAATTATTTCCAACAGAAGGGAAGAAATGACTACGGTGGCTATCTCAGACCCTGTAGGAAAGCCTCTACCTATTCAGTGAAAGTGTCTACCTAGACTAAGAGGTATTTTAGTTTCCTGATTCAGGACATGTTGAGGAGTAAAGCTAATTTGCCAGTCCTGGGCGGGGGCAAATCCCTGAGCTTGATGTGTAGGGAAGGGAGGGGGCCTGAATAATCCCTAAGGTGTAGTAGAATAGCAGATGGAACACTGATAAGTTATTTCCTTGAGGATAGATTTCTACGATGGAAAGGAAATGAGAGGTTCTAAGAGGCGGGCTAGTGGCTTGCACTATAGCATAGCCTGCCTTTGCTGGTGTGTGGCGATTAGGCCTGGTGGAACCGCCATCAATAAATCAAGCATGATCAGGGTGAAGAACAGGAAAGAAGGAAATATGGGGAAATGGGGTGAATGTCAGGTAGATCAGAGAGATACAGTCATGAGGGTCAGGTGTGGTATCAGGAATAATGTGGGAGGCCGGATTGAAGTCTGGGCCAGGAACAATGGTAATTGTGGGACTTAACAAAGAGTGAGTACAGCTGAAGGAGCCGGGGAGCAGAAAGTATATGTGTCAGGTATGAGGAAGAAAATTGATTTTGGAAGTTATGAGAAATGTAGAGAGTGAGTTGAGCATAGTTTGTGATTTTTAGGGCCTCTAAAAGTATTAGGGCAGGAGCAGCCACTGCACACAGACATGAGGGCTAGACTAAAACAGTAAGGTCAAGTTATTTGGACAGAAAGGCTACAGGTGCGGTCCTGGCTCTTGTGTAAGAATTCTGACCATACTAACTATGCCTAGGAAGGAAAGGAGTTGTTGTTTTATAAGGGATTGAGGTTTAGGAGATTAATTGGACATGATCAGCAGGGAGAGCACGTGTGTTTTTATGAGAATTATGCCGAGGTAGGTAACGGATGGAGAAGAAATTTGAGCTTTGGAGGGGGATACCCAATATCCTTTGGAGAATAAATGCAGAAGGAGCAGAAGTGTGTCTTGTTGAGAAGATTCAAAGGAGGGGCTACAAAGAAGAAGGTCATCAATATATTGAATAAGGTGAGAAGCAGAGGGGTGGAAAGAAAGTAAATCATGAGAAAGAGCTTGGCTGAAGTAATGAGGACTGTCCCTGAAACCTTGCGGCAGCACAGCCAAGGTAAGCTGCTGGGACTGATGGGTGTCAGGGTCAGTCCAGGTGAAAGCAAAGAGAGGCTGGGACGAGGAGTGCAGGGGAATAGTGAAAAAAGCATCTTTAAGATCAAGAATGGAATAGTGAGTTGTGGAGGAAGGTATTGAGGACAAAGGAGTGTACGGTTTTGGCACAACAGGGGGGATAGGCAAAACAATTTGGTTGATAAGGTGCAGATCCTGAACTAATCTGTAAGACTTGTCAGGTTTTTGGACAGGTAAAATGGGGGAATTGTAAGGAGAGTTTATAGGTTTTAGAAGCCCATGCTGTAGCAGGCGAGTGATAACAGGCTCTAATCCTTTTAAAGCGTGCTGTGGGATGGGATATTGGCGTTGAGCGGGGTAAGGGTGATTAGGTTTTAATGAGATGGTAAGGGGTGCATGATCGGTCACCAAGAAGGGAGTAGAGGTATCTTATACTTGTGGGTTAAAGTGGGGGAATACAAGAGGAGGATGCAAAGGAGGCTTTGGATTGGGAAGAAGGGCAGCAATGAGATGTAGCTGTAATCCAGGAATAGTCAGTGAAGCAGATAATTTAGTTAAAGTGTCTCGGCCTAACAAGGGAACTGGGCAGGTGGGGATAACTAAAAGGAGTGCTTAAAAGAGTGTTGTCTAAGTTGGCACCAGAGTTGGGGAGTTTTAAGAGGTTTAGAAGCCTGGCTGTCAATACCCACAACAGTTATGGAGGCAAGGGAAACAGGCCCTTGAAAAGAAGGTAATGTGGACTGGGTAGCCTCCGTATTGATTAAGAAGGGGACGGACTTACCTTCCACTGTGAGAGTTATGTGAAGCTTGGTGTCCGTGATGGTCTAGAGGGCTTCCGAGGTGATCGGGCAGCATCAGTCTTCAGCCACTAAGCTGAGAAGGAGTCAGTCAGAGAGCCTTGGGCCAGAGTTCCAGGGGCTCTGGGAGTGGCTGCCAGGTGAGTTGAACAGTCTGATTTCCAGTGGGGTCCCGCACAGTTGGGACACGGCTTAGGAGGAATCCTGGGCTGTGGGCATTCCTTGGCCTGGTGGTCAGATTTCTGGCACTTGTAGCAAGCTCCTGGGGGAGGAGGTTCTGGAGGAACGCCTGGCCACTGCGGTTCAGCGTTTGGAAGTTCTTGCGTGCTGGAGATGTGGCTGGGGTTTGTCTCACTGTGGAGGCAAGGCATTGCAACTTTTTTCTATTATTGTACACCTTGAAGGCAAGGTTAATTAAATCCTGTTGTGGGGTTTGAGGGCCAGAATTTAATTTTTGGAGTTTTATTTAATGTCAGGAGCAGATTGGGTAATAAAATATATTTTGAGAATAAGACGGCCTTTTGACCTTTTAGGGTCTAGGGCTGTAAAGTGTCTCAGGGTTGCTGCCAAACAAGTCATGAACTGGGCTGGATTTTTATATTTGATGAAAAAGAGCCTAAATGCTATCTGATTTGGGATAAAGAAAAAGGAGCATTAACCTTGACTATGTCTTTAGCTCCAGCCACCTTTTTAAGAGTAAATTGCTGGGCAGGTGGGGGAGGGCTAGTCATGGAAGGAAGCTGTAAGCCAGACCAGGTGTGAGGAGGGGAGGTGATAAAATGATTATAGGGTGTGGGAGCAGAGGCTGAGGAAGAATTAGGAGCTAACTCGGCCTGGTGAGGAGGGGAGAGGTCAGATAGGTCTGTAGAAAAGGAAGATTAGAAAGACTCAGTGACGCTTGGGGTTGGGACTGAGGGGACAGGTGGGAGGGAAAGAAGGAAGATTTGGGATGAGTTGCACTGGGAACAGAGACTAGAGAGGGACCGATGTATAAAAGAATGCCTGGACATCAGGCACCTCAGACCACTTGCCCAGTTTACGACAAGAATTATTTAGATCTTGCAGGATGGAAAAACTGAAAGTGCCGTTTTCTGGCTATTTGGAACTACTGTCGAGTTTGTATTGGGGTCAAGTGGCATTGCAGAAGAAAATAAGACACTTAGATTTTAGGTCAGGTGAGAGTTGAAGAGGTTTTAAGTTCTTAAGAACACAGGCTAAGGGAGAAGAAGGAGGAATGGAAGGTGGAATCTTGCCCAGAGTGAAGGAGGCAAGCCCAAAGAAAAGAGTAGAGACATGGAGAAGGGGTAGGGGGTTCTTGCCCTCCAGAAAAGCAGAGAAGGGGTCGACGTGCAGAGATATGAGGTTGGGGCATGGAAATAAGGGATCGGGGTGCAGAGATATGAGGTTGGGGTACTTGCCCCTCCCCTAGAAAAGCGGGACTTGCCGCTAAGGGTGAAGGAGAAGGGGTTGGGGGTTTCTTGCCCCCCAGAAAGGCGAAGAAGGGGTAGAGACACAGAGAGAAGGGGTTGGGGTCCTTGTCCCTCCCCCAGAAAAGCAGGACTTGCCACTAAGGGTGAAGGACCAAGGCAGGCATCCCTGCGTGGTCTCACACCTCTGAAACGTGGGTGAATAATCAGAGAGGCGTACCTGCAATGATTAAACACCAAGGGAAGGCTGCCTTCCCAGTCTGTGACCGGCACTGGAGTTTTGGGTCCACGGATAAAACGTGTCTCCTTTGTCTCTACCAGAAAATGAAAGGAATTGAAATTAAAAGAAGGGAGAGATTGAAGTGTGGCACCAAGATTGAAAGGAGAAAGAGGTTGAGGGATAATGAGGGAGGTTGGAGAAGAGGGTAAAAAGAGGCCGCTTACCAGATTTGAAATTGGTGAGATGTTTCTTGGGCTAGTCGGTCTGAGGACCTGAGGTCGTAGGTGGATCTTTCTCATGGAGCAAAGAACAGGAGGACAGGGGATTGATCTCCCAAGGGAGGTCCCGCGATCCAAGTCACGGCACCCAATTTCATTCGTGTCTGTGTGAAGAGACCACCAAACAGGCTTTGTGTGAGCAATAAAGCTGTTTATTTCACCTGGGTGCAGGTGGGCTGAGTTCGAAAAGAGAGTCAGCAAAGGGAGATAAGGGTGGGGCCGTTTTATAGGATTTGGGTAGGTAAAGGAAAAAGGGGGGTTGTTCTCTGGCAGGCAGGAGTGGGGGGTCACAAGGTACTCAATGGGGGAGCTTTTGAGCCAGGATGAGCCAGGAGAAGGAATTTCACAAGACAATGTCATCAGTTAAGGCAGGAACAGGCCATTTTCACTTCTTCTGTGGTGGAATGTCATCATTTAAGGCAGGAACCAGCCATCTGGATGTGTACGTGCAGGTCACAGGGGATATGATGGCTTAGCTTGGGCTCAGAGGCCTGACAAACACTCAGGCTGCGATGTCCACATGCAGGCATGCCAGCTCTCCTGGTGCTGCAGGGAGTGGGGGTAGGAAGAGAAGTGTGTGAGCCATAGGCTGAGGCCTCTGTTTGCACCCTTGCTGGGGCCCACAGATGTTTAGGATGACCCCAATTCTAAGTGCATGCAGGTAATGCTATGCTCTGCTGATCTGGTGGTTCTCGTGTATAGAAACACTAATTAATGACAAAATTTAGGAAGTGTCGCTGGGCCTGCTTTTGTGTGTTCACCTGTTTATTTTCCCTTTTGAAAAATCTTTAGGTTGTGAGGCGATTTTAAAAATTTAAGGCAAAAGTTGTAAAAAGGTCAAAATTTCCTCTGCATTTAAAGTGGTTTCTTGTCCATATACCCCTGTACTTATGAAGATGCTTACCTTTTTAGTCCAGGTTTTTATTCTGCTGTTGGTTCAAGCTCCTTTCATCAGCTAGAGGTCATCTGATAAAATATGCTTAGAATTGGCAATTCTTTTAATTTGGAGAATATTAAGCACTGATTTCAGGACCTCTCTAGTCATTTCTTTCAGCATTTAAACATTAAAAAATGAATATGTTATATAAAAAATAGCTTCATTTAAGTGTTGCAGTAGTCTAAAGGTACAAAATAGTGTATGGTGAAAAGTAAGTCACCTGCCCACTCTTGTCCTCTAATTGACCCTTTGGATGCAACCACTGTTATACATTTCTGATATAGAGGCATATATGTATATAAAGTTTTCCTTTATAAACACAAACAAAGGTCTACTGCACACATGTAACTTGGGAACATTCAATGTCAGTACATACCCAGCCACATCTTTCTTTTTAATGAGTACACAGCATAAATGGAAGAAATTTGGGCTTTAATTATGGAAGATATGGTAAAGTTTGGAATTCAATATTGTGGTGTTATTACATGTATTATATATTACATATATATCTTCTATCTATCTATCTATCTATCTATCTATCTATCTATCTATCTATCTGTTTTTGTCCATGGTTTCTGGCTCATAACTCCCATAAACCCTGTTACAGGCTTTTGTTATAATGATGGGTGTGTTAAGCCTCAGAAGACAGAATCTATCTGAACTTCTCCTGCTCTCCTTTCACTTTCCCCAAGGCAGGACTCTAATCTTCCCTGCCTTTATGATTGCCAGTTATAAGCCCCTCATTCTAGAGAGGGTCCAGCCCCATACCCTGGGGAAGGAATGCTGATATCATGAAGCTTCCATAAAAATCCACGAGGACTGGGTTTGGAGAGCTTCTGGATAGCCAAACACATTGAGGTTCCTGGAGGGTGGTGCTCACAGGGAGGGCATGGAAGCTCCACCCACTTCCCTCATGCCTGTCCTGTGCACCTCTTCATCTGTATCCTTTGTAATATCCTTTATAGTATATTGGTAAATGTGTTTCCCTGAGTTCTGTGAGCCCCTCCAACAAATTAATCTAAGAAGGGGTCATGGGAGCCCCAAGTTGAAGCCAGTGGGTCAGAAGTTCGACTGGTGTCTGAAAGGTGGGGGCCAGTTTTAGTGACTGAACCTTCAATTTGTGGAATCTGAAGCTATCTCCAGGTAGTGTCAGAGTTGACTTGGAGGACACCCAGCTGGTGGCCACTGCTTGGTGGTGGGGAAAAAAACCCACACATTTGGTCACAGAAGTCTTCTGTGTTGATTGGTTTTTGTGGTGTGAGAGCAGAGAAAAAGCACAAATAAGTTTTTCTGAAATAAATGTTATATGCTATTTAGTGAAAACTTTTCAAGAAGCCCATCCCCAGTTCACCTAAAGCAGGGGTCAGCAAACTGTCACCCCAGCTAAATCTGGCCCACTGCCTATTTTTATATGACCCACGAACTATGGCATTTATACCTTAAAAGGCAAAAGAAGAATAGTATACCATGTCATGTAAAAATTATATGAAATTCAAATTTCAGTGTTTATAAATAAAGTTTTATTGGAACACAGCCACACTCGATCACTTATGTATTATCAATGGCTGCTTTTGCATGATTATGGCAGAGTTGAGGTGTTGGGACAGAGACCAAATGGCTGCAAAGCTGGAAATATTTACCCTCTGCTTTATTAGAGGAAAAGTTTGCTGACCGCTGACCTAATCACAGATATAGTTCAACACTTTGATCACTTAAAGTTTGGTAATGGGAGTATATGGACAGCACGCATGTGGGGAATTAGAAAATTCTCCAAAGTGTTTGTCTTGCTGGGAGAAATTCTGGAATCTTTTGACTGGGCTAAATCTGGCATAATTTTAAATAAAAAAGAAAACTGATTATTTTATCTTATTTGAAATCCAAAAGACAAGATGTACTAATTATCAAAAGTTATTTAAAAGTTCAATCAAAAACAGACTTACTAATGGATTGAAGTGGATAACTTCCTAACCTTTCTTGTAAGCATGGTCTTAATTTAGAAATTAGCTGTGCATTAGAAAATAAAATATGAAAGAGAGTTTGTACCAAAGGGAACTGACTTTTGGTCCTTTTCATTCTCAGGGATGAATCAGAGAGGCCAGACAAATGGTCTTTTCTCAAATCTGGAGCTGAGTAGAATTTTTCAGACACAGTGAACCCTTACTCATGTGTTATTTAGGGATATATCATGGCTAATGTTTTTTTTCTCTCTAAACATTTAAAAATAAAAATACTGTATCTATAAGAAATGAAGTTTTTCCTTTTGGGCAATAGAGACAATAATAATATACACACTCACAGTTATTTGCATCCAAGAGACACAAAGTGCTCTCTCAACTTTAAATAAATAATATTAAGATCTTTTAGATGGCAAAAAAGAAAGCAAGATGCACCTAAGTCATGAGGAAATTGATGTTTCAGATCACATATCTATTCTAACAATAGTGAAAAGCAATAAATTAAGAGGAAAAATGTAACCGCCAAGAAACATAGCTAGAAAAGAAAAATTTTTGGCCAGCCTCACTCATCCTTGACTAGCTTTTCAGAACTGGACATAAGAGTGGCAGATGGAAACTGAGAACAGTAAAGATTATAGATAAGAGAAGAGAAAGAGTAGTATACCTTCTGGAAAGCTGTCCATCTATGATCTTAAGAGCTGTCACCTATGAATTGTTTCATCAAGCCCAAAATGATCAATATTTGTTATGTGAAGTTTTGGGGGAGTAAGGGTAATGTAAGCGTTCTTGTTCTAAAGAAAAGGAAATTGAGGATAAGAGACGTTAGTGCTTTATCTGAGTTAGTGCTCAAAGCTGAAACCATTACCAGACATTTTGAAACAGCTAACCAGCAATTCCGTTTTCTTCCTTAATCATGGATTGAGCACCTCCTATGTTGAAAGCATTGTACCAGGCATAATAGAAAAAAAAAAGATACGTAAAACAAGCCCCTTGTCTTTGAAACCTATAGTTTAGTGGAGACATAGAATCCAAGCCACCAAGCACTCTTGGTAACATTATCCACAACGCTGGTTGAATGACCCAAAGAAAGACTTGTAGAAATTAAGCATGTGAGAAACTGTTTTAACATTTTATTTTCAGTAAATAAAAGAGAAGTGTTTCAACTGGAGGTCAGATGCAAAATTAAGAGTGGGGCATGTGAATCTGTTCTAAGTGATGGGCTGTAGGACTCTCCTGTGTTGCCAGAACTGGAAGAGACACCATTAGAAAACCCACTGAGCTTAAATTAACATCCTTTCCAGGTGGATCTGGAGGCTGAATTGATGGGCACAGTGGGTCAAATTATTTTTTACAGATTTAAATCTTTGATTAAAAAATCTCTTTTTAATCTTCGAACCAATTGGAGTTTATTTTGGTGAATTTTAGATTTTTTTTGTTCCAAATAACAAATGGTCCCAGCACCATTTGTTGAATAATGAATTGTTCCTTTCCCCCACTGATTTGTGAAAATATCAATTGTCACCATTTCCTGAATATCTGTTATGTATCAGGTGCTTTGATATGTTTTGTAATGGATTTGTGCCTTTTCTAGGTGATGCAAAATCTGAAATTCCTTCCTGCATTTGATAAATTGTCTACCTTATGAATCTTGCTAGGGAAGGAGAGCTTGCCTTCACTATAAAACTTGAAAATGCCAAGAACTTATTTTCCTAGACTCCTCTGAACTTAGGTTAGGAGCAACCAATCAACAGACCCTCTCTGGAATTTACAACTGGATCTATTGATTCAAAGAGGGTGGACCAAGCCAATGCCATTCTGATGAGTGATCCAGCAACAACTGCTGTCTTGGAGCATATGTGGCCATGCCAGCAGTGACACCCAGGATTCAGTGGTAGGGCTAGCAGTCCTCACATGCTCTTTGGGGGCATGAATTCCTGTGGTCCTGGCTGCTGTCTAGCCTTCCTTGTTCTTCCCTTTTCCCAAGACTGTTTCTCTGCCCTTCTCAGAAATTTTGTAAGCAACACAAGAGCCCTGAATAAATTCCTCATCTGCCCAGATTAGCCAGATTATGTCTCTGCCACTTGTAACTAAAAACCTTGACTAATACATGTAGGATATCATTTGATTCTCAAATCGTCACACCTTAAAGATACATATCACCATCCCCATTCCATTTTAGGTAATTAATATTCAGTAAGAGTATTAACTTGCTCAAGAGTGCATGGACTGGAATTCAAATCCAGGTTTGAATTTATCTGATTCTGAAGTTCATACTCTTTCTACTCTATCACACAATTCCAACATTATCATAAACTATGACACACACACACATACATATGAGTGCTCTCTCTCTCTCAAGGCAGAAACTATATGTAATTTTTTGGTGTATGCTTTCATTATGCTCCATTGGTATAGCCTAGTGCTGCCATCACACTGTTTGATTTATTGCACCTTTATAATAAGTTTTAAATTTGAGTAGAGTAAGTTCTCCTTTATTCTTTTAAATCCTTTTCTTGCCTCTTTTTGAATGTTTCTTTTCCCAGATGAGCAATTGGATAATTTTGCAAAGTTTTCCCCAAATGATGGAGGAACAAATTAGCAGCTTGAATTTGAGGTGCTTAATGTTATTTTCACTTAACAGGGTTACATGAGGTAACCTTCATCGCTCCCACATGTGTATGTGTGCACACATTCACGCACACGCTCACAAATATGTACCTATATAAAGACTTTTTGTACTTATATAAAGACTCCTTGTTTGTTAGCTTCAGCATATTTTCAAATTCTGTAGAGGCAGAAAGCATGGCAGTATTGGTCCAAGAAGCCGTTGGACATTGAGGCTGGTCAACAAATGGAAAGAAGATGCCTTGATAAGAGAGTAGCAGTGGGGAGGAAAATACTTCTTCGCAGGCTTTATTTCTTATATTGCTTTGTTCCTGCAGAAAGCAGCATGGTTCACTTTGATTCTTCCATTCTTTTCTCCAAGCATAATTTTTATGCTGTGGGAATTCTTTCCAAGCAACACTCGACAAATAAACCCCAGGAAAATGTCTGATTTGCGTTTGCACATAATTTTCCTGGTGTGGATTCTAGGTAATAGAAAGCCTAAATAATGTCCATGGTCCTGGAAGAATTTCTGTAATTATGGCTTTGTTGAGGCTCTGTTAAGAACCAATGAGACCCACAGTCCTCGTCTGGTCCAATAAACCAAGAGAGTAATTTCCACCTCTTTAAGTGGATATAGATTTGATACATAGCTGTTCATCACGAATTAATGAAAAGCCCCTACTTTTGATCCAGGAGGACACCAGGCTCTTCCTTCTCTCTTGCAGAAAAACATTCAAGTACAAACATCCTTGTGAGAATCCCCCATAGGAAATTCTATGCATCTGCTCAGATTAAAAAGGCATCAACTTATTTATTTCCTCTAATAGAGAGGGACTTCTCTGAATACAGAGTTCTCTCCTGAAAGGCCAGTGGCTTGGTTCTGGGAATTGCGAGATGTTAGCAATTGGCGTGATGCTCTTCATAGGAGATTCTGAGGATGTACAAATGCTGATACCCACATGTAAACTGTCCTGTGGAATCCAGCTGCCTTTGTTGCAGCACAGACTCAACAATGCCAGGATTTTTTTTTTTTTTCTGAGACGGAGTCTCGCTCTGTTGCCCAGGCTGGAGTGCAGTGGTGCGATCTCGGCTCACTGCAAGCTCCGCCTCTTGGGTTCACGCCATTCTCCTGCCTCAGCCTCCCAAGTAGCTGGGACTACAGGAGCCCGCCGCTACGCCTGGCTAATTTTTTGTATTTTTTAGTACAGATGGGGTTTCACCGTGTTAGCCAGGATGGTCTCGATTTCCTGACCTTGTGATCCAATGCCAGGAAATTTCTGAGGCTACACTTTTATTCCAGATCCAGGGTTATCCTTTTCTACCACAATCCACACAGGTATTTCTAGTCGGTCTCAGAATTGTGGATAACATCAGAAATGGAATGCAGCTTGTAGCAAGCCAGAGAGCTAACTTCTAAAATTAAATTAAGATTAGACATGGAACCTCATATCTTTGAAGCCGTGCTGCATAATAAGGTGGAACTGAATGCTGTGCCCAGGAAATTTATGCCTATTTGCAGCAACACTTCCGAAAAAAATTGAATTGATGAGCAGAGAGTTAATCATGTTGTAACAGCATATACAGTAATCTCATGAACCACTCTCCACTGGAGTTAATAATTAACTGCTACTGAGCTACCTAATAATGTGGCCTGGCTTGGCTTTCCATCAGCAAAGACCCGGCAACCAGGGACAATGGCTTCTGAGGACAGCCAGTCAAAAATTGCATTTGCCTATAGAAAACCTATGCTTTTACTTCGTCCTGATTTGGAACAGAGCTGGTTTCCTAGCTAAAGCTGTGGTGATAATGACTAGAAATGAATTTCTCATCTAGGCACATTCTGAAAGGCCCGTTCTGGGCATCCGTAAAGAAGAAAACTCGTAAGGTAACCTAAAAGGGACAAAATGATAGCTGCTGTAATTCATCTGTCTTTGAACAGCAGTCTGCCAGCCTGCCCAATTAGGTATTATTGGTCCTTTCACACATATTGTAGTGAAAAAAGAACTTGCTTTATCTTTAGAGAAACTTAGTTTTACTACTGATTCAAACAAATTAAAAATACAGATTTGGTCTCCTTTCAGTTTTTTGAAATGTCCAATACTGAGTATTTGGTAACCAGTATGCATGTGATTCCTGTAGTGATCATGAGCTCTGATATTGCTATGTATACAAAATGCTTTAGAAATCAGCTCACAATGCAGTTTCCTACTGTGGTTTGAGTGAATGATTCATGACTACAAGTTTAAATGGTAGGTAGATATGGAGAAAAGTCATCTGAGTTTTTAAATGATGACCCCTTTCCAGGTAAAGTGTCAAAAATAATTATTCCTCTTAATTTTTTCTGGACTCCAGTGAAAATGTACCATGCCATTTTTCTCCCACCTTAAGGGAACAATTATCCATTGCTCAAAGACTAATGCAAGAGTCTGTAATCTTAATTGAACAAAACATATTTATCTCCCCCAAATTTAAATGTAAATCCAAAATTTAAAAAGGTTGACCAAAATTGCTTAAAATATTGTTCACCAAAACTAGGAAAAAGTCCAAGCAACTATGAGTTACTTATGTCATAAGTAAAAAAGCATTTGGTGGCTTCACAATTTTTAATGTAGCCAAGTGGTGTTGAAAATTATGGTTCTTCTGACAAGGTGAAGGTTCTCCAGGGGTCTGTCTCTCATGGGCGAAAAGGCAAAGTCATTTCATATCAGATGTGTGCTATTTAGATAACTGTTCCGGGTTCTAAAGAAGTTAACAATCATCCAAATGGTGATAACTTACTAAAATAATGCATGCTGGTCAGCCCCAGAATACATGATTCACAAAAGGAACTGAAATATACTCATTAATCCTAGAGGCTGAAGATCCCAGAACAGTTACTGAAAGTTCTATATAACTTGCCGTTTCTGTAATTTCCAAACAAGGGGCTTCTAAAACCTATGGAGTCCCTTAGACCTCTGCTGAGCTCTTGGTTGATCAGTAACATTGTCAATGAGCAGTAATATTTTGAAAGGTATATTTTTTTCTGAGCAGTAATATTTTTCTGAGCAGTAATATTTTGAAAGATATATTTTTTCCTGATCAGAGCTCTTGGTTGATCAGTAACATTGTCAATGAGCAGTAGTATTTTGAAAGATATATTTTTTTCTGAGCAGTAGATCTCAACAGTGGGCTTAAAATATTCAATAAATCTTGGTGTAAACAGATGTGCTCTTGTGTTGTTCTTTTGAGAGAACACAGACAGAGTAGATTTAGCATAATTCTTAAGGGCCCTAGGACTTTCAGAATAGTAAATGAGCACTGTTCTACTTTAAGTCTCCAGCTGCATTAGCCCTTAACAAGAGAGTCAGCCTGTCCTTTGAAGCTTTGAAACCAGGCACTGATTTCTCCTTTCTGGCTAGGAAAGTCCTAGATGACATCTTCTTGCAATAAAAGGCTACTTCCTCTACATTGAAGATCTATTATTTAGTGTAGCCACCTTCATCAATTATCTTACCTAGATCTTCTGGATAACTTGCTGCAGCTTGTATGTCAGCACTTGCTGTTTCACCTTGCACTTTTATGTTATAGAGATGGTTTCTTTTCTTAAACCTCATGAACCAACCTCTGCTAGCTTCCCACTTTTCTTCTGCAGCTTCCTAACCTCTCTCAGCCTTCATAGAGTTAAAGAGAGTTAGGGCCTTGATCTGGATTAGGCTCTGGCTCAAAAGAATGTTGTAAGATTTGATCTTCTATCCAGACCACTGAAACTTTCTCCATATTGGCAATGAGGCTGTTTCACCTTCTTATCATTCATGTATACACTGGAGTAGCACTTTTAATTTCCTTTGCATTCACAACTTGGCTAACTTTTTGGCACAAAAGGCCTAGCTTTTGGCCTGTCTCAGCTTTCAATATGTCTTCCTTCCTAAGCTTAATCATTTCTAGATTTTGATTTCAGGTGAGAGACATGCAACTGTTCTTTTCACTTGAGCACTTAGAGGCTTTTGTAGAGTTATTAATTGACCTAATTTCAACATTGTTGTGTCTCAGGGAATAGAGAGGCCTGAGGCAAGGGAATGAGATGGGAAATAGTTGGAGCAGTCAGAGCACACACATTTATGAATTTTTGCCATCTTACATGAGCATGTTTCATGGCACCCCAATATAATTATAATAGTAACATCAAAGACTGATCACAGATCATTATAACCAATTTAATAATAATGAAAAAGTTTGAAATATTATGAGAATTACTAAAATGTGACACAGAGACACAAGGAGAGTACTCGTTGCTGGAAAAATGCTTGAAAGATGCTTGACGCAGCGTTGCCATAAACATACAATTTGTTAAAAAAAAAAGCAATATCTGCAATATGCAATAAAGGGAAGTGCAATACAATGAAATATTCCTGTATTGGATAGTGCTGCCTTAATTAAAGAAGAAAATCAATATTTATTGAGAAGTTACAATGTGATAGACATCGTATTCTCTTTTAACTATTTCACTGTGAAGAAAAGAGCTTAAGTCACTTGTTCAAGTCATATAACTGATACGGGGCAGAGCTACGACTCAATCCAGTTTCTTTTGATCCAAGCCCAGTGTCATTTCCAAGCATGGCCAAGTGTTGGCTCATCCATTCATCCATCTAACACATACTTACTGAGAGAGTGACTGTATATTTTAATGTCAGGACAACATATGATATTTTAATGTGACCGTATATTTTAATGTCAGGACAACATGTGTTATAATATTTTATGTCAGGACAACATGTGAAAACTTTTATTGAACAAACTGGACTCTCTGCTTACTGAGCACCTGGCTAGCAACTGGAGCTGTATGGTGAGAAAGGCCAAATGTAGTTCTACCTTCATAGAACCTATAGGCTCATGGGGGAGTCACACATTAAATATATAATCCCCAAATTATTCATCAGCCACAATTGTGAAAGTATCAAATGTGAAAGCCCATCCGTTTTGGGCGAGGCTTCCGAATCCCATTAAATAACAACAACAATCATAATTAAGAATCAGGATTTAGCTTCCAATGCCTGGGAAGTTCAAATGAGTAAGGTAAATCTATGACACTGGTGGCCTCCTGATTGATGAGTCCACTGTAATCTCTATGCCTGGTAAACAGAGAGATCTATTTCATTCAAGGTCATCCTGGGTTGGCATGACCAACTTCAATTTCATCTGATTCTCCTTGGGTAGAAGTATTTTTGAGATGAAGAGCTGAGATCGGCTAATTTGTCAACATTACAAAGCAGGAGACTTATCCTTGTAACTCTTCTCCCTCACTGAACCTTCCCAGCAGCAGCTGCTGACATATGAACCTCGCAGATGAAGATGCCATAGCATGGCTATTTCTCGACTGCACTGCTGAAGGTAAGATAGTGAGAAAATGCTTTTTCGTAGCAATTTCTTTGTCATTTTTAACAGGGTCAAACTCAAATACTCATAAAAGGAGATTGAGAGCCAATATGCTATACCATCAAATTTAAAAAGCAAAAAAATCAAAGCCATAAACTGTTATCATTTCCAGTATGTTATTCCTTCTAATGCTAGCCCATTAGTTTCAATAAAAGAACAACAGAATGTCCATTTCACTGTAACTTGACATGCTTATTATGCCAATATGATTAGTTTTTGCAAAACACTCATGTACTGGTTATAGTTTATAGAAAAATTGATTTCACAGAACCAGATAAATTAGAATTGGAAACATTCTATTAGGTCACGAGGTGCATCCCCCGGGGCTAGTATAGAATTAATCCCCAGTTCCCAGTGTATTATCTGATGGAGTTTTCTATCAGGTTTTGATGGGCTTACATATTTATTATAGGCTGGCAATACATACCACTAAAAATTATACCAATCCATCTGAGAAATAAAATTCTAGAAAAATAAGCGTCTGCTGAGCACTAATTTTACTTTGGTGGATACATTTTTAATATACTGGTGTTTATAGCCTCTCATCTTATAAAAGGCAGGGTAGTAGCACTGGATCATGGGTTGGCATTACAATCAAATAGCGAATTTGCATATCTTAAGTTGCAAGAATTTCCCCAGACAAAATTTCCCATCAGATTTACACAAAATGTGGTATGAATTTTTTATTCCCAAGAATGGGTTATTTTGCGTAAAGGAAATTGAATCCTGTACCTCAAGCAAGTGGCTGCGATCAAACACTTGACTAGCCTGACATTTTCATCTTCTTAGGCACTGTGTACTGAGCTATGACTCCGGGACAGATATTTGCGAGAGGGTGGTGCATGCAACTCTGAACTGGAGGGCTGGGAGTGGGGTGTGGTGAGGGAGTCGGCTGGTGTTGCCTGAACTCCACATGTCCTGCTTTCTTCCTCAGCATGGCTGCTTTTGGGCAGTGACTCGGAGAGGGAGAAAAGCAGAGAAGGAAGAGATAGCTTCTCCAAGTAAAATTTATATATACTCTTCTACATAGAGTCAGCCCATAAACTCCTGAGATCTCCCAGGTCAGGGTAGGATTGCCTCTCTGCTTCCACATGTACCATTCAAGAATTCTCCTCCCCCATTGAGACCATCCTTGAAGTTCATTGTCACTCACCTATTAAAGATGTTGGAGAAAAGCACATGATGGGATTTTCCTCAATCCTGCTAGGTTGTTTCTTCACCCCTTGCTCCTTCACAGAGATAACAAGCAGAAAGTTTGATGTGGGCTCAGTTGTGGGGAGGTGGTAGGCGAGGAAGTCAGGTTATGCCTGCAAAAAAGCAGCGAGGAAGGCACAGAAGTGTAACGTTCAGCCAAATAATGCTTTGTTCCACTTGTTGTTCACATTCTCATGTCCCTGTGTGAAAGCCTAGATGAAATTCTTGTTGTTCGGGATGCGGCTGATGGGTATTATGTCTGGAGAGCATCCCAGCGAAGGTCTTATACATCTTTTTTTTTATACACCTGCATGTTAAATGAGCAAGAACACCCAGATGCTGAGTAAGACTTATGAATTTGGTGTAAATTGTGCAAAAAGTAATTTTGTATGTCCAGAAAGTAGTGCTGTCAGTAGTACAGTTTTTCTAAACTCTCCATAATTTAGGAGAATGCAAACTGAAAGGCAGTCAAACAGCCACAAGGCCTAATTGCACAGCACAGTGTATCAGTTTCGACAGGTGCCTGTCACAGAGAAGGCTCTTGCCCACTAGGGATTCTTTTATACCCAAAGCAGAAGCCAGTAAAACTGCTCGAGGAGGTTAAAAAAGGCAGGGACCTTAGCCACGTTAACCCTCAGATGGTGGCAGTAAAGACAGCTTTATCCATGGGCTCTGGCAAAGTGAAGATGGTGAAACAATTCTGAAGAAAAGAAGCCAGGGAGCTGCACTCTTGGGGTCGGACAGAATTTCAGTAGTGATCAAGGTCCACCTTTGCCACTCTAAGTGTGGCCCACGCACAAGAAGAATCAGCATGACCTGGAAACTTGTGTCACTTACAGAATCTTGAGCCCTACCTCAAACTTACTGAATCAGAAATATGCATTTTTCAAAACTCCAGGTGATTTGTTTGCACATGAAGATTTGAGAAGCACTGGTATACACCACCATTTCCCTAGTGGTTTTCCCATGGTAGAAGCCTGAACTTGCTAAGAAGGGACACAGATTTTTTAGCCCAGTGAAAAGTTGATCTCATTCTCATTTCAGTAATAGCCAATGAATGACTATGCTTTCCTTCATTACTTTTTTTTTTCTTTAATTTTTTGACCATTCTCATTGTTTCCTTTTGGGAACAATTCCTCACTGCATGTGATTCTGGCAAGACTGTCAGCCATATAGGCTGGGCATTTGATTGAGGTTAGCTAGAAACATTTTTTTTTCTCCTGGGGATTGATCTAGAGAAGAGGGTCTTTATTCTTCTGAAATCCTAAGGTGCAGGAAAAATATAGGCTTGGGACTGGGACTGGCAGGAATATCTTGGCTACCATATGTAGAGAAAATCTGCATGAGAATGAAGCCAGAGGAGCCAGGCAGAGCAGAAAGGTAGAGAGAGAGAAATCATTTGAGCACCTGAGACCAGTTGTGCCCAAAGGCAGACAACCCTGGGACTTCCGAGTTGAGCGAGCCAGTAAATTCAGTTTAGCTGAAAGCAGTTTTAGGTTAGTTTTTTGTCATTTGTAGCTTAAAAAAAAAAGTGGTTCTGACTAATATATTCCTGAAATTGGATCATCAGATCTTCCAAACCAGAAACTTCGACATCTGGAAACCTAGAAATAAATGAAGAGAATAAATTCATTATAAAGTTCACAACCTGTAATTTGACCACTGTGTGAGTGAGTTTGTGTGAGTATCTGTAAGAATAATCTGAGTATAAATGTAGAAGATTTAAAACTTTTAGGCACTCATGAGCCCTAAATACCAATTATCTGTATAATTGCAGCAGGCTGTGTTTATTTTCTGGATTTAGAGACAATGCCTATTGAAATTAATATTCAAATTTATGCCAACTAATATGCAAATCAGGTTGGCTTTGGTGCTTATAAACAAGAGAATAGGATTGCAGCACTGGCATTTCAATGGTGCTGATGCTTTGATTAACGAAGACAAAGAGGGCTAGAATGCAGATGAAACATGTTTCCTTGGACTACCCAATGCAAATGGGAAATTTATAGCTCTGTAAACTGTTTTAAAACATAAAACAATACCTCAATTTAATATAGCAGCTTAACCATTCATTAATTTACTCAGTGCAAACACTGCAACTTTCAGAAATGATGCTACCCATAAATACAATCTACAACCACAAAAAATTGAAAAAAACACAAAAGAAAATTGTGCTTTTACTCCTGCCAAATTTCAAAATCTAAATCTACAATTGTTTGTTCCACTTGAAACACTGAAGCCTGCTTCTCTTCTATAATCAGTTGATATCCACTCTTGGACATCTATTTCACTCTTATGTGTCTAGTTCAATATTATGTATGGTATGTATACGTATTTTTAAGTTATCCATTAGAATTAGGTTAAGTTATAACAGAAACTTGAAAAGTAGTAGCTTAAATAAGGTAGAAATGTTTTTATTTCTTAATAAAAAATAATGTATGGAGTTGGACAGCCCCGGGCCAGTAGAATGCCTCCATAGTTATTGAGAACTAAAGATTCTTCCAGATTTTCAAACACAGAGTATACAATGTGGTGCTCATCCTCTACGTTCAAGACAACTGCTGGGTCTCTCTAGCCATAAAATCCAGTTTCCCAGCAGCAGGATGGAAAAAAAGAAGAGTTTGCCACTTTTCTTTTTTTTTTTCTTTTAGAAAAAACTTGCCAGAGGAAATTCCAAAAGGTTGTACTTTTACAAAGTATATCTGCTTACATCTCATTAATCAGAATTTATTTATATGCCATGCGTAGCTACGGGAGAGGCTGGAAGATGTGGTCTTTTAGCTGGGAGGCCATGTGCCTTGATAAAAATCATTATTCTGTTAATTTGGGAGAGAAACAGAGAACAGGAATGTCATTAGATAACTCTGCTCCAAGTATTAAATATGTATGTGTTTATCAATTTATTTTGTGTTTCCCCCACTGGAAACTAGCTCCACATGGGCAAAGACTTTGTTTTCTTCATGGTTGTACCCTTAATATTATTTTATATTTCCCTTCTCTGACTTTTTTTCCAGTAGTTTAAGAACATCAACCAGACTGCTGTGTTGAGAAGAATACAGACACTGCATTCAGATTCAGTGAGAAAGAGTGCTTTGATCAACTAATATTTTCTGCAGTGGTCCATCCATGTGTGTTGGGTTTTACTGTTCCTGGCTTAAGCATTCTCTACAACCATGAGCTTGCAACTAAAATGCTGAGAAATGTATGGCTACCATAAAGCCAGTTTAAATCTATATGCCAAAAGGCCTTATTTAAATTTGTTGTGTCCAGTGTTTTATTCTAACTAAAGATAGTATTCTCTGCAAGTTTTTTTTTCTTATGTGGAACTCTCTTGCACAGTTGTAGATTTTGCAGGGTTCCAGAGTGTTGCTAAAGGAATTATGTGCAAATTCCAAGTTGGCAAATTCTTACCAGAAAGTTGCTGGGAAAAGAGAGTTTTGCTTTTCTTTAAAAGACAAAATGGAAAAACAGGTTATGAGTCTTATGCTGTCAGAACAGAGATGCAATTCTATGACATGTGTATCTTCTGATTCATTTAGAAAGCAAGAGGGGGCCTAGAGGAGTGATAAGGGCTTTTCAAGTTCAACACAAATGCTAGAAAGAAAAGCTTAGGCTTTCTCTTTATTTAGCTCCAACAAGCCAAGCATGGGGACAAAAAGGCCAGAGTTAAATTAAACTACAATTAAAAATAGCTAAGACTATTGAGTAAAGCACCAAATTGCATCTAAAAAATGATGTCTTTAAAAAGCTGTCATTGCAGCAACCTTCTTTTTGTGCCCCACACAACACATTTCATCAGTCTTGGTGACAAGACAGTGACTTGATGAGGCTGTGATTCTTTCAGAGGGAGGGAATTCTGCAACTCTCCACAAAGATAAACTGGAATTTTCAGAGTATGGTTTGAAAAGCCCCCTTAAAGACTCATACACATCCCTTGGGGCACGTGTCCCTCTCTCTCATGACTTACCCACTTGTGAGTCAGGAATTATTGCCTTATTGGAATGATCTGCGTTGCTGTTTAATTTTTGTCTTGTTTAGCTGCATCCATGGAGAATGGCCCATTTGTAAATAATATCTGGTAATTCTGGGTCTTAGTTTGGATTCTTTCAAAAACAAAGTTTAAGGGTCTTGGAAGCAGATTATTTATCTGGGAGGTGGTCTCAGAAGGAGGAGTGAGAAAACAGATTAAGACAGGGAAGGAGGAAAATCCAATATATGAGTGTGTTATTGAGGTCACACTATGGGCAACAGGGTCTTGATTATACCAGGACCCAGAAAAGTGTACAAATATGTCCCAGAATTGTCACTTTGAAGTATGGGAATTTGGCGCATTTCTGCACTGGCACCCTTCCTATTGGTTGTGCATTGCCCCAGGGGCATTAGCATACAGCAGCCCCTGACTTTGGGGCTGTGTATTTGTGTGGACAGAGTACTCCCTGACATCAGAGAACCCTGCTCATTACTGGCTTGCAGAAAGGCTCATGAGACCTTGATTGAGATGGACAATGACAGAACAAGGTGAGTCTGGCATTTACTCGGGGCTGTCTGCTGCAGCTACAGCTAAAGTCAGAGGTGGATTGAGGTAGAATGATGGGGAGGGAGAAGGTGGGTACCAGAGGTGTCTGCTGCAGTCTCTGACTGTGAACTGGAACTCAGTTAATGCTCAGCAGTTTGATTTAGGCCTCATGGCTGTCATCAATGCATTTTTTTTTTTTTGAGCTGGAGTCTCGCTCTGTTGCCAGGCTGGAGTACAGTGGTGCGATCTCAGCTCACTGCAACCTCCACCTCCTGGGTTCAAGTGATTCTCCTGCCTCAGCCTCCTGAGTAGCTGGGACCATAGGCATGCACCACCATACCCAGCTAAGTTTTGTATTTTTATTAGAGATAGGGTTTCACCATGTTGGCCAGGATGGTCTCAATCTCTTGACCTCACGATCCGCCCGCCTAGGCCTCCCAAAGTGCTGGGATTACAGGCGTGAGCCACTACGCCTGGCCCATCAATGCATTTGATTGTATATTTTTAACTAAGGAGACAATTTAAAATTGGTGTTAACCTAAAGTTAACAAAGTGAGGACTAACATCACAATAGCCATCTTACATCTTATACAGATGTAATTTAAATCCTTGGATTCTCCTCTCTCTTCCTTCTTCTTGTTTTAACTTTCAAATATCCCTTCTGCATGCTACTATCTCTACCCAAGGGTAGGGATGGAAAAGCAAGGTGGTGAAAATAGAATCTGTCAAATACTGTCACTTGTTAGAAACTCTTTTAAAAGTCCTTATGGAATAGGAAGCTGAGATTGTTGGCCAAAATGAGATTTGGGGATTACAGGCGATTTGAATTTCTCCATGGTATTCAATTTCTATAGTTAATTGGGACATGACTCATAAGTCTAAATAATTGGCATAGAATGCCAAAAAGAAAGATGCATGAACTGCTTATTATTGATGCAGCTGCATTTCCTGTGTGTGGTGGCCATGGTGGGCAAAGGATGCAGGGGCAGCAGAGCCTGGTGGAGACTGCAAGGATTTGTGGCTCTGAGTCTGCCCTTGGCTAGCCATGAGACACAGGGCAAGATAACCATCCTCACGGAGCCTCCGTTTCCTCAGCTATAAGATAGAAGTAATAATAGCTTCCTTGCAGGGTCATTGAGAGGATTAAGTATAATTATGCAAAATGTTTGGCATCTTGAAACTGTACTATTAACAAGCCAATGGATAATAAATGCAAAATCTCATTTCTATTTTGTATCCTACTTTGACTTAGTTTCTGGGTAAAGTTTTCATTTACTGAAACCAACTGCTTTGACTCATTTAGACTTAGTCATTGAATGTAAAATTAGCAAGTCCCTTGGGTTGATATTGAGCTGAAAATGCAGATGCCAGGAGGTCAGCACATTCCCCATTTTACCCATTCCAAGAAGATGGAGCCATCTCAGTGAACAGAACGGCTGCTCCTAAACACAAAGCATCCAGCAGTAATTGGTCCCACAGCAGTCCCCCTCCTGTGGCCACCGCTCATATTCTGGACATGGTGAGAAGAAAGGCAGGTCCAGAGCAGGATGGATGGGGGCAACCTTTGGTGGTTCCTCATCATCCGAGGCTGTCTGGATCTATCATAGGGGAGGATTTTGGCTCAGTCTGCAGCCCAAGTTAGGCCACTCCAGGAAGCAACAGGGCCCTGGTCTTCAAATCTAGAGGTCCATGAAGACTTTCCAAGAGATACACAGGCATGTTTAGATTTAAGGGACTCTATTTCCAGTTCCTCAACTTTCATATGTACTTCTTCTAAACTAAGTAGTGGTGACCTGAAAACAAGACTGTTTCTCTCTTCCATATTCCCTTTAATAGTCTCCCTTCTACTTCACTAGAGAAAAGCAAGTGTCTCTCACCTATTTCAAAACATACCACAGTGCATTGCCCAGGATGTCAAAAACTCTGTGACTCCAAACAAAGGGACAAGTAGAAATACACTACTTTTTTTGTACTACCTTTTGTTTGTTTGCTTGTTTTTTGATTGGTTGGTTTTTTTTTTTTTTTTTTTTTGACAGGTGGTGCAATCTCAGCTCACTGCAGCCTCAATCTCCCAGGCTTAAGCAATTCTCTCACCTCAGCCTCCTGAGTAGCTGGGATTACAGGTATGCACCACCATGCCTGGCTAATTTTTGTATTTTTTGTAGAGATGGGGTTTCTCCATGTTACCCAGACTGGTCTCTAACTCCAGGGCTCAAGTGATCTGCCCACCTCAGCCGGGCCTCTACTTTTTTTTTTTTTAACTTTTATCTTAAGTTCAGGGATACATGTGCAGGTTTGTATCGGTTAACTCATGTCATAGGGTTTTGTTGTACAGATTGTTTCATCACCCAGGTACTAAGCCTAATACCCATTAGTTATTTTTGTCTGATCCTCTCCCTCCTCCCACCCTCCACCCTGTGAAAAGCTCCAGTGTCTGTTGCTCCCCTCTTTGTGTCCATGTATTCTCATCATTTAGCTCCCACTTGTAAGTGAGAACATGCAGTGTTTGGTTTTCTGTTCCTGCGTTAGTTTGCTAAGGATAATGGCCTCCAGTTCCATCCACGTTCCTGTAAAGCACATAATCTCATTCCTTTTTTTATGGCTGTACAGAGTACACTATTTTTTTTAAAGGACCTTGAATTTTCCATAATCCACATATTTCTGAAGAAACATTTCCTGCTGAAGGAGATCCCTGTGACTCTGAAAAGGAATAACAAGGGCACGATGTTTTTCAGTGGTAAGGCTGGGAGGGTTACCTGTCTATCTGTAGAGGTGGCTGTTACAGAGGTATGTCTCAACACATTTATTTGGATTAATAAATGAAGCCAGATATGTGTGACAAAAAATAAGCCTGATTTGGCCAACTGCTTTGACAATGAGGACCTTTTATATGGCAGATATTTTCCATTAATCAGTGAGGTAAACGTGTATCTCTTAAGTTGAATTAAAAATATTTAAAACGTGATAATACTAAGGCATTTAATAAGAAATATAAATATTAGAAAAGGCCTAGTGAAATAAGCAATAATTTGGTTTTCCCAATCGTTATGTATGTATCAGGTTAAACAAGGTACTCCTCAGTGAATGAGCAGACTGTACAAATGACAGTCATTTCATACATGCAGCAAAAGATCATATAAAAAAAATTCAGTGTCACTGATCATTAGAGAAATGGAAGTCAAAACCACAATGAGATACCATCTCACACCAGTGAGAATGACTATTATGAAAAAGTCAAAAAATAGCAGGTGCTGGCAAGGTTGTGGAGAAAAAGGAATGCTTATAAACTGTTGGTGGGAGTGTAAATTAGTTCAACCATTGAGGAAGACAGTGTGGAGATTCCTGAAAGACCTAAAGACAGAAATAGCATTTGACCCAGCAATCCCATTACTGGGTATATACCCAAAGGAATATAAATCGTTCTATTATAAAGACTCATGCACACATGTGTTCATTGCAGCACTGTTCACAATAGCAAAAACATGGAATCAACCTAATGATAGATTCCATCAATGACAGACTGGATAAAGAAACTGCGGTACATATACACCACAGAATACTATGCAGCCATAAAAAAGAACGAGATCATGTCCTTTGCAGGGACATGAATGAGCTGGAGGCCATTGTACTTAGCAAACTAATGCAGGAACAGAAAACCAAATACTGCATGTTCTCACTTATAAGTGAGAGCTAAATGATGGGAACACATGGACACAAAGAGGGGAACAAAACACATTGGGGCTTATCAGAGAGTAGAGGGTGGGAGGAGGGAGAGGATCAGAAAAAATAACTAATGGGTACTGGGTTTGATACCTGGGTGACAAAATAATCTGTACAACAAACTCCCAAGACACATATTTACCTATGTAACAAACCTGCACATGTACTTCTGAACTTGAAATAAAAGCTTAAAAAAGTGCACAGATTGCAAGCATACAACACAATGAATTCCCACAACCTGAACACACCAGTGTAACAACACCCGGGTCAGAAAACAGAACAAGGTCAGCAGTTCAGAAGCCTTCCTTGTGATCCTTTCCAATCACTACCCACCGTCCAAGGTGAACCACCATCCTCATCAGTACCAGTACAGATTAGTTCTCCCTTCTTTTTGTTATTTATGTAAATGGAATTATATAGTTTTAAAAAAGATAGTAATTTGATAAGTTTTGATAGAAACTTTTTAGTATATGTGTCAGCATTTAAGAAAGCAGATGATTCTAGTAAGTGGTTACCAAATTCTTTGGTTAGTTGGGTGGGTTTCAACTCTTTGCTTTCAATAACATTAAAGGAGGACTTAATGGAGTTGTCAGCTCTCAGACATTGAAATAATTTATGATGAAAGAATAACTTTGTTATTCATGGAATGAATATCAGAAAGGGTTTAAAGAATTGACTAGTATCTATAAAACATGCATATTTGCCTTCCATACATACCTTCCATAAATGCATAAATATCTATATTTATATGAGGAAAGTATCTCAACAATTATATTTTAAAACAAAGTAAGTAGAAGTAAAATCGTTTCTGAAACTGTCTTATTCTAGCAAAAAGTAATGTGAATCCATAGATTCATCAATAATTGAAAAACAAAGCCTCATTTATCTCATTGCAAGCTACATTTTGGATAAAATTTGCCTCTTAACAATTATTTACCATGATTTATAATATATTGATATTTTATTGCCAAGAAGTTTATACTCGTATAAAATTCTGTGGGCAAAATAGAATAAAAATATGAGTTCAAAGAGAAATAAGAATGGTGTAAAACTTGGAACTGTAAGGGAAGATCACATCTACATACTTTAAAAAATGATGGGCACCAAAATAGTATTTTAGTTCAATTAGGTAAATGTAAGAGTGATATGATTTTTTAAGCCTGCATTTAAAATAATAATGCAAAAAAGTACATCCTTTGCAAATATTTAAACTTACAAATGAAGAATTTAAATACTAAATGTGTTGAAGGGTGTTATGGTCTGAATGTGCCCCCACAATTCATGTGTTGGAAACTTACTCCTCAGTGCAGCAGTGATGGGAGGTGTTGCCTTTTGGGAGATGTTTAGGTCCTGAGGGCTCTGACTTCATAGATAGATTATGGCTGCTATAAAAAGAGCTTTTGGGAGGGGGTTGCTCTCTTTCACTCTTCTGCCATGTGAGGACACAACATTCATCCTTCTATTCATCAGATGCTCGTGCCTTGATCTTGGGCTTCCCAGCCTCAGAGCTGTGAGAGAATACATTTCTGTTCTTTATAAATTACCCAGTCCAGGGTATTCTGTTACAGCAGCACAAAGTGAACTAAGATAAGGGATATATTAGTTTTTCAAAATTCTATTAGAGGATATTTGAGAAAGAAAGAAGAAAAAAAACCACTGCAGTAGGGCAGGGGAACCCAACCCCATTGACTAGTACTGGTACATGGCCTGTTAGGAACCAGGCTGCACAGCAGTAGGTGAGCAGCAGGCAAACGAGTGAAGCTTTGTCTGTATTTATAGCCACTCCCCATCGCTCGCATTACTGCCTGAGCTCTGCCTCCTGTCAGATCAGTGGCCGCATTAGATTTTCATAGGACCATGAATCCTATTGTGAACTGTGCATGCGAGGGATCTAGGCTGCACACTCCTTACGAGAATCTAATGCCTGATGATCTGTCACTGTCTCCCATCACCCCCAGATGGGACCATCTAGTTGCAGGAAAACAAGCTCAGGGTTCCCATTGATTCTACATTATGGTGAATTGTACAATTATTTATATTACAATGTAATATTATATCTATTACCATGTAATAATAATAGAAATAAGGTGCACAATAAATGTAATGTGCTTGAATCATCCCTAAACCATCCTCCCCACCCCCAGTCTGTGGAAAAATTGTCTTTCAGGAAACTGGAACACAACTAGTGACATGAGAGGAGGGTAGGAAAAAAACAAGGTCCCAAACAGGAGTCATGTCAGGGAGCTCAGATTTCATTTTAGATGCCATGGAAATCCTTGGAAAGATTTCTATGTACTAACTAATGTACAACAGGAGGCCATATTGTAACTCAAATAAGAGATAATGGTGGCTTTGACGGAGATGATATCAGTAAAGATGGAGAGAAATGGACAGATTTGAAGGTTTTTTTTTGTTTTTGCTACTTTTGGGATGTTCACAATTCGATGGGGTGACTGAACAAACATCCCTCATATCCAATCCAATCCATCAACACATCATATCTCCAGGGCCAAACATAAAAGTGTTTACTGCATAAATGAGTGGGATCCCACAAATCTAGACTTTGCCTCTTGGATATACACATGGCTGGGATTTCCCACAAATGGGCTGAATCTGTTACATTAAGGAAATGGAGAAGATTTAAAAAAAAAAACTTTTTTAACCCATAAGAGAGCCTCGCTCATCAGGTTTTCTGCAGGACTGTGAGGGGAATGGATTTGAGAAATCCTTCTTTCTGCCAAAGAGCCGCACCAGTAGTGGGAATAATCTGACTCAGGGAGAACCTGGCTGTCCTGTATCATTCTGCTTAGTTTTCTCTTAGGTTTTACATTTCTTCCAGTTCGTTGTCCGTTTCAGATCTCTTTACACCACAGGATAGAATGTAAGAGTGGGAATCTGCCACAACACCTTCGGAGAAAATAGATTCTAGATATAGCCAATAAATCCAGCCCAGAAAGTAACTCCCTTTAACAAAGAGAATGGCTGATAGAGGGAGAGGAATCATGTAGAAAACAAACCATCAAAAGCACCCCGAGGAAGTCTGCCCTCTGCTCCTGACAGCCCGTGGAAGGGCGCTGCCTGCCCCTTCCCCTGAGCTCCTTCTCCAGCTCCAGCCTGGTGAGGAAAATGACCTGCCGTTTCTGTAACAAGCTGGGTACAGACACAGCAAGTGGCCTTCTGGAGGATAAGGCAGATGGCCTCAGGTCCTCCTCCTTGCTCTGTATGTGGCGATGTTAAGACCGTTCCACGTGGCCGCACTGCCTCCCCGGATTGCCCCTGGCTCCCTCTCCAGTCAAAGCAGATCACCCAGAGGGGTCTATGTTACATGGGAGGAAGGGGACGGGGCAGATTCAGCTTTAAAAGTAGCTCAGGAGACCCCCTCCCCCTTTTGGGTTTATCTTTGATTATCCACTTATTTCAACATCTGGGCCAGTGGGCAAGGGTAGGGGATGAATGGAGTTTATTGATCACTGTTTCCATCACCTTTCTTTCTCCTGCCACAGCCTCCTGTGCAGCATCCCCACAGCAGCCTGTGTCACTCCCTCTCCCCACTGCAGCCCAGCATGAGCAAGGAGCCAGGTTTGCAGTGGCCATGGCAGAAGGCAAACATACTCCTACACTCCTCTTAGAGGGAACCAGTGGAGGAGAATGTCTGGGAAAAAAGAGGGGGCAAAGGTCCACCAGGACACCTGCCCGCCAAGCCTTCCCACCAGCCACTGCAATCCAGCTTCAGCCTCAGAGCATAAAGAGCCTGGGCTTCATTCCCAGTTTTTCAAGTCCACTTTGCAGATCAACCAGTACAGGCTTATGTGTAGAGAAGGAGGATCTGTCTCTGTGGTTTGATTTAAGATATGGCAGCTCCAATCTGAAAGTAATTTCTCTTTGGCTCATCTCTGGAGGCTGAAATGTCACTGGTTTTGGTTTATTCCTCAGAGGTAAGTGGTGCCCTTTTTCCTGGGTCTCTTCAAATGTACATCTTCCTCAGATGAAGAACATCTCAAATCACCCAAATCTCCCAGGAAGTGACTGAGTCCTCCAGCAAATGCCTCACTCGTGGGGCAGAAAAAGAAGAGAACGGAAAGAGAATCTTGGGTACCTGAGGGAGGAGGGAGCCTGAAACAAGGAAAAAAAAAAAAAAGAAGAGAGAGGGAAGTTAACAGTCTTGGGTGATAGTAACAGGTGGAGGATTAACCAGGCCTACAGTGGAGCTTTACAGTGTAGACCAGAGAGCTGCCTCTGCCTGGTCCCCAAGGAGCAGAAAGGAATCAGGCCCTAGGAGTGAGGACTGAAAGTGTTTCTCAACAAACATACCAGCAAGCTTCGGATATACCCTGTGCCAGTTTCTCAAATCCACTCAATCCCTGACCTTCATGGGTAATTCTAGCACAGATCCCAGGAATGGATTTTTAGCAAGAAAAGGCTGGTACCAGAAGCCAGCAGTGCTGTCCAACTACCTGGGAAATCAGAACGTGGGAAAGATGAGAGTAGGTGAGGCAGCAGCCAGGGCTCCCAGCGAGGGCTGTGGCAGGCAGCTCTTCTGCTCAGTAGGTTCTCACTCCCCAAAGCACGCCCAGGTCCCCATTTGCCAGCCATCATAAGGTTCAGAGAGCCAAGAGAGCCATGTGCCTCAAAAACTCAACCTGTCTCACCTGCCATCTGCTTCTCTGAGTGGGCAAATCTCATAGAGAGGTCTGTTGGCCAGATGTGGCTGAGACTAGTGCCCAATTGTCCCTCTGCAGCTGTGGAGAGGGTGCAGAGGGCGCTGGAGTTGGCCATGAATCATATTCTGGGGCAGCTGATGTCCTCTGCTTATTCTAGGCAGGGCACAGACAGTGCCAAGGAGGCCACAGCCTAGCCACCCCCAGCTTGCTGAGAGGCCCTGAGCTTGCTGCCAGGTGCATGACCAATTGGGTCTGATGGTTAGTGCTGCCACCCCTGAGTGAAGCCCACTTCTTTAGGTAGAGGCAATTATAATGAGATGCTTTTCTACATTCAGATGGTCAGTTTAAAATCAGTATTCTGATTTTAAAACAAACAAACAAAACCTGATTCCAGAATAATCTCCTTACCATCAATATTATAACTTAATTATTTGTGATACATCAAAAAGGGGTGGGAATCAACTGACATGCCAATCAACAACTCCTTCCATCATTATCAGACCCAGGGGGACAGCAGCTACTATTATTCTATAATATCTACATAGCTACTCAGTACCCCAAGCTAATAAACGCAAAACCTCCGTTCCTTCTCCTCTCCCAAGCACAGTGTTCAATGCACGCAAGTACTGAGTTAATGAGCTCATCACTGGGGGGCAACTCTGAGCTGGGATGACTTCTCAGAAACAGTCCCAGACAAAGTAAGAAAGAGTTGTCCACTCACTGACCTCAGATAAACATTTGATAAACTGTTGATTCCTTTGGTTATTTATGAGTTATAACATGCATATAAATGAACATGTTGTATTAGTTGGTAAAAATTTTAAACTTTATCTATGTAAAACATACATTTCATTCTACAGGCAGCTGACTGGGGTTAAAAATGAGGGTCTGGAATGCTATTAGAA
This sequence comes from Homo sapiens, assembly GCF_000001405.40. Lineage (NCBI taxonomy): Eukaryota > Metazoa > Chordata > Mammalia > Primates > Hominidae > Homo > Homo sapiens. The sequence goes on from NC_000004.12 coordinate 151,843,644, forward strand.
TTTGTGATCCTGAAGGCATATATGCCCTCCAAAGGGTGCTCCTTAGAATCACAGGATCTAGCATTGCAGCGTTAATCAAACCCATTTCCTTTCCTTTCATAAGCGAGGAAATAGAGGCCCAGAATGGAAAAGCAACCCTTGAACCAATTACTCAGCATGAGATGACAGAGGCAGAATTAGAATCAGGATCCATGTACCTCAAGCCAGTGCTCCTTCTCTCTGCCGTGCTCCATAGGATCAGAGGATCAGAGGATCAGAGCCTTCCACGCCAGGGAGTTTGACTCTTTGTCGCTGTGTAAGTCATGCTATAATAAATAATCTGCAGTGACCTACTCTTCTCTATAATTCCACATGGTGATTATAAGCCATTCTATGTTATACTGTAGTTGCAGCATGGTAGCTTCTTATTATATTGAAATGTTTCCTTTAAATGCATTGGAGTCATATAGTATTTATTTTAAATGGAAGGGTACTAGCCTTTAGGAGATGAGGTAGTTCCTGGATTAGGTAGTCAGGCATTTTAAATTAGGACAAAAGACCCTAGGTAAAACTGCAAAGTAGGCCAGGAAGCTTGTTGTGCCCATGAGGGAACTTATTGCAAGGTGTCAATGGATTTGTGTGTACACTAAGCACTGATTATAGACTAAACAAATAACACATCTTACACATGTACCTCCTACAGGTCCACAAGTATTTATTTCAAACCTTGGGGACCAAATGTGTTTTGGAAGTCAGTTCAAGTTGTAGAAAGGTAATAGGATATATAAATATATATATACCATATATTAATAATATTCCCAGCAGAGTCTGAGCAGTACCCTATAATCCAACACATGAATAGTTCTGCAGTTAAAGATGGGAATGTTCACTACTAATGGGATAAAGAAAGACTATAAATAGCTTCATGTTAGTTCAGGTCAGGTTTTGTCCCAAAAAATTAGTCTGTGACAAAGTAACCAAAAGAAAATCCTGTTTTCAGTGCTTTGTGAAGTTCGAGATTGTGGGTAAGAGATTGTAGACCTATCTTGTCTTATTTTAAAAATATGAATATACTGATCAATAAGAGATACTTTAATAAATGAGTGTCGATATTTAATGGGTCTTTTTGCCATTATATATTTTCTCAATCAATGGCTAGACATAAAGACAACAAATATGTCAGAATTCACAAAATTTTAAGGGCTCCTGGCTATCCTGGTTGGGAGCCCCAAGCCTAGCTTGGCTCTGGAGCCTGGCTCATGGGACCACCTCCCTGACTGGTGCACAGCCACACCTGAGGGAGTGGGAGGGCCAGCCAGGACCTAAGGCGGGAGCCTGATTAGGAAAGACTCCACGCTGTAGGACAAGGGTTCCCAGTGTTATTAGGTAGAGGACCTCTTTTCAGTTGCACAGGCTCTGGAGCTAGATTGCTGGGTTAAAATTCCTGCTCTGCGATTGACCAGTTGTGGGGCCTCAGACAAGTCATTTTACCTCTTTGTACTTCAGCGTCCTCCTCAGTTATGAATCCAAGTAGTAATAATTTCTATTTCATAGAAATATTGTAGGGACTAAATGAGTTAATCCAGGTAAAATCCTTAGAGGGGTATCAGGCATACAGTAATCTCTTAATAAATGTCAGCTCTTTTTATTGTCATTATTTGTTTACATGTCTATGGTAGGCAGAATAATGCCCCACAAAGATGTACACACCCTAGTCCTTAATTGCTGGAACCTGTAATAGAATATTCTGAAACAAACCCCAGAATATGTTAGCATACATGGCAAAAGGGACTTTTTTTTAAAAAAAATTATACTTTAAGATCTGGGATACATGTGCAGAACATGCAGGCTTGTTACATGAGTATACACGTGTCATGCTGGTTTGCTGCACCTATCAACCCATCATCTGCATTAGATATTTCTCCTAATGCTATCCCTCCCCTATCTTCGCACCCCATAACAGGCACTGGTGTGTGATGTTCCCTTCCCTGTGTCCATGTGTTCTCATTGTTCAACTCCCACTTATGAGTTAAGAACATGCGGTGTTTGGTTTTCTGTTTCTGTGTTAGTTTGCTGAGAGTGATGGTTTCCAGCTTCATCCATATCCCTGCAAAGGACATGAACTCAACCTTTTTTATGGCTGCATAGTATTCCATGGTGTATATGTGCCACATTCTCTTCACCCAGTCTATCATTGATGGACATTTGGGTTGGTTCCAAGTCTTTGCTATTGTGAACAGAGTGCAATAAACATACTTGTGCATGTTTCTTTATCATAGAACGATTTATAATCCTTTGGGTATATACCCAGTAATGGGATTGCTGGGTCAAATGGCATTTCCGGTTCTAGATCCTTAAGGAATCACCACACTGTCTTCCACAATGGTTGAGCTAATTTACACTCCCACCTTTTTTTTCATATGTTTGTTGGCTGCATAAATGTCTTCTTTTGAGAAGTGTCTGTTCATATCCGTTGCCCACTTTTTGATGGGGTTGTTTTTTTCTTGTAAATTTGTTTAAGTTCTTTGTAGATTCTGGATATTAGTCTTTTGTCAGATGGATAGATTGGAAAAATTTTCTCCCATTCTGTAGGTTGCCTGTTCACTCTGATGATAGTTTCTTTTATTGTGCAGAAGCTTGTTAGTTTAATTAGATCCCAATTGTCAATTTTGGCTTTTGTTGCCATTGCTTTTGGTGTTTTAATCATGAAGTCTTTGCCCATGCCTATACCTGAATGGTATTGCCTACGTTTTCTTCTAGGGTTTTAATGGTTTTAGGTCTTATGTTTAAGTCTTTAATCCATTTTGAGTTAATTTTTGTATAAGGTGTAAGGAAGGAGTCCAGTTTCAGTTTTCTGCATATGGCTAGCCAGTTCTCCCAACACTATTTATTAAATAGGGAATCCGGCAAAAGGGATTTTTAAAGGCCTTTAGAAGAGGAGATTATCCCAGATTTTCCAAATAGTCTTAACCTAATCACATGAATCCTTGAAAGGGGAGAACTTTCCTTAGCTGTGGTAAGGGAAAGAGACGTGACAATCGAAAGGAGCTTCAATGCTGACTTTGCAGGTGAAGAAATGGCCCATGAGTTGAGGGAAGTAGGCAACCTCTGGAAGCTGGAAAAGCCAAGGAAAGAGATTCTTTCCCAAGGTGTCTGGAAAGGAAAACAGCCCTGCTAACATGCTGATTTTTAGCCCCTTGAGACCTATGATGGACTTCTAATCTAGAGGATTTCAAGATAACACATTTGTGTTGTTTTAAGTCACTAGGTTTGTGGTAATTTGTTATGGCAGTGACAGGAAACTAATAAATGTCTGTCTCTTCTGTTCTCTAATGAGCAACTTGAAGGTGACCCTGTGTCCCTCACTCCTTTATCCCCACTGTCTAATCAGAATCTGGCATGCAGTAGGTACTCAATAAATATTTAGTGATTTAGTCAACAAATGTCTGTGTAAGGCATGACAAATGGCTTTGCTCTGGCTAACAGAGGGACCAATATGTGAAATACTGAGGTAAATAGGGGACCAAGGTTTGATAAATCCTTACCAGGATGTTAGTCTAATAATATTAAAAAGTGAACTGGATAACGTAATAATAATAAAGGAAAATAACAAATGCTGACAAAGGTGTAGAGAAATTGGAGCCCTTGCACATTACTGGTAGAAATGTAAAATGGTGCCAATGCCATGGAAAAATACCTGATAGTTTCTCAAAAAGTTAAACAGAGAATTACCACATGCAATTTTGTATACCCAGTAATTCCACTTCTGGGTATATATCCAAAACAACTGAAAACAAGTATTCAAACAAAAAGTTATACACACATGTTTATAGCAGCACTGTTCAAAATAACCAAAAGATGAAAACAATACAAATGTCCATCAATGGATGTCTAAATAAACAAAATGTGTTATATTCATATAATTAGTTTTTATTATTGGGCCACAGAAGGAATGAAGTTTTGAGACACGCTACAATATTGATGACCTTGAAAACATTATGCTAAACAGAAGAAGTCAGACCAAAAAAAAAAAAAAATCACATACTGCATGGTTCCATTTGTATGAAATAGCCAGAATAGTCAAATAAATAGAAATGGGAAGCAGATTGGTGGGGAGGCGGGGAATGGGGAGTGACTGCTCAGTGGGGTACAGGGCTTTCTCTCAGTTGATGGAAATGCTTTGGAACTAGATAGAGGTGATGGTCACACAACAATGTGAATGTACTAAATGTTGCCAGATGGACGCTTGAAAATGGTTAACATGATGACTACTATGTGAATTTTACCTTACTTTTAAGAAATACAGTAAGCTGGGCAGAAAATTTCTCTGTTTCAAAAATCCAAACAAGGATGAAAAAATGTAGTAGTAATCATAGAATCTCTTTTCCCTACCATCTAATAAAATGCTCAGAAAGTAGCATGAGTGAGTGAGAGATTAATTGATCGATTTCCCAGCACCAAATAAACAAGGAAGGAGGAACAACTTTATGCCATAAGTGTCAAGAAGTAGCAGCTACAAAAAGAAACAGAAGATGCTGTTGGAGCTGAACAGGGCTCCTGACCTCACAGCCCCTTTCCCTCCCTCTCCCCAAAGCCAAGCCCTTTACAGGAAGGATGGCCAATTAATGGAAACCGGATGACTCTCACCAATGCTCTCCAGCTTCAAGAGAAACAGATTGAAGGAGTGAGTAAACAATTCTGGGAAAATTCCAGAAAAAGTCCTTGAGAAAAGAATTCTCCGTGATTGACCCTGGGGGCTTTGTTAGAGGCAGAAAGGGCTATCAGGTCAATATGTTGAGCTGCAGGAACAAGCTGAGATCTAGAGGAGTGGACTGTACTCTCGGCTAGATCAATTGGACACCAGTAAAAAGTTAGCTTCATCTCAAAAAGGAGTGGAACTGGGCTCTAAGCGAGGACTGTGCTCAGGCCCGGCTGAACTATTCTTGCTTATCCCCACCTTTTCAGGCTACAGAGAAGGGGATTGGAAATAAGACGCAATAGAAATGGAAAGCAGATGGGTGGGGAGGCAGGGAATGGGGAGTGACTACTCAGTGGGTACAGGGCTTTCTCTCGGTTGATGAAAACACTTTGGAACTAAATAGAGGTGATGGTCACACAATAATGTGAATGTACTAAATACCACCAGATGGACACTTGAAAATGGGGTCAGGGTGGGGAAGATAAAGAGTCTATATAAGGCAGGGGGATGACAAGGGAAATTCACCCACACTGTATTCCACTGAAGCGATACACAATCACTCAGAATTGTCCATATTAGGCATAAGTAAGATGAAAATAAATCACACAATCTCAATAAAATATTCTAAGAAAATAATGTATGTTAAAAACATATGAAAAATCCTGTCTGGGAGGAACCCAAAACCAAAACAGCAAGAAGATTCCTTGTAAGTGCATTGGGCTATATAGAACTTAATAAGAACACAAGTTAAATAAAACAAAATATCAAAATAAAGATGATAAAACAACAAAATAAGATGGAACAGGATACCAAAGAACTAAAGGAACAAAATAAAATTCTGAGTAACTTAGAAATAGAAAGAGATAGTAGATATAACTAAAAATCATATTAATTATAGCACTTGGGATCACAGCAAATACAGAGGAAAAAGAATTAGCTACTAATTAAGAAGCTCAAAGATAATTCAATATAAGGATATTTGATATTCATGATAAGAACCCAACAAATAAAACAGGAAAAATATTGAGAAACATAATACAGGAAACTTTTCCTGAAGTGATAGCAGGACTGAATCAGCACTTTGATATGGTTTGAATCTGTGTCCCTGCCCAAATCTCATGTTGAAATGTAATCTCTGCTACAAGGAGGTGGGGCCTGGTGGGAGGTGATTGGATTACAGAGGAGGTTTCTAATGGTTTAGCACCATCCCCCTAGTGCTGTTTTCATGAGAAGTGATAGAGTTCTCATGAGATTTGGTTGTTTAAAAGTGTGTAGCACCTTCCCTCTCTCTTTCTCCTGCTCTGGCCTTGAAAGATGAGCCTGCTTTCCCTTTGCCTTCTGCCACGATTGTAAGTTTCCTGAGGCTGCCCCAACCATGCTTCCTGTGTAGCCTGCAGAACTGTGAGCCAATTAAACCTCTTTTCTTTACGAATTATAAATTACCTAGTCTCAGATAGTTCTTTATAGCAGTGCAAGAACAGACTAATACACACTTGAAAGATGAAACTGTATCCTAGGCACAATTGATGCAGAATGAACAACATTGAGTCATACAGTGATTAAGATAATCAGCCTCTAAGATAAAGAATTCTTTGGCCATCCAACAGAAAAAGTAAAAGGGGAAAAATATTAAGGGGCTGCAGATTCCTCCCCATCACCTCCCAGCACCAGAGAACACTAGGAAAATAGCTAACACAGGAAAAGGACCATGACCTGGAATATTTTTATTTGGTCAAATTTTTATCCATGTGTGAAGGCAACACGGAGAGCATTTGCAAATGTAATAGTGCTCAGGGAATATAGCACCCAGAACCTTCTTGAAGAAAGCTTTCAAGGCCACAGACTCTAAAGTCAGACTGCCTGAATTTGAATCCTGGCTTTGCCACTTACTAGCTCTGTGATTTAGGCAAGTTACTTAAGTAACATTTTTTGTGCCTCAGTCTCCTCATCTGTAAAATGGGGATAATAATAGTCAATATTTCATTGGGTTTTTTTTTTGTGTGTGTGGATTCAATGAATTAATATGAATTAATTCTATGAATTTTAGCATTTCCTTTATTTTCATTTTAGTTTCTTTTGTCTCCTAATAAGTTCATGCAAAACTAAATTCAGTATTTTTATTTTGAAGAGAAACATAACATGATGACATTCTTATAAAATTATTTTTGTCCATTATCCATTCCTTCACCCAATTATAGATAGAATTATGTTTGAATTGGTGCTCATCATATATTAACACTAGAATTGTTGGTAGTGGGATTTGAGTAATGCATTGATTTTTTGTATATATCTTGAGTTCTTATAACATGTATGCAAAAAACCAATAAAGTTGTTATTTTAAAACCAACCAATTAAATAACTATCTAAATATATATAAATCACTTCACAGCCCTGTAAGGAATGATTCATGCTTGCTCAAGTACATTTTGTTCTTAAAAGAAGAGATTGTATGTATAATCAAAATCAACATTTTCATATTTTGTCAACTATTTTCCACTCTATTACTTAAGCATTAGGGAACAGTTTTGTCTTGTCAACACCCAGCTGGAAATAATAGCTCATATGTGATGAAAAATAGTGGCTGTGGGGTGTGGAGTGATTCACAGGAACATGATTTCCCATATCAGGGAGAAATGATCTCCACCAAGTAGGCTGTAATTTTCCATAATGTTGAGCAAAGAGTCAGGGCTTACAGGAGCAACAGGCAACTCTTTCTTCCCTGCCACTCAAATGACTATGCTAAGGATGCCCTTCTTTGACTACAAAGTAACCTTACTGACCTGCCACGGATCTCAGTCTGGAGCTCTGTGTTCAGTAGTTGGCTGATCCTCTGAGCTGCCTCAGGCAGGGCTGGGTGTTCCCTTCCTTCACTCCTATCGCATCTTGATCACTCTGTACTCATACTTCACTGTGATAGTTGGCCCATCTCCCCCCTTAGCCTGTGAGCTTCTTGAGGGCAGAAATATACCTTGTCCATCACTCTAACCCCTGTGCCTTGTGCAGAGCCTGTCTTAGAATAGAGTGAATATTTGTCGAATGAGTTATTGAATATTGAATAAGTTATCCATCCTTCTCTCCTGGTCCCTTTTGTCATCAGATAAATACATGTGGTGAGAATAAATCCCTGAGATAAATGGATCTGCCTCCTTCTCACAAGCTCTTGTGAGATGGAAAACTTTGGCATAATCAGCTGTGTTACAAAGCTCATCACTAGATGTAGGCATGGCTCCCCTATGACGTAACCACATTCAGTTTTTCTTTTTTAGAGGCAATAAAGGAGGGCTGATTAAGGAGCAATTGTTCTGGAGTCAGCCAAAAAGAAGACTTTATGAACCAGTAGAGTAATATTGCTCAAGGACTAACTTGGGGTACTCTTCATGCTGTTCTGCCCCAAGATAATCCTCATCTTCCCTCACAGTGTTATTCCTAGACAGTCATTAGGAAATAACATAAAGGTTAATTATTTACAAAGCTACTTTGGCAAATAGCAACAGGACTATCAGTAAAAAAAGTATTTTTATTTTTATTTATGTTAATTGTAGATTTGATCCTTTCAAAAAAAATAGGGTCCTTAATTCCTGGTGGCTCTGATCACAAAGACCCTCTTGTATTGAGTGTGATCCAATCTGTTTGACAAGGACAGTTCAACAGAGATCTGGAAGAGAAAACTGCTTGTTCTTCATTAGTTAGAAGCAAGAGATCAGCAAACAGGTATCAAGGCTGAGGAGATGCACAGAAGCTGGGGGTGCACGGGCGTGCTAGTTTGAAATGGCCTCAGACAACATTTGCTTCCTAATATTTAGACCACGGTGCACAGCATTTTTTGATGAATGGAAATAAAGAAAAAAATAAGGAAGGAAAGAAGGAAAAGGAACTCCACAAAATACCAAAACTATTGTGCTTCCTCACTGGTACCCAAATGTAAGTCAGGAGGTCTCCTGACACTTTGCCTTTTGATAAGGAACAGTCAGGGGTACTTTTTAACTTAATATGCACCTAAAAGTTTTAGACTGATCATTTGGAGTGGGACTCACTTTTACTGAGTCCTCAGCCTTGTTTCTCTTATTGATAAGAATTTGCTGATGTAGTATAAACCTTGAAATTTGCTAAGGAGAAAGTAGTTTTGAATTCAAAAAAATTCCAAAATATTATGAAATTTTGACAGTACAGTCCGATCTGGGGTGGGCTCCTGGCTGTTTGGACACATTTTCTAGGGAGGAGAGCATCTTTTCTTGGGAACGTGAGGATGGTTAGCACTCCAACCAGCAGCCAGGGACTAGGGCCTGGGGGACCTCCTCCAGCCATCATAAGATAATCCTCACCAGCTAAAAGAACCATGTCCCTGCCCGCCACTTCTTTGATTCTGCCTTTAGAAAAAAATCACTAATTAAAAAACCCATTGCATATAGCGCAGAAGTCCTCAAGCTTTCATATGTTATACTCACCTACAGTGTTTGTTAAATTGCAGAGTCTTGGACCCCACATTCTTGAGACCTGGGGTGGGACCTCAGATTCTGCAGTCTTACAAGCCTAACAGGTGTCAGAGCTATGAGCACCATGATCAGACAAACTCAGCTGTAGATGTGAATGCAACATCCCTCTGAGACAAGGACTCATGGGCATTATTAATATGCAAGAGAAAATTTTAAGGATCACAGAGATGCAGAAGATCTTTAAGATCTTCTGAAAGTCTGATGTATTTTTGCTATTTCAACTGTATTCTCAACTATAGATGTGATTTATTTGATATGCTACTTTGTGCTGGGCCCAGTATCAAGTCTTCACGTGATATCTCATTTAATCCTCACACTAATCCTATTTCACAGAAGAGGAAGCAGAAACCCAGAGAAATTATGAAATTTTCCCCAGGACTTGCAAGTGCTATGAGTTAGAGCCAGAGTGCAAGTCCCGGTGCCTGCAACCTCAAAACCAAGCATATTCATGAGCTGCAAGAGAATCAATAGATGTTTCAACAAAAGCAAGGCCAGACCAGACTTCCTCTTCCTTTTACCTGCATTTCAGGCCTCCAACATCTCTCAGAGTCAATGGCATTAACTTCAAAAGTGTTTCCTATTCTACTCCCTCGGAAGCTGATGTCACACGGAGACTTACTCCTGATTTTAATTAGGCTATTTAGATCTTATAAGCTTCTATCAATGTTAAAATAAAAAGTCCTGGAGGGGTCTATCTAGAAAGAGATTAAGCCACCTTTACAGAATGTCTTTTCTGGAACAGCTATTTCCATGTGGCCCAGAGAACTCATGGGTGATGATGCTCTTGGCCACTGAAAAAGCTCCAGACCCTGGTACAAACATCAGAGCACTGTTGCCCAGGAACCTTCCTTGAGAGGTAGAATTGTGATGCAAGCCATATATCACTGATGGACACATAAAGTAAACCATCAGTGAAATGGAAAGCAAGAAAGCCATTTGTCCATTGATAGCCTAGGAACAATATACACATCATCTTTTTCGTTCTCAAAGGAAGAGACTTACGGAGGTGTGGGCAGAGTTAGAGGAACCAGCAAAAAACACTGAGGACTCAGAGACTAGTGACAGGTGTGCTCTTACTAATCCTGGACCTGATGGGGCCAAGGGGAGGGGCCGGGGTTCTGGAGCTCGGTGGGGAAGGACACCTGCCCAGTGGGAGCTGTGTTAGAGGAGGGGCACAGAGACTGCCTGCACATCGTCTTCAAAGCAGCCCTTGCAGAAGGGGATGAGCAATCTATAAATAGTCTTTTTATTTCCAAAGATAAGATAGGCTAAAAGTGGCTGATCTGAAACATCCTTTTTTTCTTATGTTCAGTCCATTACAGGCCTTTGGTGTTTGAGTGAAACTATGGTTGAATATTTATCAAACCAAACATTTGAGCACTGCAAGCCCTCTATTCACCAATCACCTCTCCTTCAATTGTCTGTGCAGTATCCAGGATGCCTTAATTCAGGTCAATCTCTCAATTACCCCCAGTTATGAGCCCCTACTTTGATGGAACCAGTTGAGGTGGGCCAGCATTTTGAAGAGTTGGCATCTCCCTATCCTTACTTCTTCACTGATTCTGGCTCAGGTTCTCTGCTTACCCAAACTAAACTTGACTTCACTTCTCATAATGAACTTCCTGTATTTCTGTCACGTTCACCCTCCAGCTCACAGCCTTGCTCCTGTCTCCATCTATGTTGTTATTAGGACCAGCCACTTCCCTCAGTGCATCCTGCACCCATACAATAGGATATGAGGCATGGCGGTGGGGGGGTCATATCACTGAGCTGAGCCAAGCAGGGTCTCTTCCCTGGAAACCTGAAATGCAGATGACTGAGTCTCCTCGTGGATGGTGTGAATTTGGGAGTTCTCCGTAGCTATATTTTTATATGAACCAGAAAAGCAGAGGATGAAAGGTTACAGAGAGGAAGAGAAGAGTGAAGCAGAAACAAAGAGAGGAACAATGGATATGAAACAGAGATGGAGAGAGGCTGAGGATGTTCAATCCCTAGTTCATTTGCTTCTAAGGCTCAGCAAAATTTCCCAACTTAACTTAGCTAGTCCCAATGGGTCTCTGTAGCTTGCATGTAAAACAGTTCTGTATATATGACTCACCTTCTTTTCCTTCAAGCATTAGAGCAGAGGAATTGTCATGATAGATTAGATTCCCCATGTGGTTTTCCCAGCATTGTCTCAAAGACAGCCATCTGGGGAAAGCCATGGCATTTTCTTATAACATCCTCATTTGCCTTAGAGCTTGTATAACAACAACAATAAATATTTATGAAACATCTACTTACAACATTGACCTGATTTACTGACGGTAAGACAGTTTAGTGAGAGGCGATGGCCTCAGGTCACACAGCTAGCAGGTAAGTGACTGCACCAGGATCCCAGAACTCTTTCTGATTCTCCTCTGTGTAGATCTAGCCTAATGGAAGGGTCATCCAGCTAGTGGTCTGCAAACTAATTTGGTAACCACAGTCACCCAGTTCCCACTTCCAGAACTGCTTAATCAGAGATCTGGAGTGGGGAATGTAGCAATGTATATTTTTAAATAAAGTTTTTAAGAGTTTAAAAGAAAAAACGCTGCCAGGTGCTGTGGCTCATGCCTGTAATCCCAGCACTTTGGGAGGCTGAGGCAGGTGGATCACCTGAGGTCAGGAGTTTGAGACCAGACTGGCCAACATGGTGAAACCCTGTCTCTACAAGAAATACAAAAAATTACCTGGGCATGGTGGCAGGCACCTGTAATCCCAGCTACTCCAGAGGCTGAGGCAGGAGAATTGCTTGAACCCGGGAGGTGGAGGTTGCAGTAGGCTGAGATTGTGCCACTGCATTCCAGCCTGAGAGACAAGAACAAAACTCCATCAAAAAAAAAAAAAGAAGAAAAAAGAAAAGAAAAAAACACATTCATTTATCCTACAAATATTTACTAAGCATTCTTACATCAGAATTAGGTTTGGCTACATATAACAATTAACACTAATCATGTGATTTAAACAGGTAGAGGTTTATTTTACCATGGGAAAGAAGTCAAGAAGTATGCCCCCTAGGCCTGGTATGATCATCAAAGACTCATACCCCTCTTAGAATGGTTCCTGTTAAGTAAGCTTACCTCGTGGTTACAACTGTGGCTGCTGCAGCTCCAGCCATTACATTCATGTTTTAGGCAGTAGGAAGGAGAAAGGAGCAAGGGGAAAAGGGTGTACTTTCTTTAAAGAGTAAGCCTCCTTCAATGTGTTTTCCAAGAAGCTCCACTCCATGTCTTCTGTTTGACCATTTCTATTGACAAGAGAGGCTGTAGATGTAATTGTATAGCTGGGCACAACTGCTGAACCTGACAATATAGGGACTCCATTATTAAGGAAGAAAGGGAGCATGGACGTTAGGTGGGAAACTGGCAGCCTTTGCCACAGCCTGCTAGGTGCCAGTCACTGCCCTGGGGATACAGTGATGAAAAGGCGAGGCTGCTGCCCTCCTGGCACTTATGTTCCAGCAAGAAGACAGACAATAAATAAGCACAAAATAAATAATAGAATTTCAGGTGGTGATGGGTAATGGTAGCAATTGTAAATAGGTTGAAAAAGGGGAGGGTCCCTCTGAGCAGGGGACATTTGAGCAGAAACATGATTGATGCACGAGGTTGGGAACAAGCATTCTAGGAAAAGAGGATGTACCCACTAGGACCTTGGGGCAGATTGATGCAATGTGCACTCTAGTGGAGAACCACTGATCCAAACCTTTAAAACTCTTCTGTAGCCTGTTCAGATGGCTACAGAAATATAATCTGCGTCACATCAATGAAAAAAACAATGTTCGTGACATTCCATTGGTGGTTTTATGTATTCATGAAATAAATGTTCTTATCAATATGGTAGTTATTGATACTTCAGGTTTTTATTATGAGCCTTGTTGGTGTGGTTATAACTCATAGATATCTCTTGTTCCATAAAAGAGTTGCACAGGATTTTTTTTAAATTAATGCTTATTATTAAAGTACATTAAATATCAGTATAATATGGATACTTCTAGTTGCATTTCAGTACTTTTCATCTTGTTTATATAATTTTGGATTCTTCCTTCTCTCTAAAAGTACTGTAAATGTATTTATTTTTCAAGTTCAATTGAATTTAAATTTAAAGGTATCCATTTGTGTGTTTAACCTATATCATTTCTTGAGAAGCGATGTTTTCCCTAAGAATATTTGTCCTTGCTGGGTCTTTCTCTTACCTTGAGTGATGCCCTTCTGTTACTGTATTCTGGGGTCTGGCAAAGATTTTTATTGACATTATTCATATCATTTATGATTGTATTGATTTCAATAAACTTTCCATTTCAACCTTTGCCTTTATGTTGAAGTCATCATCTTTTTAAATCTCTTCATGTATGCCCTCCTCCCTCCCCTCATGCTATGGGTTTTTTCATTGCCCCCTCCAGTTCTGTGACATCTTTCTTGATGAAATAGGAATGCACACAGTCCTCGGTACGCACTCTATGCAGCAATCACATTGAATAGGCAAGACTATGGCATATAACCATGAACTAACGTTTTGCCTCCCACTGTCCCTTTAAATCTGCTATGTGGGTCTAGTTCTTCTCTTGTGTCTGGATAAAAACTCAGGCAGGTTTTTTCTAGTCACAGCATTCTCCAATCAATAATTTAAAAATCCAGTCTCATGTAACAGATAATACTTTGGACTTGGTTCAATGTTGTTTTCCCTTCCTTTCCTGATCGTGACCTGTTGCGAGTGGAGTCTGGCAGCTGGGAGCAGGACTACACACTCACTTTCACTTTTCTTCACCTCGTGCTTCCCATCTCCCTCCTCCATCTCATTAACTGTGATTTCTGGCCCCTATTCAGCGGATCATAGGAAGGGAGAAAAGATAACATTGGCCAGAAAAGTTTTATCTTGCCTGGTACTATTGTGAGCTTGGTGTGGCCCTCTCTGGGCTTGGGAAGTGTTTAAAGCTGACTTGTTCTCATCTGTATCCTGTGGGGTTTTAGGACATTCCCATCACCAGAGACCTTTCTCTTACCTGCAGTCCATTGACATGGGCAAGACACTCTTCTCCAGCTCATTGCACACTCTATCCCTGCTTCCTGGCATTTGGCATTATCTCTGTCTTATCTCTGCTGCTCTCTCTTCATCTCTCAGGCAGCCCTTTTGGATAAGACTATGGTCCACATCTGGCTCACGGAAAGCAACAGTGTATTTTTTTACACTGTGAGAGCAGGCCCCCAACACAGCCCCTTCTCCTTGGATTGTATGTCAGCAGATGGCCAGACCAACTCTTGCTCTTGAAATTTCTCAGCTAGGGGCTAGGCACAGTTTAATGTGTCCCTCAACTGCAGGGGACACAGACCATGCTTTCAGAGTGTTCCTATTGAAGGCTCTTCACTAATTTTAACACGAGGTACCAGCACTCTAGTCCTTACTCCAAGGACAGGATCAGAATCATAATATACATAGAGCATTCTCTAAAAATGTTCTCTCAACCTCCGCTTTCTCCTTTCTTGACTTCTGTAATCTCTTCTATGGGCTAGAGGTGGGTGGTCAGCTCAGGGTTGAAACTGGTTTTTCATCCCCCACCTCTTTTTAAAAAATGTTGTATTTTAACATAATTATGGGCTTATAGGAAGCTGCATTGCGAAGAAACATCCAGGGACATCCCATGCAATTTTCACCTCCAAGTTAACATCTTGCATAACTGTAGAGCAGTATCAGAACCAGGAAACTGACATTGTTACAATCCACAGAGCTTATTCAGATTCCACAAGTTATGCATGCAGTCAATTGTGTGTGGTTTGCAAATCTGTGCAATTATTTCACACGTGTAGTTTCATGTAAACACCTCCACATTCAAGATACATAACTGTACCATCACCACAAGGACCTCACGCTACCGCTTTATAGCATACTCCCTTCTCCTCTCATCCCTAACCTGGCAATCACTGCTCTGTTCTCCATCTCTATAATTGTTATTTTATGGAATCATTCAGTATGTATCTTTTTGAGATTGTCAGCCATCTCCTTTTTCCAAGTCCCATAAAAAATAATGGTCTCATTTTGGAAGGTAACATCTATTGTTTTCGTGCGTCAGCCAAAGGGGAGGCAAGAAGAGTTCCATTTTAACATCCTGTTACAAATAGTTTTGTTCAAGTTTGGGACATATTTTCTATAATGTATCATTCTGATGGCTCAGCATTTCATTCATTTAACAAATATTTATGGAGTGCCTGGCATTTTATTGTTTTGGATGCTACTGTCCTGTGTTAGGCTTAATGTTCTCAGGAGAGCAAATAATTCCCAGGGTCTTCTCCTGGCATTATAGGTCATTTCTAGGCTATTGTTCTACAACTGCTTATTCTTAAAGTGTTTTAACTTGAACTTGCCCTGAAGTTGAAATTTCTGTACCACTTTCTGTTGAGCCTTGAAAAGGCTCTCTCCTATTGACTTACCATTTCACTTAGAATATCTCGGGGTCATCTACCACTCTGAGAGTTTCACTGCACACCTAGTTCTTCAAATCTCTTAATAAAATTATTCACCAAAGATTGGCACCTCTTGACCTCTGAGAGATCTTACCTTTTACAAAGAAATGAGTCTTTTTTATTACCCAGTTTTCCTTGCTGAAATTTAATTATTTGTCCACTTCGAATAGTCTGTGACTCCTATGGTGATCCATTCATTCTTTACTCACCCATAATCAGGTTTTAGTGTAGACACTTGACAAAGACATTTTCAAAGCCTGCAAAATGACTCACTCCCCTTACCCTGTGTACCCCCAAGGAACTTTGAAAATCAGACCTGATTCCTCCATGTAGAACCCATCCTGCGTTTGCCTCCATGGGTGTGTTGATTCAAACTTTCTGCAATTTTGTACTTTATTTAAAGATAAATTTGTACTTTATTCCAGCAGCCTGGCTGGTATGGAAGGGAGAAACTAACAGTTGGTTTCCCAGGGTCCCCTCTGGAAAAGCAGGCTGAGGCTTAACATTGGCAACCCGACTGTCCTGCAGCACCGCAGCTGTTGCAACAACTGGTCTCACATCATAGTCGACAGTTCCACAGTTCTGCCCATGAATTCATTTGAAATTCCTAGGTGTATCACATCCTATCTGGGTGATTTATTGATATCTGTTTTGTCAGAGAAGACTAGAACATTCTGTGCATCTACTATGATTTTATTGAATGCTCCAACCTGTCCATTTCAAGGGCATGCATCTTCCTTGGTAAAGGGCAAGGCAAAGCATTAATGCATTGTCGCTTCTATCTTTTCTTTCATTCCTTTGTGCATTCCATGAATGCCCTCAGTTTTTTGTTTTTGTTTTTGACATTCTTTGGAGTTTCTTACAAGGTGCCCTTTAATAGATCATAGAATTTCAGAAGTAAAAGAAATGTTGAAATGTAGTTTGGTCCAAACACCCCATTCTAAAGATGAAAAAAGCTGAAGTTGAAAGAAGTTCTGTGACTTGATCTGACACATTGAATGGCTTCTGTTTCCATTTTGGTTGTGTGTGCTTATTTTTTTGATATTTCTGTTAATTTGAAATTTTGAATAACTTGGCTTTCCTTTTGGACCTTAAAATGTTGTCCTTTTGTAAGTCTCTGTGGTGCTACAAAGAGGCTATCTCATCAACGCTGTTGCCTGTCCACCTGGCTGCTGATCAGCTTGATTCTGCTATCCAGGATCCAGGGGATCCTAAGGTACCAAGCCTCTCTGCTCAACCCTGCCCAGTTCAGGAATCTCTCTGCCTTGACATTTGCTACAGCTTCTGCTTGTCGCCACCCTCTCACAGAGAACTTGTTTATTTCTCCACAGTTAAAAATTCCTGGTTACAATGTGTTCCTTTTATAAAAACGGTCTGCTTTCCAAAAGGCTGCTTTCTCAGAGCATTTCACTTTGCCATCTCTGTCGGGGGATCTGAGCCGTGACATACGCAGGGTTGAAGTGGGATGGGATGAGATGGGAAGCCCTTGCATATCTTTCTGGAGGGTGTGAAGCCAGCCGGCTTCTTTTGACTCACCATCCTGCTGTCTTATTTTTACAGCGAAAAGGAGGCAAACGCCATCCTCCTTGCTTTCAGCCTTCGTTTTGAGCGCTGCACACCCATGAGTACCGCCAGGGGTTCCCATCCAGACCGCGTGGCTATTTCCACTCCCATGATGTCCACAGCGGCCTTTATCAGCCACCTGGGCACTGGAGCAGGGGCCTCCTGCTTTCTTATTCGGTCTCCCATCTAGTTGGTCTGTGCTAGGGCTGGGAGTACCATGGGAATAAAAACCGAACATGTCATCCCTTTCCTCAAGGCTGTGGTTCCTGGTGCCCCCCTAGTTTCATGCAGGGTGTCTAAGGCAAGGTCAACATCCTCTTGGCACACAGCAAGACCTCAGTGAGCCTATGTTCGGTGCTCATCATTGGATATATTTCAGCAGGGTCTCTCTGCCTCCACTGTGGCCCCCTGGAATGGGTTTATTGTTCATGCAACAGCCAGAGAGGATGCCAAAAAATGCACATCCAGTCATGCCACTGCTCTGCCCAATGCCTTCCTCCCACACACAATGTCTCCCCCGTCACGTTACCCTGTGATAGAATGAATTCCTGTCCCCATTTTCATGATACTTGATAACTCGTACTCTGCCGCAGCCTCACCGTGGCCCTGGTGTATTTCCGGTCCCTTGATTTGACTTAGTCACATCATGTGCTTTGTCCTTGGGACGGCAGTGGCCCTCACGCCAGCAGATGCTTGTCATGAGCCTGTGCGGCTGGATTTACGCTCCTCATGTCTGCCACTGCCAGGACAAGAACAAGAGCAGTTGCTCCTGCCTTTTGCATCTTGGGTCCCAGAATGAAACACGTGGAGGAGGCCTGTCCGGGCTGAGCCGATGATGTGCAGTGAGACGCTTGCTGCTGTGTGCCACTGAACATCTGTCGTTGCCATGCAGCAAGAGCTGATTGATGCAGAATCCAAAGCCTTACCTCGTGGTCCTGAGTGTCCTCTCTGACAGCATTTTTGTACACTCTCGCCCTCATGGATTGTGCTCCAGCAGTGTGTTCCTGCCCCAGGGTTTTGCCTTTGTTGTGTCCTCCACTTATAATTTTATTTCCTTCAACTACCTGTTTGGAGCTCTGGTAGTGATAATTGTGGTGAAGCAGGATAAGGGGCTAGTGAGTCCCGGCGGGGGCAGGAGGAGGCTGTTTTAGATGGGGTGGTCCGAGGAGGGGACATCTGAGCAGAGAACTCAAAGGGTGAGGGAGTGAGGGAGCAAGCCACACGTATCAGTGGGGGCAGGGGGCCCGGGCGTGTTCCTTGCAAACAGTGTCTTCTAAGCACTCTATGGTTTTCTTCCTGCGTTAGTGGCTTATATGAAGGACCTGGAAACTCCTTTCTTCCCTCCTCATCCTACCCATATCCTTCTCATTGTGAATTGAGGCCAATCCCTTCCAGGTCCCTCGGCTTCCTAGGAGATTGAGGTCTGCCCCTGGCCTATGTTCCCAGGGTGCCCTGGCAGCTCTCCAGTTATTTGTTGGGGAGGACCATCTTGGGTTCATAGCCAGCTAAGAATAAAGAAGTTAGACTGGGAAAAATGATATTTAGGAAGAGTTTTAAAACTTATTCACTCTACCATTCTTCTAAGTATTCTGAACCTTCTTCTGGGTACAACCAGGTTGGTAGGGAGCTGATTACTTGGGTGTCATAGTAGCCTCCAATCCATTGCTGGAGTTGAGTGCTAATGCCCCGTATTATTATTATTCAGAGACAGAGGCTTGCTCTGTCACCCAGGCTGGAGTGCAGTGGCTTGATCATAGGTCACTGCAGCCTTGAAATCCTGGGCTCAATTGATCCTCTCATCTCAGCCTCCCAAGTATCTAGGACTACAGGCAGGCACCACCACGCCCAGCTAATTTTTATTTTTATTTTGTGGAGATGGAGTCTCAATATGTTGTCCAGGCTGGTCTCGAACTTCTGGCCTCAAGCAATCCTCCTGACTCAGCCTCTGAAAGTGCTGGCATTATAGGTGTGAGCTACCTTGGCCAGCCTGCCCAGTATAATTACACCACTGACCAGTACTAAGAGTTTGTATAAGACAGCCTAGCGAAATATCACTTGGTCTAGAGCCTTGCTACTCAAGTGTGTCTCACAACCAGTAGCATCGCAGCATCACCAACACCGAGGAGCTTGTGAAACATGCAAAATCGCTGAGCACAGTGGCTCATCCCTGTAATCCCAGCACTTTGGGAGGCCAAGGCAATGAATCACCTGAGGTCAGGAGTTTGAGATTAGCCTGGCCAACATGATGAAACCTCGTCTCTAATAAAAATACAAAAAAATTAGCTGGGCATGGTGGCGGGCGCCTGTAGTTCCAGCTATGTTGGAAGCTGAGGCAGGAGAATCACCTGAACCCGGGAGGTGGAGGTTGCAGTGAGCCGAGACTGTACCACTGCACTGCAGTCTCAGCAACAAGAGCGAAACTCAGTCTCAAAAAAAAAAAAAAAAAAAAAAAAAAAAGAAACATGCAAAATCTCAAGCCCTATTTCAGAACTTTAGAAGCAGATTCTCCAGTGATCACAGCAAAATATGAGAACTGATCAATTCCTCATTTATGACATTGCTTGGTGTCCTCTTTATTAGAACTTCACAGGTAAATTTTTGTTTTGTTAGTCCCAAGACAAATTGCTCTTCAGAGCATTTTATTTGCTTTGTTGCTCTTACGGACATTGCAAATTGTGTACAGTTTCTCTTTTCCAGTTGGCTGCTAAATCTATACTGTCTTCTACACTTAGTGTAGTGTTTTGTATGGAGCAGAAGAAAAATATTTGATGCATAAACAAAATGAATCCATTCCCTATATTATTAAAAATAAAAGACTCCTAAAGTCCTCAAATGGGGTGGTATGCTTGTTTCAGTGGCATCATGGTACCAGAGAAATTGAGGAGGCTTTTGCTTACCAGCAGGCCTGAGGATATAGCCCCCAGGAAGCACTGGTGCTGACTGAGGAAGAGGAGCAATGGCTTCAGTTCTTGGGGACCGAGGAAGAAGCCCAAAGCTCTCAGTGACTGGCTCTCACACACCTGGAAGCTCTGCACATTATACATTGACCCTGTGAACTGCTCCCACGTGCCAGGTGGGACTTTTGTATGATCAGCTGGATAATGATGACATAGAGCCATGTGCAATGGGTGGGCCAAATGGACCTGCCCAGTTCCTGGTGCTGGGGCTGTGGCCATGTCTCCCTTTCTCCTCTATGCCACGAGGGGCCTTTGGACTGCCAGGCACTGGAACTCTTTTGCTACTTTCTAGAAGGGAGAATATTCCAGACCCCACCTCTCCTCCCAATCCACAGCCTCCCTCAGTGCTATCGCACCTTTTCTGTGCATGGTTACTGTGGGAGAAGGGAGGTAAGCCAAGCTGACTTGAGACTATTCAGCTCCTGGTGCTGCAGCAAGAGGGAAGTGATAGGCCATTGCTCCCCCTCCTGTTTGCAGGTATCAGCACCTTTCTGAGGAGGCTGAAGATATGGGGCTGGTGGTCATCTGCCCCTATCTCTCAGAGGTTTGGAGGAGAGAGGTTTGGCTGAACAAGGCATGATTGGCAGGCCTGTGCCGACCTCCTCCGGCCCTGCAAACAGCGGTACTTCTCAAGTGCCGGTAAAGTCACTTACCTGTCTACTGGGTTTCTTGGACCACGCAGGGTCATACCCATAGAAATCACAATTAGCAGATGTATGTGTGTGTTTGTGTGCAGGCACACATATATGTATATATTTATTACATGTGTTTATATGTATGTGTGTGTATATTCCCCCAGTCCAAGAACTAAACTCCCTTTATGGCACACCAAAACACGGCTTTTCAGTAATTTTTATGTAGCAAATTAGAGAGTTGTCTGAAGTCAGGGGGTACTGTAATTTGGAAGCTGGTCCTTCATCTAAACACGGCCCTGGGGGTTAATCAGCAGGTGCAGATAACTCGGCACCTTCCAGGATTTGGCGATCAATGGTAAAAATGGACAAACACAGACATGTACTTCAACTTACCCCACCAGGAACACCGCATAGCCTCCTGGCCTCAGAGGCTAGCACCTGGAAACCACTTCTTGTTGTCTTCCCACAACTGAAAGTAAGAGTGACACTATGGAATCTGTAGCAGAACCAAGCAACACAGTCCAGTTTGGACCACTGATGGGGTCTGTACAAAATGAGATCCGATTTTCCTTGTCAAGGAGTAGTTACTCTGGGACAGCCTTGGCTGTTCTGCCCACTTCATCCATTGTGAGCTATTCCCAGATTTCCTTCCTCAGAGGCGGCTGCAAATTTGGAGTGCACAGATATACACTCACATCTTAGATTACTTTTGCCAATGCACATTACCTTATGTTTATTTGAGTTAAGTTTCATCTGCCTTCAGGCTGCTCAATCCCCCCAAGTGTTTGAATGCATCTGGAGTTTCCTGCAAATCTCCTTAGTTTTTATTAGCCAAAACAATTTGGAGCTAGTTGAAATCTCTGGGAAGACATTACAGGACGATTATGTGACAATTGCTCGTGTAATCTGTGACCAGGTAGCCCAGGGAGGGACTGTGGGTTGTAAGCAGGATAGCACTTCTTTCAGCGTGTGCCTGATCTCACAGCCCTGGAGAGGTGCCAGGGAGCCCCACATGGTGTTTGTTTCTGCAAGTGGAAATGCAGATGTCTCTGCCTCAACCAGGGCTTGGAAGCCACCTTTTGGGGAAGTGACAGGGAGGCGTGTTACATAAGATCCATTCTGTCTGAGTGAATTGGTTATGGGAGAGAGAAGAGGAAGCAGAACAAGAGCTGGTGGGAAGCAAGTGAGTGAGAAGGAAGCTTGTGCAGCAGCCTGTTCAGATGTGTGGAAATACAAGTTTAATCAAGGGGAGGAGAGAGAATAGGAGTGTGGCACTATGGACTAGCCTAGGGAGGTAGAGTGGTCAATTTTGGCATATCCTGGAAGCTGGAAGTGAGGGGCTTGGACAGGGATGGAAAGAGCTGCCCTCAAGACCCAGAAAAAGACAGCAAGGAGCAGCCCAATCTGACAGAAGGAGAGAAAGCAAAAGGAGCTGTTTGCAAGAACCAGATCTCTTGGAGCCTGGCTAGTGCCAAGCTCTTGTGTGTGGGCAGAGTCTGAGCGGATCCGAGTGTTTCAATGAGCTAAACTAGTCAGCTTCAAGCTGTTCCATAGACAGTAGGTGTGAATCCAAAATCATTTCAGACATTCAGCTTTATAATGTTTCTTTTAAGAAAAAAAAAAAAAAACATGGAAGAAGCACCAGACCCAAATGATCACTTTTTCTCTTGGCCAGTTACCTGTACAAGTATCAGGCCAGTTGTAAAACACAAGTCTGGGTAGGTTAGAAAGGCAAGTTGCAGATGCCTCTTCCCTTACAGCAGCATTCATGGGAGAGCTTCTTTCTTTCTCTCTGCCTCAAGGATACTCACCATTCTTCTATTCCATTTTTAGAAACAGGCTGGCAACACACATTCTCCAGTCTCCACACAACTCTCCTCTCCTCGCTGGTCCGTTTGTCTCTAAGGCTGGTTGGTTGTTTGCATCTGCCTGAGTAGTTCGTTCATGGGAGTCAGACTCGGATGAAGGTTTAACAGTCATTGAAGGATCGTGACCACTTCCACTGCCTTGCTAACAAACCACGACCCCACTCTCCAATCTGCTGCACTTCGGTCTTGCTTCAAATTCCTGTGGCTGCAAGGAAGACCTATTGTTAAAAATGAGGAGCTAAGACTATGAGTGTTTGGGGGAATCAAATGCAGAGCTGCAGCCTGGGGTAACCTTGGCGAGCACTGTGGCCACCCAGATGGGGAAGCAGTGGACCAGAAGAGGGCCTCAGGCCCCAAGCTTGCCTGATTCATGGAGTTCTTCTTTCTCCCCCACTAAGTGGTTGCGTTAGTTTGATAAGGCTGTTGTAACAAAATACCACAGATTGGGTGGTTTAAATAACAGGAATTTCTTTTCTCACAGTTCTGAAGACTAGAGCCTGAGATCAAAGCGTTGGCAGGGTTGGTTTCTTCTGGGGGCTGTGAGGGAAACATCTGTTCCAGGGCTCTCTCCTTGGCTTCTGGGTGACCGTCTTCTCTCTGCCTCTTCTCATGGTCACTCCTCTGTACCTGTCTATGTCCAAACTCCCTCTTCTTAAAGGAACACCAGATGTATTGGATGACGGCCCAGCCCAATGAACTCATTTAATATTAATTACCTCTTTAAAGACCCTATCTCCAAATACAGTCACTTTCAGGTGTACGGAGGGTTGAGACTTCACATATGAATTTTGGGAGTGGACACAATTCAGCCTCTAACAGTGGTCAAGGAAGGTTTTCTTTCTTAAGTCTAGCTATAAAGAATACCCATTTGGAGAAACAAAACAGCCTAAGATAGTTCAAAAGGACACGATCTGACTCCTCATCCTCTCATAGTTCATTGTTGGCTGAGCCAGAGTCCAATTTCCTTTGCTTCAGTGAGTGGCTGCACAGTGTGAGGAGAAGTAGGGGCCTGCTAATGCCCTAAGGCTTTGCCAGATTCCTGATCAAGCCACCAGGGATGTCCCAGGAGTGTTGGCAATGGAACTGCCCAGGGGCTTGGCATTGTGGGCATCAACCTGATTAAACCTGGCCTAAGTGCTGCACCCAAATCATGTCAGAGGTGGATCAGGTTTTTATTCATTCAGGTAAAATAACAGGCAGTGTGCAATAGGGGATTATTTCAGGGAATGGGGTCACTTTCAAATGTTGCACAGATGGAGCTGGGTAGTGCATTCCACATAAGGGAGGGGATGTGGATGAATAACCTGGACTCAGCCACTTGGCCTAGATTGGGGAAGGAAATGATGCTTGAGCCCCTCTGGCTTAGTCACCTGGTACCATGAGGTAGCCTCGGGGAATGATAGTGAATGTCACCTAGAAGAGGGAATGCTCAGAACTGTGCCCCTGGAGCCCAGGCCATTTTGCTGGCTCTTGCTCAGGCAGGTTGCTCATGCTCATTCAGGTTGAAGGAAGCAGCATCTGTGTGGATCACCTGTGCTCCAACAAGGCCCTCAGCAGCACTTCACTTGGCCACAGGGCCCGGAGGCTGACCATAACCTATGGTGGCAGAGTCTAGCCTGGAGGGTGTCTGAGCTCCTGGAGGGTGACAGTAGGTAAGTGGCAAGGGGAACTGATTTATGAGTTAGTGAAGGTGATTCTTTGGGATCCCTGGGAGGGAAAATCCAGGTAAAGACAGATCTTATACACTACCTGGTGATGTAGGGGCTTTGGCCAACTCAATTTTGGTTTAAAAAGGAAGTGTGGCCTCATTTTGAAATGGCAGGCTGGGGACATCGGGACAATACAGATTATATAGATAAAGAGGATGAGAACTTAACAGTTAGAGGGTACAACATGTGTAAAAGCACAGAAGAGTGAAAATGTTAGCCATATTAAGTTCAAACCTAATTTTAACTACAAATTATATAACATTTTATATCACTTAACAGTTTACCAAAGTTTTTTACGTAGTTTCCTTTATTATGTCTTCACAATGAACCTGTGAGATATTTTATTAACATTTGATGGTAGAAGACGCTGAGGCTCAGAGATGTTAAGTAACTTGCCAAACTCAAAGAGATAATAAGTGATAGGCTTAGGATTCTAACCAGGGTGTCTAACTTCAGACCTCACATTCTTTTTGTTTGTTTGTTTGAGATGGAGTCTTGCTCTGTCACCCAGGTTGGAGTGCAGTGGCATCATCTCGGCTCACTCTAACCTCGACCTCTCAGGTTCAAGCGATTCTCCTGCCTCAGCCTCTCAAATAGCTGGTACTACAGGTGTGTTCTACCATGCCCAGCTACTTTTTGTATGTTTAATAGAGATGGGGTTTCACCATGTTGGCCAGGCTGGGCTCAAACTCCTGACCTCAAGTGATCCACCCCTCTCCCTGACCTCAAGTGATCCACCCCTCTCGGCCACCCAAGGTGCTGGGATTACAGGCATGAGCCACCGCATCCATCCCAGACCGCACATTCTTTTTTTTTTTTTAATTATTATACTTTAAGTTCTAGGGTACATGTGCACAACGTGCAGGTTTGTTATATATGTATACATGTGCCATGTTGGTGTGCTGCACCCCTTAACTCGTCATTTACATTAGGTTCTTGACCTGGCTATGCTACGAGGCTCCTGGGCATTGCTGAACAGGGAAGGGGTGGGACTTGACAGTGGCCTACCTAAACAGGGATGAGTATTTTTTCTTTGAAATTGCTTGGAATTGCCAGTTGCATAATGATAATACAAAGCAGACCAATTTTTAGTTGGTTCTATCATTGTTTGTCAAATCTCCATAAATAATTCATCCCTAATTCAGGCTGTGATTGCCTACAGCCAGAGCAAAACTTTCCCTCTACCTTTTTTGGATATCTCATTGCAATGATTCTTATTCTTGGGTTCCTAACTGCCCTGGGCAAGGTTCTACCAATAGACACTCATGTTTCCAGGCAGTGGCTACCCAGAGCCCTAAGGAGAAACAATAGGTAGCTTCTATAGGGTTGTCAGGAAGGAAACATAGACGTTTTTAGAAATTATGTCACATTGGGGTTGAGCAGCCTGACCCTATTGTAGCCTAGAGAGCCATGTGTTCTCTCCTCTTAGAAGGAAAGCTGGAAGCAGAGAAATCATGGGTATCTACCTGATTAAGCCTGGCAGGAGACAGGAAACAGGAGATTCTGGCCCTGCCATAGCTTAGGCCAAATATCCATCCCAGAAAAGCAGATGCCTGGAGACTCAGCCTGGAGAAGCCATCACAGGGAGAGGTAGAGATGGAGGTCCACTCCATCTGTAGTGGTGTAGGCAGCAGGATGGATGGGCACACACCTGAGGGCCATCAATCAGAATCTTCACTTGCATTCAATGTAAGGAAGAAATATATACACACACCCCACAGTTGGCATTTTCTGCACATATTTGATTAAAATCTGACAGCATTTTCCTAGTGAAGGTACAATTTCTGTGATTACCCTCCTCCCAGCTCCTTGAAAAAACAATCTTAAAGCAAGATCATTAGTCAGGTAACTGTGTATGTGTATGTGTTTAGCCAGGTGCCACAGAAAGATGTGCAAAATATTTTCCTTGATTCTCAACATGAATTCTATTAGGAAGAGAAATATCTTGTTGTTTTTGTAAAAAAATTACAAAATCAATGCATGTTCCTTATAAGCCCAAATTCAAACAATACAGCAGTATATAGAATAAACAAGAAAAATTCCCTTTAATCCTTAGTCCTATAATCTCATTCCCCTCCCCATCCATGACCACTGCTGATAGTTTGGGGTGAATCCATCCTGACCTATTTTATGTATTATCACATATGTAACATATAGACGTGGCTTATACGTGTGTGTGTGTGAGTGTGTGTGTGTGTGTGTGTGTGTGAATGAGATCCTACTGTACTAGATACATTATTCAGTTACTTGCTTTTTTGGGGGGGAGTTTTCCATGTCAGTACATGTGGATCTACCTTATTCCTTTAGTGGATGCATACTATTTAATCATTCTCTTAACATTGACGTTTAGATTACGGAAATTTCATACCAAAGTAGGCCATGCTCCTTTCCCCCTTTTATTGATCCCAATCATTAAAATATTCAAAGAAAAGCCAAAAGACAGATAGGGAGGTACTGTCTTCTGGCAACTTGGGGAGTGCAGAAAGCTACCTGACCCTTCTCTAGGCTGTACCCAAAATCACTGCTCTCCTGAAGCTATGAGATTTTAACCTTCATTTCTTTATGTCTTTGTTTCTTCATTCTTTACCGCAAGGATCCTCTTCTAAAATGCAGAGGAACTGGGGGTATAAAGGAGTGCGGATAAAACATTAATAATAGTTCCTACACCACCATGACAAGAAGGCTTTGCAAAGTGTAGAGACAACTCACAGAGAAGACATTATTATTATTCCTGTCTAGCACTTTACAAGTCATTTTTTACCTGGGTTATGCTCCTTAGCTACCTCACCTTCATGTGGAAACTGTACAGGCCCCTTTCTCCAAGACACGGGAAAGACCTGGAAGGATAATAGGGTGGAGAGCTTGGGCTGAAGAGGCATTGAAAGGGAAGGTGAGGAAAAAGAGGAAAGACAAGAGACCTGGGATGATGACAGCTCACATTACCCCGCTCATGATGCTGCCTAGGGCTGACCCTGCCATACGCCGGCATGTTTGCCTGCTGACTGGGCTCGAAAGTTAAAATTGAGTTCTGTGGATGCTGGCCAATGACTTCCTTGTCATGGGAGTGATTGCTTTTTGCTGTATTTGCAAGATGTGAATTCATTCTTTTTTAATATTGGTAATACACAGTAAAGAGCTTAATTCAACTTACAAAGAAATAGGATCAGGCAAGCCTTGAAAATACAGTGTGCCTTTATGGCTCGAAGATGTTAGTGTTGGAGTAGAGTGAGTGTCTCAGCAGCACGGAAACTCTCTCCATCACCATCATCCTTCATCATCAGGACCCTGGCACAGAAGCGATAGGAGCCTGAGGGGGTTGGAGGTTTAGGGGTGCCTTGGAGCTCTCGTTCCCGTGATGTAAGAAAACCGGGCCATACTGACCCAGCAGTTACCATATTGATGTGCTGTTACTCATGTAGAAAATGGAAGCTCCTGGCCTCCACTCAGGAGATAATCCATTTTAAAGTTACTCATGTAGAAAGTGTGCTGAGCCACCAGTCCTTCCTTCCTTGTCTTTTGCTAAAAGTGATGTTTGTTTGCTAGATGTGTGACCTGGGTTAGAGGTGGCCTCTGCCCTGGTCTGTGTGAAGGATGGAGTTCATGGTTATGCTGGGCTTGGTTTGAGGGCAGGAATTAACATGGAGGAAAGTCTGGGAGTGGACAGGACCCTCTGCCTACAAAGCCGCCACACAGCAAAAGCCTAAGGTCTGTGTCTCCGTGTGCAAAAAGTTGCACTAGCTCCAGATTCTCTTTGACACCATGAGGTACTGATCTAGTGGGCAGGTGGTCAGAAGTCTCCAGAAAGCTAGAATGGTGTTCAGGCATGTAGGAGGGAGGGCTGAGCTCTCTGGTGGCGGTGGGGTTTCCACTACACTTCAGTGTAATTAGATTTGCACATATTTTTGGATATCAGTTATGTGCCAGGCACCATGTTAGGTTTAGCAATGAATTAAACTTGATCCTTCCCTTAAGGAACTTACAAGATGACTTTAACATAACCTGCTAAGGTTGCTATGAGTGCATGGAAGAGAGATAGCCAAACCTGGGTGGGAATGGAGGAAAGGCTTTCTGGAGATGACACTTGAGCTGAAGTTTAGAAGACGAGTCAAACAGAGTTATAATTGTACAACAGTAGGGAAGACATCCTAGGCAGAGGAAAGAGCAAGGACATCAGAGATATGTGGAAACACCATGGCTTGCAAGAAATGAAGCCAGAGAAGCAGGAGCCAGATCATGGAAGGATGGATGTGCCCTGCTAAGGAGCTGGGACAATACTCTGTAAGTGAAGAGAGCCCTTCAAAGATCTTAAACAAGGCAGTGCCAAGGCTTAAAGTGTACTTTAATAAATCAGACTGGGAGAGTCTGGAGGGTGGAACAATTCTCGAAGCCAGGAGACCAATAAGGAGTCTGGGACAATGTGCCAAAGGAAGCCCAAGGAGGTCTTGAACATGAGTAGAATCTGACCAGGAGAAGGTGGGGAGAGAGGTGCAGGGCTGGAGAGCCTGGGAAGGGAATTAATAAGGGCCAGACAGATTGTCAAGGTGCCCAACTAGAGATGAGAATTCCAAGAAAGGACCCAAGAGAAGTTGTATTTTACAGACAGGTCCCTCTTGGCAGGGAGTGGAAGAAAGCAGACAAGATGGGGATTGCCCAGCTCTGTGAACGTGTTGGATGGGTGCGTCTATCCCGAGTACAACAGAATCTGAACTCAGGGCAGTGTGATGTACTCCAGAATCTACCTTCTGATGGTCATGGGCTCAGGATGGGCCTTGGAGGAGGTGAGTGGACTGAACCTGCAGGGTGGAGGTCTTCAGCTACAGCAGCAGGTGGGCCTGGGA
Organism: Homo sapiens; assembly: GCF_000001405.40. NCBI lineage: Eukaryota > Metazoa > Chordata > Mammalia > Primates > Hominidae > Homo > Homo sapiens. The sequence continues at coordinate 151,872,864 of NC_000004.12, forward strand.
GAGGCAATAACTGGGACAGTTTGAACCCACTGCAACCTGCCCACCTGGCCACCCCGGAGTACGCAATAGGCAACAGCTTTGAAGCTAAACAAACCCAAGTTCCTATCTTTTCTCAGTCACTTCCTGGGTAATCGAGCAACTGACTTAACTTGTTGGAATATTAACATGTGCACCTGTCAGATAGGGTCTACCTTACCTGATTTTGTAAGGTGTAAGTTAAATGATTACTGTATATAAAGTGATTGGCATAGAGTAAGTTCATTTATCTAACTGATTTTTTTTTTTTTGAGTTGGAATCTCGTTCTGTTGCCCAGGCTGGAGTGCAGTGGTGCTATCTTGGCTCATTGCAACCTCCACCTCCTGGGTTCAAACGATTTTCCTGCCTCAGCTTCCTAAGTAGCTGGGATTACAGGCATGCACCACCATACCCGGCTAATTTCTGTATTTTTAGTAGAGACGGGGCTTCGCCATGTTGGCCAGGCTGGTCTTGAACTCCTGATCTCAGGTGATCTGCCCACCTTGGCCTCCCAAAGTGCTAGGATTACAGGTGTGAGTCAGCTTGCCCCACCTATCCAACTGATTTTTATTACACCTACTGTGTTCTCAGTACTATGCAAAGTACTGGAGATAAAATTATGAATAGGACTAGCCAAGTTCTTGCTCTCCTGGAGTACCAGCACTCTACGCTCAGCTTTTTGGATGTGAATCCACTGAGTCGGTGCACACCTTAATAAACATCCTCCTTTATTCACCGATATTGGTCTCTCTGGTCCTCTGATTCCTGTAACACTGCAGCTTCCATGTTGAATACTCCATAACTCTCAATAATGCTCGCTTCTTTCTACCTGAGTCAGTGCATGTTTTGGAGTGAATACTGTCATGTGCAAAGTGCCTTGCTCAGTCTCTTCTGGAGTAAGTCACTAATGGACAAGTTCCCACATTGGATTTCCACCAGCAACACCCAGGAAGCTTTCCAGGGAGCAGATTCCAGGGCCCCATCACTTGCATATTGGATTAGAGCCTCCAGAGACTCCTTATTCATGGGAAACTCCCAAGGTTTTGATGATGACCTTGGCAATCACTGCCCTAGCATACTAGAGTGAAAAAGACAACATTGAACTTCACATAAATACGTTACAGTAGGATACTGACCAGACTAGGCCAATGTCAAGAATTGAGAGGAACAACAAGAAATTATGTTAACCGTGCTTTTGGGTGTAATTGTTTCCTTGAGGGGAATTTTATGATTATTTAATTAAAGCATTTCACTTTGATTAAAGGTGTTGCTTTGACTTCTCGAGTATGAAATACAAGACTTGTGAGAATCAAACAACTTGTTAAATGCAAACAGTTTACCAAGGGCCAGCCCTAAACAAGACAAAATATAATAAATAATAAGCTTTAGAAATTAAGTGTAAATGTCTGTGGAGAACCTAATTATTTCTCTTGTTATGAACATTAACCCACATTCAGTTTTTAAGCCTGTGTTATTCTAATGATGTTCACCATTAGCCATTTCTGACTACAATAAAAAGAATCGCAGGGGGGATTTTGTTCATTACTGCATGCTGGGATTTGCATTGTTTTGTCTTCACTTGATTGGAGTTTCAGATGCCTCAAGTCTTCATTCATTGTGAATGGAGAGAACTAAGAGCTGCCCCTGTGTGAGAGCAAAATGCTTTGCATTTCTAACAGAACTGGAGGGCTGAGATAGCTCACTGAGACACATACATAGAAGGAAGTTTCCTCCCAGAGAGAAGAAGTTAAGCAGAGAAGCAGAGGAGTCGACGATGTGCCAGCATCTTGCCCTAGAAGTGAACATTAGGGATAATGGATTTGCAGCTGTGCCCAGTCAGACCCAGGGAGAGGTGAACGTAAAGACTTTGGGATCTTGTCAGCTTTGTATCCGTTTTATCCCTTCAACCAATGGTTAGTGAACACCTACCAAGTGTCAGGCTCTGTTCAGGGCACTTGGGATTTATCAGTGACCAAAGCAGACAAAGATTTTTTTTCTTTATGGAGCATTCATTCTAGTGGAGGGAGGCAGATGTACATCACAAACACAGTAAATAAGTAAGATGCAAGATTATAAGTGAGAAAGAAGAACTGGAGCAGGGTAAGTGGAAATGGAAATGTATTAAGAAAGGTAGGCAGGGGAGGCCTCGGGGAAAGGGTGATGTGTGAGCAAAGACTGGAGGAGGTGAAGGAATTGGCCAACTGGATATGCAGGGGGAGGGGCACTCAGGGCAAAGGCTCAAAGGTGGGAAAGTGCTGAGAAGCACCGAGGAGGCCCATGTGGCTGGAGTAGAGAGAGCAAGGGAGAAAGAGACAACAGAGAAAAACAGAGCCGGACCACCTAAGGCCTTGTAGACCAGATCAGAGACTTTGCTTGACTCTGCATGAACAGGGGAGGCATGGCAGTGTTGGGAGTGCAGTGTGGCATGTCTGACTTAGGTTTCAAATCCATCTGTAGCTGCACTGGGGCCAGGGGTCCTATGGCAGGAATTCAGAAGAGTGAGGCTGGTTGCTTGGGACCAAGGTGGTAGCAGTAGAGAGTGACCTTCTAGATAAATCATTGAGACTGGCCCCAACAGGATTTCCTGCTGGATTGTATGTGGGGCATGACAGAAAGAAAAAACAGAGTGGAATAATTGGAAGGATGGAAAAAGAAAATCTGAAATAAACCAGATACACTCACAATCTAATATTAAGCCACATATGTGAATGCCAGTGTAGTTCGGGGACACCTACAGGTTATAAACTTGGGTAGCTCTGGGTAATTTTGTAGGGCATTGGGGTGCTGTGGGAAGAGCCTGGTATTTGGCATCAGATGATCTTGGGTTTTAAAGGCATTTACTTGCTCTGTGATTTTGAGGAAGCTGCTTGATCTCCCAGCACCTCAGTTTCCTTGTCTGTCATATGGGGTGATAATGTAATAACGCTTCTCTTACAGGGTCTGTGAAAATTAAATGAGGTAATGCATATAAAATACCAGTCATCCAGCCCTAGAACTGTTGATTGTCCTCTCCCCTTCCTGTAAGGGGTTGTATAAATCATCCAGACCTGCGTTGGTGATGGAAAATGAAGAGAAGGCCGGGAAACTGTTCCTGGCACAGGCTTAGTTTCAGAGACTGTCATCTCCAGGACATTCCGCCCCCCTCACTCCACTCCCCCACCCCCCACTGAGATGATGGGACAGGGTGCAGGAGACAGAGGACCCGGATAGAGACCAAGTTACTTTCTGGCAGCTGTGACCTGTTGGAGGGCCATGACCACCAGATAGGCCTGATGACCTATAAAAACAGTGTGACATGGAGGTAACCATGGCAGAGTAGGAACTTGTTTATGTGGGATTAGGAAGACATTACGGGCTACAGGGCTAATGTGGTCCTGTAGCTGGCCATATGCTTTAAAGGCAAGGAGCCTGTGCAATGAGCTCCTCAACCCAGTGAGACCACTGAACCCCGAGGAACCAGAGTTCAGCCCCATCACATGTATTTATGATGGGGGTAGCCTTTGCACTCATTGCTTGCTGGTTCTGAACTAAAGAAGCAAAAGCAACTTTAAAACCTAGTCTGAATTTTTATCCCCACTGAGCTTCAGAGATCTGGCTTAGCTTATCCTTCTTTCATTCATCCCTCATTCCCCTTCTAGCTCTTTTTTTTTTTTTTCTTTTTTCTGGCATGTCCTGTCCTGGGCTCTAGACCTCTTGAATGTTGTCTGTTTCTGTCTCCTTCATCCACTTCCTTGCTTCTGTTTCAGTCCTGCTCTAGAGAAAATAGATCATCAGAGGAGCCAATAGGGACTAAAGACGCATCTTGCCTGGAGACCTGGAACCTGGCTCCTCAGCCCTTCCCAATGCCCTGTCCTGTGGTTGATAGCGTCCTGGAGGCTGTGCCCACACTCAGAGGCCTGAGGCACCTGGGCCAGGTGCTCCCCGGGGACCATTCTACCATCTTTCCTCCAGAAACTCTGACTCAGATTTCTCCTGTCATATGCCAATCATCAGTTTCAATATCCAAATTAAAGTTTCACATTTACTGGATTCCTAACTAGCTTCCAGACATTGTACTAGCTGCTCCCACAAATATTAACCAGAGTAACCTATTCAATTGTGATTCAATTCAGGAAGGCTGGCAGGACCTGTACCTGCACATTTTAAAAGTATAAACCCTGATATGATTCTCAAACATCTTCCATGGTTCTAATAAAATGTATATCAGCAAATGGGCTGGGCGTGGTGGCTCACAACTGTAATCCCAGCACTTTGTGAGGCTCAGGTGGGCAGATCACCTGAGGTCAGGAGTTCAAGACCAGCCTGGCCAACATGGTGAAACCCCATCTCTACTAAAAATACAAAAATTAGCTGGGCGTGGTGGCAAGCGCCTGTAATCCCAGCTACTCAGGAGGCTGAGGCAGGAGAATCACTTGAACCCGGGGAGGCGGAGGTTGCAGTGGGCCGAGATCATGCCACTGCACTCCAGCCTGGGCAACGAGAGTAAAACTCCATCTCAAAAAAAAAAAAAAGTATATCAGCAAATGAAATGCAGACATTACAAATTGTTTCCATGATTGCCAATATTTGCTGGGTTCTTTCAGGTGACAATGGTTGTTTTATCTTAATAATGAGGGCTGATGGTAAGGATTCATGAAAAAATAAGGAATTCTGAAACTTCCAAGGGCCTCAAGGAAGCACTGATAACTTAACTGTAGGCACATTCAGGAAGTTCATCCCATGGCTGCCAGGTGTATCAGGGGATGCAGTAGCAGCAGGCCGGGTTGCTGCAGTGGCTCTCTGCTTTATGAAGTCTTAGTGCTTAGTTCCTCTGTCCCTGCTTCCACAGTCTCTGCAGCTCCTGAAGAAAACTGATCCTACCTTTGTGTGTGTATATATATATATATTTAATTTTTTTTTTTTTTTTTTTTTTAGACAGAGTTTTACTCTGTCGCCAGGCTGGAGTGTAGTGGTGCGATCTCAGCTCACCTCAACCTCCACCTCCTGGGTTCAAGTGATTCTCCTGCCTTAGTTTCCTGAGTAGCTGGGACTATAGGCATGCACCACCATGTCCAGCTAATTTTTGTATTTTTAGTAGAGACAGGGTTTCACCATGTTGGCCAGGATGGTCTGTATATTCTTTACTCTCTGTCTCTCTTTTTAAGAGACAGAGTCTCACTCTGTCACCCAGGCTGGAGCTGAGTGGCTTGATCATAGCTCACTGCAGCCTCAAACTCCTGGGCTCAAGTGATCCTCCTGCCTCAGCCTCTCAAAGCACTGGGGTTACAGGTGTGAGCTACTGCACCTGGCCCCTTTGTATATTTTGAGTTCAAACTCCTTGTCGTTACTTGGCAAAATTTTCATTCCAGGCCACTGCATCGGTTACTGGCCAGCTTTGAGGGCAGGGAACAAGTCCCCCTGGCTGCATGATGGTGAGGTCATACAATGCTCTGAGGGGTCTCTGCAAGGGGCAGGGAAATTGGCTTGTTTACTGTAATTGACTAAAGTAGGCTGATGGCAGAGGACTGTGGGTAAAGTGCTCTGGTGAACCTTGGAATGTCATTGGCTCAATTCTGCCATGGGCTTTTTACGTGAAATGCCTGGGTTTCTTCATTCCAAACAAAGGAGTGGGTGGAAATGTCCTACCTTGCCTTAAGAAGCTATGTTATGATTAGGTAAGAAGACGGAAAAAGCAGCGGGTATTCTATAATTGCAGATCGGCCAGGGTATTAGAAACCCAGCCAACAGACCTAATCAATTCAACAGAAGACACCATTAGCACTTAGTTACAAGGCGACTGGTGAGAAAACAAGCTGGTGGTTTTTATTGTATCGTGTCTGAACTGCTGATGTTCTTCCTGCTGGTGGGAGCTGTTCAGAATTACTTTGTCAAGCCTGGCTCTTTGGGGGATAGGACAGAAAACAGAGCTGGGAGCAGTCTCTGCTGTGAACAGCCATAAAATCCACCTTGAAAAGCAGTGCAGAGTTGCAACAGAGATATGGTGGTTGGGAATTGGCTCTGGCTTGCTCAGAAAAAAGAATTAAGAAAGACAAGAATTCTGTCCTGGGAGGCTAAGTAGCAGAAACATCTCTTCAGGAAGAGCTGTTCCCAGCAGGTGCCATCCCAGGAGATCCAGTGGCCAGGCAGGTCCAAGATGACAATGGGTGCCAGGCTGCACAGCTCAGTGTTTCTTTCTGCCATGGCCAGGGGGAAGGGGACTGGATGCAGAAGCACAGTTGGGGAACGTACCCCAAGCGTGGCTGCTGCAGATTGACCAAAGGGTGAGGGCTGTGATGAGGCCAGTTGCTTCAGGGAGGCCAGAATCACAGTGTTTTGTGGTTAAGGACAGAATCTGGTTCTCAGGTAAGGAAATTGACCAGCACCTGGAAGGTATCAAGGCCTTAGATATGCAGTTCTAGAAGAATAGGGACAGAGAAGAAATCAAGAAATCAAGAGTCCATCCTAGGATTGGGCTCAGAGGGACTCAGGCCTACACTAGGGGAATTTGGCTCTGGCTGCAGTGAAGGCATCAAGGAGGGGCAGGAGCAGCCGGCCTAGCTGGTCCCCAGGACCTGGGTTGAACAAGGACTGATGTCCAGGCCCTGTTACATTTTGGTGACTTAAGAAAAGCAATGACCAGTTGAGACTATGTCTTCTTCCTCAGAAAACAATACAGAGCTCCTTAGGAGAGGAGCTGGGCAGGGCAGGGAGAGAAAGAGCATTATGAGAATGACCTGGCATTTGTGAGCAGCTTGGAGATCTTCGGGCAGAAGCCGCTCTGGATGAGCTCATTGGAGCAGGGCATCGGGAAGCAGTAGAATAAATTTGATTAAAGCAGTTTGTTCTTCTGATCGGCCCCGAATTAGGAAGCAGATCCAAGCTGGGCAGCACAAAGTGGTATGAAAGAAGCCAAGCCCTGGGTAGTGTTTTCCCTTCTGTCCTTTGTCAGTCACTTTCCAAACATCTGTACCTTTATCAATACAGAAGTCTCTGGGGCCCTGTGGCATCTGTAAGAACAGGCTCCCCGGCTGAGGCAGCCAAGTGCAAATCCAGCACAGCACGGGGATGCTATCTATCACTCAGGGCTTTCCAGGGAGATCCTATTCAGAAGCCCAGGTGCTTAACAGGTAAGGAACAGTGTTAATAAAAGTTCTTTTGACTTGAAAGGGCACAGAAAAAACCAATAAAGCTGAGCCCAGCTCTTAAAAAAAAAAAGGTTGATAAAACCGACAAAAAATAAAGAAGTAGTTTATCGTGGTTCTAAAAGAAAGGCGAGGGTTTTTCTTTCTCTTGTTTAAAGGCAGAATTAATTAATCTACCGCTGGCTTGAGCTCTGAATGGAATGTTAGCTGTGACTCTGGGGGGCTGTTAAGTCCTCTGGACCCTGGATAAGCTTTCATTAAAGCAACGGTATTTAAAATAGTGAATTTAAATTCATCCATCGAACAGAATAGAGCACCAGGAATAGAGAAGAAAAGCTAAATGACGAGAGTGCTGTTAGGAAGCAACTCTTGAGAACAGAAGTGCAATTCCTTAAGCCCTCCTTAGGGACAAGATGATAATAATATTAGAACAACCATAGTGGTATCAGCAGCCCCGGTTCCTTTCCTTTCCTCTGCCTTTCCCAGCTTCTCACAGCCAAATCCATGGGCTGTCTGCACTCCCAGGCTCAGATCTATTTTACTTCCTGAGCAAGCAAGACCAAAAGAAGTGGCCACTTCTCATTCTCAGACCAATGGGCCAGAGGGCCAGCTAAGGGGTTTCTCCCGTCCTTACCCCATCCCTAGGTGCCCTCCCCACAGGTGACATGCTCCATCCTAGGTCCTGGGGTGAACTACTTTGGAGTCTCTTAATTTCTTCACTGTCTATACTCTTCTAGGACTGTCTGTCTAAGGCTTTGATACCATCCATCCTTCTGGCCAATTTCCTCCCCTAAGGGCCGAATTCTGCCCTTGAGCCCCAGGCTAGAGTCCTGTCCAACATGGACAGATTTTCTGGAAGTAAGCCCACAGCTTGCCTGAATATTTGATTGACATCTGAATTCCTTGCTGCTGTGCAAGGAATCCTATTGGGATGCACAGGATAACTGGGAGTACGATGCCATCTGAGATGCCTGCTGTCCTCTCTGGAGGTGATCTCTGTGGCCCCATTCATTTCCCCACACTCTTTCTCGCCCAGGCCTGGCTTCCTCTTGTGCCCACTTGCCCTGTTGTTGAGAGTCTAGCCTGCCTCTCACCTGGCCCATTCAACCAGCAACTTGGGACAGCCTGTGGAACCCTGTGCAAGATCTCAGTGGAAGAGAACAATTATTTTGCAGGCACAATGGAGACTACCCAAAGTGTACAGATAAATCTAGACCTTAGATTTAGGTATGTTTAGAATTGATTGAATCATTCATTCAATAAAAAAGATTATTGAGGGCTTATGTACCAGGCACTGTTCTAAGTGCTAGGGTTATAGCAGTAAACACAAAAATACTTGTTCTTATGAATATTATGATCTGGTAGGGAGAAGATAGACAATAAAAACGATGAAGTGAGAAAAAGATATAAATGCTATGGAAAGAAAGAAAGCAGAGGAGAGGGCAGGCAATGTGAGGTAACTGCTGTGATCTTAAATAAAGCAAAGGAAGCTTTTACAGAGAAGGTGACATTGAGGAAAGACCAGGGAGATGTTAGGGAGTGAGCTGGGCCTTATGAGTACCTGGAAGAGAGCATTCTAGGTGAAGGGGCAGTCAGTGCAAAGGCCCTGAGGTAGGCGTATACCTGGTCAGTTGGCTAGAACAGAGAAAATGAGGGGGAGGTGAAGTGGGGAGAGGATTCAGCACCTGTAGGTGGATTTAGGCCTCTGGAATGGGGGAATGAAATAGGGACTGTTTTAGTCAGCTCGAGGAGCCATAACAAAATGCCATAGTCTGTGTGGCTTAAACAACAACCATTTATTTTTTATAGTTCTGGAGGCCAGGAAGTCTGAGATCAGGGTGACAGCATGGTCAGGTTCTGGTGAGGAGCCTCTTCCTGGCTTTGTAGTCAGCTGCCCTCTCGCTGTGTCCTCACATGGCAAAGAGAAGCAGCTCTGGTGTCTCCTCTTCTTCTTACAAGGATGCTAACTCCATCACAAGGGCCTCATCCTCCTGACCTCATCTAAGTCTAATCACCTTCCAAAGTCCCCGGCTCCTAATACCATCATCTTGGGGGTTAGATTTTCAACATACGAAATCTGGGGACACAGACATTCCATTTATAACGGGGAGCTAGTGCAGGGTTTTAAGCACTGAGAAAATCAATTCCAAAGTCTTTTACCCTCCATTAAATCAACAATTATCTGCCTCAGTTTTCCCAAATCCCATCCTGGACTCTAACTCTAGAAGCTTCTTAGGGACTCAGAATGAGTCTTGCTTAGGAAAACTAGGGGTTTCTCTGCGTGCTGCTTTGGTAGTTCATGCAAATCTTCGTTTTCTCCATTCAGCAGAGACAGGTGATTTTCAGCTTATAAAGTTCAATGACGTCAGCTTTAAAGTTTTCCTTTGGTCCTACTTGTGCGATTTTTAAAAACTAAGCAGTGATCCACATGAAAGATGTTTGGTTACCCCTATGACTATAGATTAGACCAAGACGCTGTGGCTTCAGACAATGTTAATCTTAACCTAGGCCTGGATTTATTAGGCTGCCCGGCATCCGAGATCTCAGATAAGTACATTTTCTACTCTAGCCTTTGCTGTACTAAGCCTCACTGGAAAATTTTCTAAGGGTTCAGAAAAGAAATACTTCAAACTGTAAACCACATAAGCCTTTCTTTTCAGTCTTGTCTTTTTTCCCCCACCTTCTCTTTCTTTCTGTATAATAGTGAAACTATCTTCAGTGCCCAACTGACTCATCTGGAAGCCTGATCAGTGAGTTGAATTATCCTCACTTTTTAAAAAGGAGATGAATTATTTGTCTAGAACAAGAAACTGTGCACTGAGGTGACTTGGTATAATGCCCTGAGAGGCAATAACAACCCAGTGACCCAGCCACGCCGAGGAGGTGAATGTCGTGGGATTGAGGGGAATGGCCTTCACCCTTCATTCAATGTCTCTGCTCCATCCCAGGCCACTGGCTGCAGAGATGAAAAGTAATGAGGGTATTACTCAGCTCCACAATTTCTGTAAGATTCTGGACATGCCTCTGGTGCATACACCCTAATGGGACCCATCAGATCTGAACTTGCTCCAGTTGATCCGCTTGTGACCAGGATCCAGGCCTAAGCCCTAAGTCAGCTGCAGAACTTCATGTTCCCACACTCTTTTTTGCCCAGGCCTGGCTTCCTCTTGTGCCCTCTTACCCTATTGTTGAGAGTCTAGCCTGCCTCTTACTTGGCCCATTCAACCAGGAATTTGGGACAGCCTGTGGAACCCTGTGAAAGATCTCAATGGAAGAGAACAATTATTTTGCAGGCACAATGGAGACTACCCAAAGTGTACAGATAAATCTAGACCTTAGATTTGTCATTCATCTGACAACTATTTATTTTGCTTTTGTGTGACAGCATTGTTCTAGGCACTGGGGCTACAGTAGATGATTAAACAAACAAAATTCCTTGCATGCATGGAGCTTACATTCTAGGAGGGGTAATAGACAAGACATAAGTTTTGATCCCGGAGTCTCCAGGGCTGAGGTGGATCAGGGAAGAGAGCAGGACATTTCTCCAGACCTGTCTCCTCAGGGCTGAGCTGGCCTGGTCCAGGATCCGGGGCCCAGGAACAGGGGTGGGTCAGCCAGGCCTGGCCTCTGCTGGAACTCCTTATGTGGTCTCCAAAGGGACTTTGCCTCTGTGAAGGCCTCTGGCCAAGCATGCTTTGTAGAATCAGTCCCTCCTGGTACTACCTAGGTCTCCTAGGCAAGGCTGCAAATGTTGCTCACTTGTGGAACTCACGATAAAAACAACCCAAATTGCTATGGTAGTTGAAGAATGAAAGTCTGAGCTTAAGGGAATGATCTGTCCCTGGAGGAAGTTGGGGGAAGGTAACAGCCAATAGGATGAAAGAGGGAGCCTGCAGAGGCAGGAGTTTTGATGATGAAAAGACTACTTGAGATTCTTCTTTCTTTTCTCTTAGCTTCACCCAGCACTTACACATACACCCCGGTTCCCTCTCGAAGCTCCCAAAGCCCCTATGCATTAAATAAAGTTCAGAACATAAGAAAAAATAAACTAGGCATTTTATCTGTGACATGGATTACAGCATCTCCTCTGGTATGACTTACTACCCTAAAGCTTTTTAAAAGGATAGAAGCAATGAGGCTCGAAGCCCAACAACTGTTTCAAACCCATTAACTGGACTTGAGCTTTGCCACACAGCTTCCCTCTGATTTGAGGTGGTTGGGATGTACATTTATGGCTGATGCATCTGTAGTTATAAATACTTGTGAAAAAAATAATGGGGCTTGAAGGTCAGAATAGTCCATTAACCCTAGAACTGCACCATCAGGGAGGTGAGGGAGCATCTTTTGTGGGGAGCAGATGGGTGTGAAAAAGTCCACACAAAGTATAATAGGGCATGTTTGGGAGACAAGGGGAATTTTCTGGTCACTCCAGAGTTTCATCTAAAGCCTAAGACTCAGAATAAAAGGCTCTAAATTGATGACAAACTAAGTTCAGGAAACCACCCTCGAATGTGACTGGTTATAGTCACAGTACTACTATCCAGCCCTCTGGTAATCTATGAGAACTTGGGTTGAAGGCAGGTGTCTTGATGGGGAAGTGCAGTGCTGCTGAGAGGAGAGTGATTCCTGAATGGGCCCCTCATAAAGATTGGGCTGCCCCAATTATCCCCCTTCATTAAGTTGTTTGCAAACTGCCGACCTCCAGAAGGGTAGGGTGCCTGGCACTGTAGGGGGCACTTGGAGGAAGAGGCAGGCGAGAGAGGGCTGGAATAGCAGGATGGCCAGGCAGACAAGGGACAAGGGCATGCTCTGCGGTTTCTGGTGTCCGAGGAGGACTGAAGGTAGATCCTGCACACACCACACACACCAGTAGATTCTGGAGGTGGGGGTGGTAGAGGGTGGATGAACTTGATGGTTACAATTTTGCAAGAGGCACGGCCAGCAGCGTACTGTGAGGTCACGTGCTGGTGGTTCACTGGAAAATGTGGCTGAATCTTGCAAGGAACCATATGGCAAAGGTGGTGTGTTAGGTACTGAACAGCCACTCTCACCTTCTACTTTATGAAGAGAAGTCCAATTCTATTGGAGAAAACGTTGCTGGCTAAAATGCCTGGCTAAAAATCGCATTGCCTAGTTGCAGCTCAGGTTGTTCAAGTAAAATAGGTCAATGAGGGGAGGCCTGCTGGGGATATCTCAGAAGGTTTGTTTTCCTGTGATGGACAATATTCTTTCCTCCTTTAGCTCTTTTCGCTCTTCCTTATTTCCTTATTTCTTGTAACTTGGATGAGATAGCTGGAGCTCTGGCAGCTATTTTGTGAGAATGAGGATGAGAGCGCTACCCTAGGATGACAGAGCAACAAGCCAGAACGAGCTTAAGTCAATGACAACATTGTGAAGCCATCGTAATAGCCCCAGACTTCTCATTACCTCTTTCTTACTTAAGCCATGATTGTTTGGATTTTCTGCTACTTATAACATCATTTTATCCTTAATCATACATACCACCACTGCCTATAAGAGATAGAGCCACCACCACCTGTCTCTGTGAAGCCCACAGGCAGTGAGCCAGATGAGCAGCTAGTGACTGGCCCCAAAGGAGGGCCTCAGCTTCTCCATAGCAACAACAGAAGGAGAAAGTCCTCCCTCCCTGTCCCCGTTCTTACCCCAACACTGAAGGGAAAGGGGGAGAGTGTGAGTACAGACACCCCACCCCTGCCACCCAACGACTGCTCCATGCCAAGCCTCAAGAGACTTAAATCCGGCCCGTGGGACAGTGTGTGGAATAAGTGTTTAAACCACTCTTAAAAACTGAAAATGACTGTTTTAATAAACAGAAGTAATTGTCAAGTTTTGGAGTCAGGTTGAAATGTTGAGGGAGCCACTACCCAGTGCAAAAAAGGGATTGGATTCAGCAGAATTAGAGACAGTTTAGAAAACAACATTATTTCAATTCTGTACCCCTATAGAGTTAAAATATCTCAATAAACTGCTTATAACATAAATCTGCTTAATTTCAATTCTCTTAGATCCATCCCCACATCTCTATGTACTGATATGGAAAGATTTCCAGGACAGATCCTAAGTTAAACGAAAAAAGAGGGAAGTACAACACAGCATGCACAATAGGCTACCTTTGGAAAATAAAAGGGGGCAAACAGGAACTGCCCTGGAAACACATACCGGATTATCTACAGGGTGGATGGCAATGGAGGAAAAGCAGGATTTCTTAGAAGATATTTCTTTATATGGATTTGATTCTTGAATCATGTGAATGTATTCCCAAGTAAAAATTTTAAATTCGAAATGTTAGTGTCACAGAGTATTCAACTTTCTTACAGAAAAGACATTTAGATCAACAGATGACAAAAATAGGAGACTGCAAAATTCTTCCTTCCATCCACCTCCAATAATGAAATCAGTGTTTGTTTGCTGCTTTTTTTAGACAAATCTCCCCGTTTTGTAAAACAAGGGAGTATTTTTTGTTTTACAAAACTGAGAGATTTAGGTAAGCCGTGAGTTAGTGGAAACATCCGGAACCATATAAGGGAGCTTTAGCTTTTGTGTGAAGGAAAGAAAACAGTTTGTGACTTTAGCTGAAACAAATAATAATTAATATATTACTGTATATAATTGATTACTATAGTATATTTTATATTGATATAAAATATATTAGCATATTTATATATTAATATATTATTATATCCATATATTAATTTAATACAAGTAATATATTAATATATATCATATGTTATTATAATATAAAATTGTATATTATAATAACATATACTAATATAATACGTTACATATCTTAGTAATATGTGACTGTATATAATTTTATGTTAATTTATTTTTCAAACTTCTTGTGACCAGATTTTCTGTACCTAAGAGAAATTTTCTGTAACTAAGAGAACTTTAGCTGCAGAAATATAACACTAGTGAGAAATCTAACAAGTTTGTTTATTTAAGGCAAGGGTTGGCAAACTATAGCCCGTGGGCCCAATCCAGCCAGCTGCCTACTTTTTACAGCCAGTAAGCTAAGAATGGTTTTGACATTTTTGAGTGGTTATGTTTTAAATGGTTGTATAAATATCTACATAATGTCCTTGCTATTGCCTCTTGGCCTCCAAGTCTGAAGATGGGAAAACATTGCTCTGGGTTGGGTGTTTCTATTGTGCTAATGCCTCATTTGGTACCCAAAGCCCTGAAGCAACAAGACTTAGTTGTGTCTCGTTCCAGCTGCCAGATGCAGAGAAGGCCTAGCATGCATAGCTCAGTATGTCACCGGCCCATGAATGTGTCTCTTAAATACAGAAAAGACGACACGTCAGCCTGTTGCAATGGGGTTCTGTGGCTTGAAAAAGACCTCTGTATTGTATATGAATCTTAGTAATTGGAACTTGGACTCATCACGTCTTTTTTAGCAATGACATTGTAACAGCATGCACCCATCCATCATCGTGTCATCCTTATGAAAATGGTCTCCACTGGTCAGCTTGTCATAGTTAATTAGTCTTCCAATGTATGGATAGTCAGAAGCAAAGCGACTTTGAGGTTTTTTTTGACAATTTTAAAAGTGAACTCCAGAGATACCTGATCTTTCCTGCCTTTTAATTAGAGCCTTTTCATTTGAGGAGGAGAGTGTCCTTGTGGTTAGGAGTACAACCAGCCTAGTTCTGCTTCCCATTTTCAGTTCTGTAGGCGACTCATAGCAACCACAGGCAAGTCGGTGACTGAGTCCTCCAATATGTGCAGTACAGGAAGTTCTAGAATAAAATGCAGTTAGCTGATTGCTACTCAAATGTAGATATTGTTGATATCTTAGTGAGAAAAGGGTAGTGTATTAGATACCGCTATGAAATCTCTAAACTTAGTAGTTTAAAAAAGATGAACAACCATTTGTTTAGCTCAAGATTCTGTAAGTCATCAATTTAGTCTGGGCACAGCTTGCTCTGTCAGGCACCCACAGTCAGTGGTGTTGGTGTGTTGGGTGGATGGGTGGTTGTGTTCATCTTGGCTGGGCTCTCTCATGTCTCAGGCTTTGGCTGGGACAATGAGCTATGCCTCTCTGCTCCGAATAGCTTCTTTTCCCACAGCAGGCTAGCCCAGGCAGACATAGGGGTCTCGAAAGAGAGTGAATGTGTGTAAGAAATCTTAAAGCCTAGGCTTGGAATGGGCAAAATATGACTCCATCATATTTTAATGGTCAAAGCAGGTCACAAGGCGAGCCTGGACCCAAAGTGAAGGGAAACAGACTCTACCTCTTGATGAAAGGGGCTTCAGGGTCATGTTTCAAGGGCATGGTTGCAGGAAGAAGAAGGGTTGTGGTTATTTTGCCATCTACCTCTGGGAGCTAAAACATGAAGGAACACATGCAAGGTGTGAACCGGCCCTGCTGCCAGACAAGGTGAGGGGAAGAGGCCATGACCGTGAAGTCTAGATGCTAAGCTGTGAGAGAGGGACTGATCAGGGGAATTCAGTGACCTCACGTACAGCAGGGATATAGATGATACCGCTGTTTTTCCCCGGGTCTCATTTCTGGCAGAAGAGAGTGAGGGAGCCTCCAGGAGAGAAGTCAGACCTGCAAAGGATGAGTAGGTGTGTGAGTAGCACCATGGGGGGTTTTGGTTAATTTAGTGAAGAAAGAGGGTATTTTTCCATATGCATTGGGAAACCAAGAGTGAACACAGGCTCTGAGTTCAACAGGCTAGTGGAGAGGAAAGAAAACTGCACGCAGGAAGGAAATCCCCTGAACCAAGAGGCTGAGGTTTGATGTTGTGAGCTCAGCCTTCCAAGGCAGACACACATGACTTCTAGTTGTGGTGTGACACCTTATTAACTGTGTGACTTTGGGCAAATCACTTTACCTCTCTAAGGCTCAATCTCCATATCTGTAAGATAAGGATAATAATATATGCCTCAGAGTACTGTAGGGGTGACTAAAGGAGATAATCCATTGTAATATGTCTAAATCGATACCTGGCAGGATAACGGCTGTCCATGAGTGTCCATTGTTACTAACCTTCTTACTTTTGTTGCTATTGATTTTTCATGCATGGCCCACAATTCTAGTTTGCAGTACTGGCCACACTGATGAGCTCTCCTAGTATTTTAGATGAA
The DNA here is from genome assembly GCF_000001405.40 of Homo sapiens. Classification (NCBI taxonomy): domain Eukaryota; kingdom Metazoa; phylum Chordata; class Mammalia; order Primates; family Hominidae; genus Homo; species Homo sapiens. The sequence goes on from NC_000004.12 coordinate 151,889,118, forward strand.
CAGTTTCATGTGGGTGTACCACTATCAATTCTAAAGTAACATACATTGAGATAAATGAATTGTCCCTTCATACAATGTTCCTTTCCCAAATGTTTGTATCTGTTCATTCAGCACCACCATTTAGCCACCCAAAGAATCTTTGTTTCCTTCCTTCCTTCAGACCTCATATCCGGTCATCAAACTATGACATATCTCTCACCCTGTACTTCCCATTCCATTCCCCGACTACCTGCAGAATCTGAGTTCTCACTTGATGCTTTGAGTACCACTTCAGAGTTCTTACAAGTTTCCCTGCCTCCAGGCTCTCTATGCTTTCATCCATTCTGCATCTTGTTGCAAAATTGATCTTCCAAAAAACAGTCCTTTGCTGAAAGCCATCAATGGTGCCTCACTGCTTACCAGCTGACTTCCAAACACTGAGTTTGACGTACAAAGCTCTCCACAACCTGACCCAGGCCTTGTTACTAGACTAATCTTCCAAGACTCCGGGCAAGATCATTTGGCTTTAGACATTTTTTGTATCTCTATTTTGTGTTCCCAATAAGAGTGTGAGCCTGTAGAGCAGAGGTTGGCAAACCATAGCCTGTGGACTAATTCTGTATGATCCATAAAGCTAAAATGTTTACTATCTGACACGTTATGGAAAAGTTTATTGACTCTTGCTCTTGGGGGTAGAAGCGTGTCATAGATGACTTTGTTTTTCCTACAGAACCATGTACTCTTCAATGAACATTTATTGACCTCTAAGCATCCCATTTCTCATTCCTGTAAATTTGTTTCCTTCATAGAGGGCCTTCTTCTCTTCTGCCTACCTGGATGAACCTTTTCAATCTTCTTGGACCCACATCAAATCCTCTGGAAATTCTGACTCTTGCTCAATTCTGAATCCCAACAGCACTAAACCACACATCCTGTGTTCATCTTCTGCTTCCAGTTAGTTCTTTGCACCAGAGTAGGTCGTGAACCTAATTGATACCTGGTGCTTAGCTACCATCTGGTTATCGTCTGCCCTTCAGTACTCAGTAGATATTGTCTGGCCTGGGAAGTATTCTCTGACTCTGTCATTCTTCTCCCCCACAACTGAGTTAGGAACCCTTCTTCATACTCCTCCAGCTGCCTGGACTTTCCATCTTGGCCCTTGTCTTTGTGTACTGTGATTGTTGATTTACTTCTAAGATTCTCCAATTGGACTGTGACCTCCTTGAGGACAGGCTAGTGTCTAATTCACTGATGTATTCCCAGCACCTGGCATGGTGCTGAAGACACTCAATTCACATTTTTGAAAAAATAATGGATTGATGCAATCAATAGTTGCTGATTAATTACATGCTTGATTAAAATATTGGTACTATTCCTCATGGCACCCTATTTACATGCTTCAGTTCTCTAACTAGTCTATTATGTATAGTCTAGTTATACATAGTAACTGGACTTAGTTATAATAACAACCTTTCCTTAGTTATACTCTATAGCTACTTTGTATCTCTCGGTATTAGTCAATGCCTATCAACTTTTATATGACTGAGGTTATCAGGCCAAAACTGGGGGCAACCTGGGAGAAACCAAGCTAGGCCATCCAGGTCTTTGGCAAGAAAGACATGTGCCTTTTTTCAATCCCACTTTCTTTCCTCGACTGTGGGCTACTAAAACAAATAGCAGCTCTCCCTCTTTATGCATTAAGCATTTCAAGGACAGCCTGGCTGTGAAATAAAACAATCCAGACAAATTATTGCACACTCATAGCCAGATTTCTGAATCAAGCCTGAGCCTGCCTAGAGCGCCACGTTCACCTAGCATAAAATAATACCAAATGTTTGGACTTGGAAACCATTTGCCAAATGTTGGGCTAATATAACAAAACACACACATTATCAGAGACAGAAAATGGCATCCTGGAAACAGCTTAACCCACTGCAAATGAGATGTAAGAGCCTCGTTCAGCAGAAAAGTTCTTTCCCACTCTCGGGCTTCCCCTGGAGCTGTTTGCTGCTTGAACCTCTCTCATCTACTCTCGGTTTTTCCTGGGAGCATATCATATATTGCAATCACATTTCACTTAGCTGTCCATGATCAGTTTCTCAAATGGGAATACATTAGAGACAGGTTGTGAATTGGCCAGCCACGTCAGCCCCGATCTCCTTGCAGTAAAATGGATGCAGAATAACCACATTTTCCCTTCTCTCAATGTGCTGGTGGCTTCCACAGGAACCCTCTGGAAATGAAGCATAGAAAGAAGCTCACCTGACCAGCCAGAGAACAGACATTTGGCGTTTTTAAATGCCTTTTAAATGTCTAGATAGATGGTATACTACCCTGTAGCCTTTTCAAAATCTGTAAGACATGCTGTGAATGCTGTTGTCTAAAAACACCAGCCCTGGAAAACCCTCCAGGTGTCCGGGTGAGGAAGGCAGCAACCTCACCACTTCTGGAAAGAAAAGGTACTGACTTGCTTCAGGAAAAATCTCTTTCTACCAGATGACAGGACAAGGAAAAGCTAGCAGAATGTTTTGCTCATAATTTTTATCCGATCAATCATGTGTGATAAGCAATGCAGTTTTTGGCCACAAAAACAATACGCAGGATGGGAGATTGACTGCTTCAAGGGCTGGCAGGAAAGGGCACATTTCTTCAGGATGACATCAAAAGTCACTTGTTGCCTTGAGTGAGTGGTCAGAATTGCAAGTTCAGTGGCAATGGATGCTTTCATGTAAAGCCCCATGGCCGGAAGACAGCTCTCAAGTTGATGCTCAGTTGCCATGTGCACCTGAGACATCCCAAGGGGCTCAGCAAAGCAGGAGAGCAGTCCAGTATTCCCTGGGGCTGTGGCCCCTAAGTCCAGAGGAGAAGGGTCATGAGGAATGTGGTGGTCGGACCCATAGAGGTCTGAAAAGTTTGCTTTTGCTTTTCCTTCCCAAAGTTTATACCCAAGTTGCACTTGTTACCACTCTCTTTTGAGGAAAGGCAATCCAGAGTCCATAAGCCATGGACAAGAGTCAGAGAAAAAAAAGAATGTGCCACCCAACCTGGGCCTCCTCAGCAGTGTGAGGTCTGACCTCCCTGCTCAGCTAGGGAAAGCAGGGGAGATAAGACAGGGCTGATCCTAAGGTCTCATCAGCATCCTTGACCTTGGCAGAGGGCAGACATGCAGACGTGGTCCTTGTTTGCCTGGGGGTGAGGGGTGGAAGGAGCAGGGGGAGTGGAGGAGAACGGCCTTGCTTTGCTGCTGGAGACCAGCAAGGGCCATTCAGTAAACAAAGCAAAGTAAAGCAAATGACAACAGCAAAGCAAGGTGTGAAAGAGAGAAGGGTAGCTTTCTGGGGAGTCTCTGGCAGGTTGAGGTGCTGCCTTGCCCAGAGAAAGGCTGTAAGGTGCTGGTGTTTCCATGATGCCAAATGGGTGGGGACTGCCACAGGAGAGGCTGCAGACTGCCCTGAGCCCTGGGCAATTGGCCCTGCTCATCACAGTCCTCTTCAGTCATTACCATTGCCTCGTTAGCTTCAGCAGACCTCTGGCTTCAAAAGTGGGAGTTAGCCTGAATCACCGATGCTGGAGAGAGCAGAAGGTGGGCAGCATGGAGAAACACCTAGGGGAATGCACCTGAGAATCCCACTGCCATCCTCCCCAAGCCTGAATCTGTCTCCTTGCTCAATCATGTAAGGGAACATTCCACCTGCTCCATCGTTTGGCTTTGAGAACTTCCTGTCCTGCTTTCTTTGAGAACACTCCAGGCTTCCTCTTGTTCTTTTGTTCTTCATATCTCACCTAATTTCCCAGGCATTCCCATACCTCGATGCTTGTCAGAACGTGGTTCCCCAGCCCTAAGCTGCCCTGAGAATCCTGACCGGAAGCTTCCTGCTCATCCGTTTGAGGACCCATTACTTCAATGGGCTGCTCTGAAGAAAAAAGAGAAACAGGGTTTACTGCCCATCAGTGTAGAGTTACAGAGCAATTCCAATCAGCCTGTGGTGTGGCACAGCTCTTCCTATGGGTGGCTGTGCAGCAAAGCAAGACTCTCCACGGAGACAACTGCAAGGGATGAGGAGGAGGCCAAGGGAATCCAAGACCTTCCTGCCTTCCTTTGCCTTTTTCAGCTTCTCAGAGGCTTTTAGGAAGAAGTCCTGTCCCTGCTTTTCAGATAATTCAGTAGCTGTTCTTAGATGGCCACCTTAAAGTAAAAAAGAAAGATGATGGTTCTCTACATTTATGTAGTGTTTTATAGTTGTAAGAGCGTTTTTTATCTCCCTACCTAAACTGTATCGCTTTAGGCCTAGGATGGAAATTAACAGGAGGAATCACAAAACTTCGTTACTCCAATCACAAATTTCAGGCGAGAATGTTTGTCTTGTCCTGGTCCAAGCTAATGTTGACCTCTCTGTTAACATATTTTGGATCAGATTCCAGTGCACCTTTTTGCCTGTAGAACTGAATGAATTCTGTGGTGCTGTTAGCCTGATGCAACCACTGGCTTGTTCCCCACACCAACCCTAAACCCTGTCAGTTCCCATTGAAACTGGTGATTTCACGGAATTCTGCACCCATATGTGATATGCACTTCTTTCCTCTCTCTCTCTCCTGTTCCCCCCTTAGCTCTCTTCTCTTTCTTTCCCTTCTTTTTCTTCTCTTTCCTTTCCTTTCCATTCTCTTCCCTTTCTCTCTCTGTTTCTGTCTTCCTCTCTGCTAGATATTGTTTCTTGTCAATCAGCATTCATTTGCAATTGCACATATACCCTTCTTCATATCTCAGGGGCTGGAAACCTGGAGTTCATATTTCTCAGGCTTCCTTGATTCCAGGAAGGCAGAGAATAGGGTCTTCTTCCTCTGGCAGAAAGAGGTATGGCAGAAATATCAGCTGTGCTGGATATGAGTTTTTGTAGCAGACTTCGCATTCTACTGTCAGTCACAACTTCAGGGCCAAGAGGCAGCTACAAAGCCAGCAGAAGTTTCCTGCAGTTTTCTGACCCTGGGATATTAGTATGTCCCAACTTTATAATCTCTGGATCATGAGGTTACAGGTTACAAGTTTCAGGTACAGTGGTGTAATCTGAAAACTAGTGGCACCTCCTCTAAATTACCTTCCTGTAGCACAGCCAATAATTTTGCTCACATTTTATCTTCTTCCTGCATTGCTTAAAAGTCAACCTTTTTGCATAAAATACTTAGAGTAGTGGTTCTCAAAGACTGGCCCTGGACCAGCATTATCATCATCATCATCATCATCATCATCATCCGAGAACCTGTTAGAAATGCACATTCTTGGGCCCCATACCAGACCTACTGAATCAAAAGCCCTAGGGACAGTGCCAAGCAATCCAGGTTAACAAGCCCTCCGGGCAATTCCGATGTAAACTAGAGTCTGAGAACCACTGACCTATTGAGATGTTTATTTTCTTATCACAAACCATGACTGATATACACACAACTTCTCAATGTGTGCTGCTTTTTGTATAATTATAAAATACTATGTTTCATGTAGAAAATTTGGAAAACTACAAAAAGTGTGAACAAGAAACCAACCCCCACAAAGTCTGACTACTGAAAGTTAACTGGGCCAGGCGCAATGGCTCACGCCTGTAATCCCAGCGCTTTGGGAGGCTGAGGCGGGTGGATCACGAGGTCAGGAGTGCAAGACCAGCCTGGCCAAGATGGTGAAACCGTGTCTCTACTAAAACTACAAAAATGAGCCTGGTGCAGTGGCAGGCGCCTGTAATCCCAGCTACTTGGGAGGCTGAGGCAGGAGAATTGCTTGAACCTCGGCGGCAGAGGTTGCCGTGAGCCAAGATCGTGCCACTGCACTCCAGCCTGGGGGACAGAGTGAGACTCTGTCTCAAAAAAAAAAACAAAGAAAAGAAAGTTAACTATTATTACCCTTATTTTTTTCTAGTCGTTTCTCCATGTATACACATTTATACATATAGTTATATAACTGGTTCATCAGTTTGTATCTGATTATTTTCCCCACATAACATTAGATTAGGAACATTTCTCTGTGCCATTATATACGTTTATTTAAAATTTACTTAATGTTTCATGTTATTGAAGTACCATAATTAATTACCTACTCTTCCAATGATAAATGTTTATGTTATTTCTGGGTTTTGCTGGTATAAGTGAATGCTACACTAGATACCCTTATATAAAATATTTCTCCAATCCTGATTGCTCCATTAGCATCAAAGGATAAATGAGGATATGGAAGAGAAGAGAGACTTAGGCAGGACAGCCCTGGGCCCTTTCAGAGCAGTGGCTCCTTGTGTGTAGGGGTAAGCAGAGACCTCATGAAACTTACCAGTTAGGAATCGAGGTGGGAAAGAAGAGAGGAACTTAAGAAAGATTCTTTCTATTTCTGAGCTTAAATAACAGTTGTGAGAGTAGAGGCATCTCAGAAGGAAGGACAAACAAAACGAAGCAAAGCAAGTGATTCTTCTTTTGACACTCTAGATATTCACCCAAAAGGTAGTATGATTTGAGGCCAGTCCACACTTGTTGTTTATGAAGACACGAAGACTTCAGCTTTTTCCCCTGATTCAAGACATCAGCCTGGGGAGGCTGAGTCCATTCTCATGTTATGGTGGCATTTGCATCTATGCTAGATGGGCTGAGGTCACCCTGAAAAGTCCAGGCCTTGTTGTGCTAAATCCCTATAAACCTCAGTGGGGATGGCACCAGGTTTAAGAAGCCAAAGAAGGGACCCAGAGCCAGCAAACGAGACGTGTGGTTTTACTGGGGGCTTACATACAGGGGAGAGTGCAGCGGTGGAGATCTGTGCAGAAGAACCACATCCACTTGCAAAAAGCATGCAGTTTATACAGTATTTCCACTTTGTACCCTCCCCCTAAAAACCTCCACCTGGCAATTTTCATTTAACCCCAAACTCAGGGCCTGAATGCCCTGTAAGGCCAGTGTTTCACAGGCTGGGCTGGGGGCTCAGATGTTTTTCATAGATAAGGAATTATTCTCTGAACACACATTCAGGTGCGTCTGCCATACAGGGTCACTCTCAGGGTATGCTCGAGTCACTGTTGCCAGGTGAATTTATTGTATGCTCCACCCCAAAATGCCCTTGAGTGGCCCTCATGTTCTTATCATCTATTTTTCTGCAATTTCCCTGGGACCAGGCATGCAGAGGAACATTGCAGCCAGATGCCATGCTGCAATACAAACTACAGAAACAAAAAGTCCTTCCGTGTGCTGGGAATTGAACCTGGATGCCCATAGCAGTCCCACTGTGGAGGAGAGGGGTCAGCTCTCCACAGACCCAACAGTCTGTTTTGTTCTGGAGAGAGGCCACCATCTGTGTCCAGTTGGTGAAGAGGTTTGCTGCACATCATCTATGGGCAGAAGATGAGATGTTTAGTGGGTACAAAAAAGGGCAAGTCATGACCATTTAACAAGACACAGGAAGTCGTGGCATTGAGAGAGCACTGCCCTTGGCAATGGCCTGGTGCCTGGTTTACATCAGTGGATTGGCTCCCATCTGTGACATGTGGTGGAAGGCCGGAGCAATGGCACCCAATGTTTCACAGTAAGAGGGTAATCATCCCCTTGCCCAAGGAAGGACCAGGACTCACCATTCCAGAAGTACAAGAGGGAATAGGGTGCAAAATAGGTGTGATTTGTGTATCCTGTTCCAGGCCCTTCCCCCAAGGAGTGGGAAAAGTGAACCATCGTGGGCTAATTTGTCATTTCCAGAGCCACATAATGATATGCTCCCTAGACGATAGGTCCTGAGGCAAGGGCAGTTGTAGGTTGTCTCCAATACCAGGCCAGTGCAAAGCCATGTTAGGAATGGGGCCCTGTCCCTCCTGTATGAAGGAGGGAATCCATGGAGGTCCAGCAGACTCTGTCAAAGACTGCTTCAGTTCAGGTGACAGGTGACAGGGCCAAGCATTGAATGGAGCTCAGTGCTCAAGGGGCTACCCGTCAATGTGCTCCTCTGTTGGAGGCATGCATGCCATGTGGCCACAGTCTGCATCCGGGCATTCCCAGACCTCAGTCTCTGGAAGGTATCCTGTAGCCAACTTGCCACAGGATACTGGGCATGCACCAGCACTGGGACCCCCTCTGCAATGTCCTCCATCTGTTGCAAGGCACAATATGCAGTGCAGAGCCACTGCTCCATGACACTATCATCCACCTTCAGCCCCCTGCCATAATTGGGACCAGAATCCTAAAGGCACATATTCATTTCCTTGCCCTTGCCACAGGCCCCACATAAAACCCTCAGGGTAACCAGCTATGTCCATTTCACAAGGCTGTACCTGCACAAGAGTCCCCGCATCCTGTGTTTCACTGCAACTTTAGCTTATTCCAAGGCCTCATCCTTCCTTGTGGACCCATCACAGTGGGCCCCCTTTTTGACTAAGTGGTATGGGGGCCTAAGACGTTGGGCCAAATGGGGAACAAAAGAACACCCATACCATAGAAGGCCTAGGAAGGTTTGCAGCTGCTTTGGTGTGCTACAACATGGGTAGACCTGCACCCTATCCATAATGGCAGATGGAATGACTTTAGTCTTACCCAACAAGATGACATCCAAGTATTTGACTGCCAAGCCAAATACTTGGGTTGGGACTACCAACCCAATTGAGACAGCAGAGTGTGGGCTGTAGTTTGTAAACTGGAAAAAGACTCAGAAGTTAAATATCCCTGGGGCTGATGGTAAAGGTCCATTATTCTCTTTCCCGGGTGAATGCAAATTGGCTTTGATTCTGGGGCAATGGGAATGCTTAAGAAGGCACTGGCTAAATCAATAACAGAATGGTACATGCCAAGTTCCTCTCCTACCCTCATATGTAGGGAGATGATACTCAGAGGAGGAACAGCTGCATACACTCTGGGGGACCACCTTATTTAGTTTCCAGTAATCCACTGCCATTCTCCGTGTCCATCAGGCTTCCATACAAGCCATACAGGGCTACTGTATGGGGCTGGCAACTGTGCTGGTGTCTATTTCATGTTCCCCTGATCACATGCTTCACCACCCCAACTCTCAGTCGGAGTTCCCTGGCAGTTGTTTGGGGGCTCACAAGATATCCATTCCGAAGATGTATTCTGGAATGGGAGCTATGTATACTAAATAGGGTTTTGGTGGCAGTCTCTCAACTGGTAATACTAGTTCAACTTGTCTGACTTTCATGGCCCTCCGGCCCCATAACCATCTATTATTATCACAGGCCCTTGGAACACATGAATGTTACCATATGTATTAGTCCATTCTCACATTGCTATAAAGGAATACCTGAGACTGGGTAATTTATAAGGAAAAGAGGTTTAACTGGCTCATGGTTTTGCAAGCAGTATAGGAAGCATAGAGGCTTCTGCTTCTGGGGAGGCCTCAGGAAACTTCCAATCATGGTGGAAGGCAAACAGGGAGTGAGATGTCTCACATGGCAAGAGCAGGAGCAAGAGGAGAGGGGCAGGTGCCACACACTTTTAAACAACGAGAACCCATGAGAACTCAATGATCGCAAGGACAGTACCAAGAGGATGGTGCTAAACCATTCATGAGAAATCCACTCCCATGATCCAATAACCTCCCCCAAGGCCCCACCTACAACATTGGGGATTACATTTCAACATGAGATTTGGTGGGGACACAGATCCAAACTATATCACCATATATGAGAGTGCATTTGGCTCACTGTATCCATGAGGCATGCACAGTCTGTTATTTTTAGGTGACCAAAATATAGCTCTACATGTGGCCTCTGGTCCCTGGACAGCCTGGTCGTCGTTGCTCTTATTGGGATCCTGGGGCTTTGGCCTGCATCCTAGTTAAAGAGGTTGGTGCCTGCCATCTCTCTGTGGGAGGGGCAGTGGGATGTACCTGGGGCTCCTTAGTGGAGCTCTTCCAACTTGAGCTTCTGCCCCAGTCTGACCAGAACAGCATTCGGCTGTTTATCTGTTTTCACAGCAGGTGTCCCTGCCACTAAGAGGTTGTGCCGCATTTGTTATTGGCTCACCCTGATGGGCCCCATGGCTGTCTCCTTTCTTTATATTCCAGCAGTGTGTACCCTTCACCCATGTAGTACCCCCCCACCATTTCCTCCAAGTCAGTGTCTGCTTGAGCCACAATAGACACTGGCTGTCGTACCAAGGGGCTCAGGATAGACACTAGTGTGCCATACCATTGGCTGGTGCCAACTATAAGATGGTGTCTTTCATACCAGCACTGAAAAGCTCACTGTTGGGACCTTGGTAATGCCCCGCATAGACAGCATGCTTCATCCCTAATTCCTAGAGGATGTCCTGCAATTCTTCCACAGTCTGTCATTGTAAAGGAGATGTGGGGCATCTCCCTTACTTGGCAAGGCTGCCTTGCAGCCTACAATCACCCAACCAAGGGCACAACCTGATCCCCATTACCAGCACCACAGAGGGGCTGCCTCGAGACCCAGTGGTCTATAATGGATGCCATTTCACTTACGGAGAGTACAACACCCTCTGCCTCCATGTCCCAGAGACAGAGAAGCCACTCCACAGTCAACTCTCTCCCCTTCTGCCTGAACCTATTTTCCAGCTCCACCAATTCCACAGTTGTGTGGTCCCACATGGTGGTGCACTGCGGTCTTCCAGGCAGAGGCAAATCTTGCAGGGCTACCAGCTATGGGCACACTGGGTCGGCTTTTATCTTAGTGGTGACCATCAGATGCACAGAGGGGATGGGAACCTCTAAAAGCTCATCCCAGTCTTCACTCTCCTCCCCACTAGAGCTCTCCATAGGGTCTCAGGACTTAGGGTCTCAGGAGGATTTAGTCATGATAACTCAGACCCATTGATATGGCGGCTGGTGACCGTTCAAATGGGCTACCCGACAATCCAGGGTCTCCATCTTGTCATCCTGTGCCTGCAGGCAGGACAGTAAGCTCTCCAGTGTTTCAGCCTGAGCTAACCTGGCATCTCTTTCTAATTGCAGTTCATCCTGTAACTGACAAACACTTGCCTACAATGTGAACTCAGCTTCAGTGGCTACTCTGTAGAGCAGCCAGCCAATTGCAGCTGCCACCACTTGGGCATCTGACCCTTTGCTCAGTCAGATCCATCTCCTTCAACAACTCTTCCAGATCCTTTAGCATTTTGGGGGCATCCCTGTGCTCACATGTTGGACCCCATCCATCAAGGATAGTGGCTTTCAGGTCCCACATAGATATGGACGGTCAGCTCAGAATTTCCCCTGTGGATTCCCCTTCCCTGATCCCACCATCTTGGTGCTCACAGGATTTTCTCCAGCCTTCTGGATAGCTCACCAATTGTGCTAAATCCCTATCAACTCCAATGAGGATGGCACCAGGTTCAAGACGCCAAAGAGACCCAGAGACAGCAACTGAGACATGGGGTTATTGGGGGTTTACATACAGGGGAGAGAATCCAATGGTGGCAGGCTGGCAGGAGAACTGCTGGTCCAGTGGTGGTGGGCTGGACAGAAAAACTACACAGCCCAGTGGCAGCAGGTTGGGCAGGAGAACTGCATGGCCCAGTGGCAGTAGGCTGGGCAGAAGAACCACAACCACTTGCAAAAAACATGCAGTTTATATAGCATTTTCACTTAGCACCCTTCCCCTAACAGCCTCCACCTGGCAATCTTCATCCAACCCCAAACTCAGAGTCTTGATCCCCTGTACAGCCCTTGTTCCACAGGATGGGCTGGGGGCTCAGATGTTCCTCATAGATAAGGAATGAATCCCCTCCAAACACACATTCAGGTGTGTCAGCCATACGGGGTCATTCTCAGGGTATGCGCAAATCATTGCTGTCAGAGGTGTTTACCATATATGTCTGGGCACATTATAAGTGTTTCAACAATATTTGCTGACTGAATAAAAAAAATTAAAAAAAATAGATGGATAGAATATTTCTGAAAGCCCAGGCATATATACTATTATCTCAAATGCCCCAGATTTAGTGATTCCCTATAAAATCCCATGCCTAGAAATGAATCCACTTCCCAGCATGCGTGGCACAAATAGGCATTCTTCCCTCTTCTCCTCTTGTCAATTAATCAACAAATACTTATCAAGGATCTACCACATGTCTAGCACTATTCTTGTGCAGGAAATAACAAAGTTCTCCCTGCCTTCAAGGAGCTTATAGTTTATTTTTTACTTTTTATTTTTAATTGACAAAAAATAATTGTTCATATTTAAGGGATACAATGTGATGATGCGATGTTTTGATCGATATATACACTGTATTAGAAAGATTCAATCAAGCCAATTAATATATCCATTTTCTCACCAACTTATTTTTTGTGGTGAGAATGTTAAAAATCTATTCTTTTAGCAATTTTGAAATATGTAATACATTATTATTAACTGTGCTCAACATGCAGTGCAATAGATCACTAAAGCTTGTTACTCCAGCCTAAGACTTTATACCCTTTGATTACATCTTTCTCCATCTCTACCCCTCTCCCCCAGCCTCTGGTAACCACCTTTCTACTCTCTGTTTCTTCATGGAATATCTTTTTCTATCCCTTCACTTTCAGTCTATTTGTATCCGTAGAGGTGAGATGAGTTTTTCTGGGCAGCATAGAGTTGGGCCTTATATTTTTATCCATTCAGCCACTCAATATCTTTTGATTGGATAATATAATCCACTTACATTCAAAGTAGTTATTGACATGTAAGAGCTTATGTTTGCCATTTTGTTAATTTTTTTCCAGTTAATTTGTAGATCTTTTGTTTTTCTCTTCCTTTGTGGTTTCATGATTTTCTGCAGTGGTATGCCTTAAATTCTTTTTAACTTTTGTGTATCTACTGAAGGTTTTTGCTTTGTGGTTACCATGAGACTAACATAAAACATTTTATACTAATAGCAGGTTATTTTAAGCTGATAATAACTTTGATCACTTGCATAAATTTTACTCTTCTACTTCCTCCTAATTTGTTTGGTCACACATTTTGTATGTTTTATAATTTGTGTCCCTTAACAAATTATTGTAGCTATTGTCGTTTTTAATAGTTGTCTTTTAACCTTCATCCTAGAGATATAATTGATTTTCAGATGACCATTATAGTATGAGGTTCTGAGTTTGACCATATATTTACTTTTACCAATGAGTTTTATATTTTTATATATTTTTATGTTGCTACTTAGCAACTCCCCCCCTTTTTAAGTCTGAGAAAGTGATTATCTCCTTTTCATTTTTGAAGAGTAGGATTTCCAAGTATAGTATTCTTGGTTGGCAGGTTTATTTATTTTTTTTTATCTTTCAGCTTTTTGAATATATCATCCCATTCCCTTCTGGCCCACAGGATTTCTGCTGAAAACTCTCAGAGAGTCTTATTAGAGTCCCCTTAAATGTAACCATCACGCATGTCCGTGTGAAGAGACCACCAAACAGCCTTTGTGTGAGCAACAAGGCTGTTTATTTCACTTGGGTGCCAGTAGGCTGAGTCCAAAAAAGGAGTCAGCGAAGGGAGATAGGGGTGGGGTCATTTTATAGGATTTGGGTAGGTAGTGGAAAATTATAGTCAAAGGGGGTTGTTCTCTGGCAGGCAGGGGCGGGGGTCACAAGGTGCTCAGTGGGGGAGCTTCTGAGCTAAGAGAAGGAATTTCACAAGGTAATGTCATCAGTTAAGGCAGAAACCAGACATTTTCTCTTCTTTTGTGATTCTTCAGTTACTTCAGATGTATCTAGATGTATATCTGCCGGCTTGGGCTCAGAGGCCTGACAGTAACTGTCACTTTTCTCTTGCAGCTTTCAATATTCTCTCTTTGTCTTTAATGTTTGACAGTTTTATTGTTATGTGTCTTGGTGTGAGTCTCTTTGGATTCATTCTATTAGGTGTATGTTGAGTTTACTGGATTTAGGTTTTTATTTCCTTCCTCAGAAGTAGGAAGTTTTTGCCATTATTTTTTTGAATATGTCCTCTGTCCCTTTCTCTTTCTCCTCATCTTTTGATACTCTGATAATGCACATATCATTCCACCTGATGATGTCCCATAGTCCCTTAGGTTGTCTTCACTTGTTTTCTTTCTTTTTTCACCTCATATTGTATGATTTTCTATAAACCATCTTTATGTTCACTATTTCTTTATTCTGCTTGATCTAGTCATTGTTAAAGCCTTCTACTGAATTTTTGAATTCAGTTATTCTTCAGCTTGATGATTTCGGTTTGTTTGCTGCTTCTTCTTCCTTTTTTTTTTTTTTTATTAAACTTTATTCTATCTCTCTGTTGAAGTTGACAGTTTTTTCATGCATTGTTCTTACCTTGGTGAACATCTTTACAACTGTCCTTTTGAATTCCCTGTCAAGTAAATCACCTGTCTTCATTCCATTGAGTCAGTTTCTGGAGATTTATCTTGTTCTTTTATTCAGAAGATGTTTTCTTCATTTTCCTGTTTTTTCATTTTCCTTCACTCTCTGTGTTGGTCTCTGCACATTAGATTTAAAAAACTACCTTCCCTAATCTTGTTATACTGCTCCCTTTTGGGAGCTGCTCCTGCCCAATTTGCCTGACCAGACATTCCAGGTGCCTCTAAACTGTTTGTGCATGTCCCCAACCTGCTATTTTTGTTCTTAGTGGTCCAAGAAATTCAAGTGTCATGTGGGCGTGGTGGCACACACCTGTAGTCCTAGCTATTTGCGGGGCTGAGGCGGGAGGATCAACTGAGCCTGGGAGGTTGAGGTTGCAGTGGGCCATGATCATGATCATGCCACAGCATTCCAGCTTGGGTGACAGCATGAGACCCTGTCTCAAAAAAAAAAAAAAAAAAAAAAGAAGAAGAAAGAAAAAGGAATTAAAGTGTCAAGTTGTGCTATTGTCTTAGGAGAGGTGGGACAGAAGCCAGAACTTTGGGATGCAGATGGTGTTAGATGTATGTTCTAGTTCCTTCTTCATTTGCAGGGAAACTGAGAGCTAGAGTTTATCTGCACTCATTCTGCTCTACATCAAGGAAAGAGTCTGGAGCAGATGCTTGTACTCTTGATCAGACTACTCACTTTGAGATGACTGCTGAAAATTTACAAGTTTAAAAGTTACCTTTTTGTTCTCAGTGGTCTAGGAGACTCAGGAGTGCAGAGTGTGTCAACTCCCATAGTGAGGTGATTTAGGAGCTAGTCCTTCAGGTGAAAGCTGTAAAAGTTGGAGCATGCAGAAACTACTTCCAGGGAGTCTGCAGATTTGAATTTATTTCTGGAGCAAGCCAGGGAAGAAGGTGTGGAGAGTTCCCACTCTCCTGTTTGAGCAAGCAGAAGTTTCACACCTTCCTAGCAAGGGGAGATTTCTGGTCTGGAGTTATCACTGAAGCAAGCCAGAGAGAAAGGTGCAGCGAGTGCTCACTTTCTCTTTCAGGAATGGAGAGATCCCCCAGCATCCTCCCAATGACAGATTCCAAGACTTTATCTTTAGAGTAAGCCAGGGAAGATGGCACAGGAAATGCTGTCATTCTTGCCAGCATAGTTTTCCAACCTCTTTCTACAGAGAGATAGCAGGGCTGGGATTTTCACCACTGGAGCAAGCTGGGGAAGGAAGTGCAGAAAGTGCTCACTCCCCTGTTCAAGAAAGAAGTCTCAGACTCTCTTTACAGAGGGAGCATTCTGGTCTGGAGTTATTGATGAAGCAAGCCAGGGAAGAAGCCACCGGGAATGCTCACTTTCCCTTTTGGGCATGGAGAGGTCCACCAACCTCCCTTTAATAGAGATTGTAGAGATTTATAGCTTATTTTTTTGAAGACAGACAATAGATATTCAAAACAAATCCATAGTTCTATGAGAGAAATTAAAGAGTTTAGCTTGACACACAATGACCAGGTTTAACCAAACTGAGGTCTGGCTGCTTGCCGCTCAGAAGCCAAAACAAGAGAAGCAAGATGGAATGGAGGAAAGCAGTTTTATTCAAAGGCTAGCCATTGAGAAGAATGGCTGGACTTAGGTCTCAAAGAACCATCTCAAATTTTCAGGCTAAGCGAAGGGGGTTGGGAAGGGAAACTTGGTATGGGAAGCATGTGGGAGTGGTGCAGGGTGGAGGTCGGCATATCTTGCTCCAATGGCTATCTTGAGTTGTTGTCCACCTGTAGAATGAACTGGGGCCATTTTGACAATGGTTGGGTTGAAGATTAACCACCTTGAGGCAATTTCTAGGTGGGGGAGACTTCCACAACTGGATCTCTATGCCTGGTTTATTTCAAGATTAGCCCCTGGAACTTCTAAGCAAGTACATCATTAGACAAGCAAATATGGTGCAAGGGAGTGTCTGGAATAGAAAGAGGAAGAAGGGTTTTCTTAAGATTAAGAAGAGAGAAAATGAAACTTCAAAATACATTTCGAGGTTAAGATACTGGGTTACATAGAGTGTGAAGAGTGTATGCTACTTTCATCATTTTATGGTTCCAGCTATAGCAGTGGAGGCTTACTGGGGGATGACCTGTCTTAGATTCATTTGCAAACCAATGATCCAGGCTCAGCATAGGTTTCAAATCACACCCAGCAGAGGGTGTGGCAGGTCTGGATAGGGTTTATTTTTTAATTAAAAAAAATTTTTTTTTTGAGAGAGGGCTTTGTTCTGGAGTGCAGTTGTGCAGTCATGGTTCACTGCAGCCTTGACCTCTTGGGCTCAAGTGATCGTCCTATCTCAGCCTCCCAAGTAGCTAGGACTACACCCATGCACCACCACACCAGGTTAATTTTTTATTTTTATTTTTGTAGAGATGAGATCTTGCTGTGTTGCTAAGGCTGGTCTCAAACTCCTGGCCTCAAGCAATTTTCCTACCTTGGCCTCCCAAAGTGCTGGGATAACAGGTATGAACCACTGAGCTCGGCCAGTTTTATGCCCTAAGAGGCTTCATGTGTTAGTGTCCTGGTTCTAGTGATGAGGGATAATGGTTAGCACTTGTCATGACTTGATTAGGAATGAAATAACATAGTGAATATATAGTAACCAATGTAATCAAAAACAGTTTCCTCAAAAATACCTGGCTGGGGTGGCAACTAGGTTCTTCTCTCAAGCTGATTCTGGTGTAGGAAAGTTTAAATTTTTCCTCTGAAGTTTCGATAATTTGAGTCTATAAAACAAATTGATAATAGTTGAAAGAAAAAAGGCATACACATTTATTGACGTGCATATGGGCATGAGAATCATACAAAAATATGAGGCTTAAAGATGGGGGGTTGATGATTGAAGTTTTATAACATCCTGAGATTACGGAAAAAATAGGGACTTGGAGCATGGCAAGACAGGTTACAAGAGGGAGAGAAGAGAAAAAGGCTAGCATAAGACCACTAGCCTGGCTAGTGAGGATGGTCTTGTTATGCTGATGAACCTCATAGGTAACAACCCTTAAAGAATAGATAGATAGTAGCCTGTAATAACAGTTTCTCTGTCAGACCTTCAAAGGTGTCAGACTCTGAGTCTGTCTCTCTCTCTTTCTCTCTCTCCCCATAATTTAATCTTTCCTAGCTTTGGACAAGGGGTTGCCTCAGAAAAGGTCTGTTTGCATGTCCTAGTTACTTCACTTTATTTCCTCCACAGATGCAAATCTCCTTTTCCCCGAAAAGGGAGGAAATTGCAAGGCTATTCTTGTGCTTGCAGCCTCTCTGAATAGCCATATCAAATTATGCCAAAGAAGTATATTTGGCTGGGCTCAGTGGCTCATTCCAGAACTTTGGGAGGCCGAGATGGGTGGATCACTTGAGGTCAGGAGTTCCAGACCAGACTGACCAACAGGATGAAACTCCGTATCTACTAAAAATACAAAAATTAGGAGGGCGTGGTGGCAGGCGCCTGTAATCCCAGCTACTTGGGAGGCTGAGGCAGAAGAATTGCTTGAACCCAGGAGACGGAGGTTGCAGTGAGTCAAGATCATGCCATTACACTCCAGCCTGGGAGATAGAGCAAGAGTAAGACTCTGTCATAAAAAAAAAAAAAAGTATATTTTAGGGTAAAATATTTTTTTGTTTCATTCACTGGTCAATTAGTAGAGGCTGTTTAGAACACTGTCTTTAGAGTTCCTCAATGAGAATTCCAATTTCAGAAGGAGTTAGAAGCAAGCTAAAGCAAAGCGAGTGATTATTCTTTTGGCACCCTAGGAATCAAAGAACAGTATGTTCTGAAGCAAATCATGCTTGTGTTTTCTGAGGACACAAGAACTTCATCTAACTTCTTTTTTGATCTGATCCGAGCCATTAGCCAATGAGAAAGGTGATTGAATGGTGATGTCTTCCATGAGTCCAGTAATAAGTATGCTTGTGTCCATCTGTGATGGTGCTTAGTCCTATCCAGGCCCAAATCCACAATGGGGTATAACTTTTCAGTAACTGCCCAAGGCTTAGGAAATTAAGTATTATACCAAAATGTCCAAAACACATGAGCATGAACCTGTAGTGGATGGTAAGCCTTAGTGGCTCACAGATGCAGTGTAGATTAGAAAGACTGCTGGACTACTGGATAGCATAATCCCCAGAGTCTAGTTTTTTTTTTTTTTTTTTTGGAACACTCACAAACTGCATGAACTTGAGAAGGTCAGTTTCTTTCCTAAGCATCAGTTTCTCCATTTATTAAAAAAAAAAATCAGCCCAATAATTCCTGTTCTTCCTACTTCGCAGGGATTTTATGACAATCAAATGAGCTCATACTTGGGAGAACACTTCACTCGGTGCTAGACAAGAACAAGCTATCATCATTAATTTGCTGGTGACAGGGAAAGCTGCTACTTCCTTTCCCTACCTTCTTTTTTCTTTTCTTTTCTTTTCTTTTTTTTTTTTTAAACAGAGGTAGTTATTTATGCACCAGAAAGAACAGTTAAATTCCTAGGCTGTGTGCTTCTCTTAGTGAAATGATTTAGAGCCATGTGTAAATAGCACATAAATTTATTATGACTCGGGTCCAAACTGGGGAATGTGTCTGTATATACACACACATGCAATCACCTCTCAACATCTAACAGTGAAAAATATTGCAGCCTTGTAAAAAACAAAGCCACCTTCTTCCTAACTCCTGACAGCTAAAATGTCCTTAAAATAAATGGGAAAGAAAGTTCACTCTACATAACTGTGCAATGGAGTTTTTATGAATCAGACAAATTTTGAGTCTCGCAGGTAACGTCAGACCTGAGAGTGATGTTTACACTCCTGGTATTTCAAGCTTAACTACTTGCTGCTGATTCGCCCAGATGGCTCTCTAGGCACAAGGATGCAGAATCTCTATTTATTTACTCCAAAGAAACAAACAAACAAAAAGCTGACCGTTGGACCAAGTTAATCAAAAAGTTTTTAATAGAGTCATTGGAGGACCAAGGCAAATGCCTGGAGCCATAAACAGGTGGCACAAATCATTTTTAGTCTTGTTAGAGAATGAGGAGCGGGCTGCTGCAGGGAGATGATTTCCTGCCTAATTAATCTGCATGTTGTCACCCTGGAATTTATTCATTGTGGGGCATGAATCCCATCTGTAAGGCCAGTTGTTAGAATTGGTGAGAAAATACTTTCTTTTTTCCTTATTTATTAGAGGAGAGAGGAAGAGAGAGAGAGCAGAGAGCTCATGTAGTTATATTTCAGCTTGAAGCAAATCAAATACTCCTTTGAGTCTTCAGTACTTGAAAGCAGCCAAATGGCTGTTGCAGGGTGGCCTGTTACTTTCTTATTTATGAAGGAATTTATATGTATGTGTGTGTATATATATCACATTTCCTTCATAAATGTATATATTACAAAACCACATATATATTACATTATATATGTGTGTGTGTACATATATATAACTTTTTTGTTTTTAGTGGCAACACTTAATCGGACAGAGCTGCCAGTCACTAAAGGTGAAGTGAGATGTTTTGATTAGACAATCAGTCAATGCTGCACTAGTCTAAATAGTGTCTTTGTGAAAGTTAGAAAAGGCACCCCTTGCTCAAGACATTTTACTTCTATTTGCTGGGAAATTGTCATACTACATTGAATATGTTAGAGTAAGACACTTTACTTCCACCTGCCAGAAAGCTGTCATTACACAAACTGAAACCTACAGTGTCTTCAGTGAGAAGACTACCTCTTTAGCTACATTGTTCTTGTGTACCACATGGCCTAAACAATTGCACACCGGCACCACCATCGATGGCAGCATTTAGCAAGCTGCTGGGGATGGCTGGCTGGTTCATATGGTCCCTGCCCTCAGGCAGCTCAGTCTAGCTGGGAAGACAGACATTAGTCAAAATAAGCATCCAAATACATGTACTATGACAAAATGGGGAAGTGCTTTGAAGCAAAATTTCAGGGTGCTAGGGGTCTTCTTAAATTGAAGATAAATGTGTATCTAGTGTTTAAAATAGTTCTTGGCAACACTCAACTGATGTTTACAGGATGAAAATTTCACAAATTACAACCATCCACAAAACGGAGGTGTGTGGAAATAGAGCTTTCTTTGTACAACTGATTTTAATATTTGATTCCAAGACCCACCAAGCGGATAGTATCAAACAGTGATGTTTGCGTAAATCAGTTCAATATAGTGACTTCCAGTTAAATTCAATCCCCAAGCCCTTCCAACCTCTGTCTGTGGCTAGTTTAAGCCTTCAGAGAGAGACAGATGATTCCCTGACTCTTTGTGGTTGGGTCACAGGCTGCTGGTGGATGCTCCTTCCCTCACCCCTCCAGGCAGCCTATTCAAACTGGGATGTCAATGTCCCTGCTTATGTGTGGGCCTCTTTCTGAATGCTGAAAGCCCTGTTGGTCCCCTCCAAGCCACTTTTAAGGTAGGGCCCATCACAACCAAGGGCAGCCAGCTGCTGTTCCTCTGGCTTGTGCTGTGCCCATGTGTAGGATGGGTCTTTGGTGCTTCCCCTCCTAAGCTGCATCCAGGGGACAGATTGGCTTAATGCTCTACTGTCACCATCTTGAAATTCATAATCATTTTATCTTTAAACTTGTCTTTTGTGAAGTAGTGCACCCACCTGAGCAGAGGAGAGGTGTGCATAATGCATGCTGCCATTTCTTCCTATCCCATTTGCACATAGCATTAGTGTTAATTCCTTGTATCGACCAACCACTTAAGTGAAAATGGTGACATAGAAAGAAAGGGAAAGAGAGAGCAGCCCATAGTTTCTTTTGTCTTCAGTCCTTCCTTAACTCATCAGTAAGTCAAAGGTAGAGAATGTCAGTAGAATGTGTGTATGTCACAAAGGGAAATAAAGACAGCATCTCCCCTTTTCTGGAAAGGACAAAATACGTATGCACGTACAAGCTATGAAATACAAATTGTGCAATGTCAGGCCTTCTGCATATGAGTTAAATGCTCTTAAATTTGCATTTAAAGCTGGCATTGCACAATATAAAGTAGAATGGTAAAATTCGGGCTAATAATTTTAAATTCTAATTTTTCTTTACTTAGAACAACATTAAATAGCAAATAAAAAGCTCCATGACAAGTTGAGAGAGAAAGACTGCAGAAGAAAGTGAAAAGCTTTTAATTTTAGCGCTTTGTCCTGCTTTTTGAACAAGGAGTCTTACATTTTCATTGCACTATGTCCTGCAAATGATGTAGCTGGGCTTGCTCAAGCTAAACACATGGGGTAGAGCTCCTTCCCTGTTTTCCCACCCCCAGCAAAATGCGAGGAGTGGGGAGGGAGGGCAAAAGTTACACAGCTTTGTGCACTTCATTTTCTTTTTCCTTAAAACTCCAACCCTTTGTGTCCTCCCAGCACGTGTTTCTAGCTCCTCCAAGGGCAAATCATTGACAGCCAGGTTTAGTAGTCACTTTACACTTCTGGGAAAATGGCTGTGGCTTCTAGCTGGGAGCTGTGTCTTCTGAACGTAGTAAGAGTCTGGTCTTAGCTTTCAGGCTGGCCTGTCTCCACAGCTATTTATTATAGTTCACACTTAGCTGGGGCTTTTGGGAGAGAGGGAGAAGCCAGAGCCAACAAGAATGCAGAAGGGAGAATGCAGGAAGACAGGGCACAGTGCTTCCCATCTCTCCTGATGTGGACAGTAGAAACTTCCTGAGTACCTGCTGCATAGGGCATGGCTCTGTAGGGGCTCAGAAAACAGTACCCCAAAAGGAAGATCTCAGCAGCAGCCTCAGAAGCGAACGTTTCTCTCTGACCTTCTCCTGCCCTCCTCTCAGTCCCATTTTCTCCCAAGGCCAGCCACTGAAACTAGAATCCCTCTTTCTCAAGGCAGGTTATAGAAACCAGAACCCCTTTTCCCCAAAGCTAGCCATAAAATCTAAAAATATTATCTGTGAAAACTGACCATAAAGAACATATCTGACCTACCTGGTTTGACTGTAGGTCACAAGCCCCCATTCCAGAGAGGCCCTGCCCCACACCCAGAAGGAAGGAATGCTTTAGAGAGGCCAAGAAGAATCTAGACAGGTCTTGCTGGGTTTTCTACTCAGTCTATTAACATCAGATCATCCTCCCTTTTGTCAAATCAGACTTCTACCTGGCTGTCCATACTTTGTTAAGCCTAAACATAAAAACAGACAATTTCCCCCGTGTCTTGGGGTCTTCATTCTGAAGCCTCCGTGGATACACATTGAATGAATTAGTATGCTTTCTCTCCTATTACTCGGTTGGCCTCATGTCAGTGATTTTTCAGTGAACCACAGTTCCCTCGTCGGTGGGCTGCCATGTCAGGCAGGCAGGGAAGCGCAGTGGACTCTAGGAAGGAAGAAGCAAGGACCTTTGGAGAAGGAGCATCACTCAGGGGCAGAGACAGGAAGCCCCAGAGCCGGGTTTTTCGGTCCTCTGCTCCACAGTGCACAGGTTTCAGAATGCTTCCTGAGAATTCTCCATTACCACCACACTTTTTAATTTTAGGAAATCAGCATGTTTTATTCATTAAAAAGATAAAATATCTTTGTGCAAGAGAGGCCCCAAAGGAGAGCAGTGCTCAGAGTGGCTAATGGATTTCTTTGTAATGCGGTTTAATGCAACAAGGCAACTCATGTCTTTATGGTTGGGAGAGTTTTCTCCTTGGATGGGGAGTGAGGGGCTGAGAGCCTGAGACTGGGCATACTCCAGAATCCGCACCCAGCCCCTGGCTGGAGGCAGCCAGCCTTTGCCTGAGCTACAGCCCTGAGGCTGAGCCATTACCCTGAGTGACCCATCCCTGAGAGACCAAGAGGCAGTGGGGCTGAGCCATGCTCTAGACGTCACCTCTCAGTCCCAGAAAGGACACCCTGCAGGTCACCAAACAAGGGTTGAATTGTCCTCTGTGAAAAAGTCAGCCTCCTGAGCATGAAAAAGCCCTAGCACTGGTGGTTAGAAACCAACTGAAGCAGGGGTGGCTAAGCCTTCTGTGAGGAGGAAATTCTTTTTATTTTCTAGAATCTGAGATTCCTGAGGAGACCGTGGAGGGAAGGCCTCCTCTTCTGAGAGTGGGGTGGTGAAATAAGGAGCCTGTGAAGATGAGGCCCTTCTCACTGGGAGCCCTGACTAATCAAGAACAGCCAGGGCAACAGCTCCGTCTGTGGCCAGCAGAAATCTTTCTGATGCCCCCTGGCTTAGAGGAAAGAGAAACGGTGGGATTACAGCTATCCCATAAAAAAAGCAAAATTCATCTTTTTCACTTTCATCTGTGGGTCAGAAAATAGACACTGAGGGCTGAACGTCCTTCCACAATGGGTCGGCCAGGATGGCATCTGGTGTCTCAGGGCCAGAGGCAGGTGAGGGGAATGGAGGCTGAGAGCGGCTCTGAGGGAGGAGGGCCCCACTGTTGGCAGCTGCTTCCCCTCCTCGTATTTTCCCCCTCTTCTCTCTGTTTTGATCTACTAGTACTTCTGTGTTTCTGTTTCTCTTCCTAGCCTGGCTTTTCTACCCTTGGAGAGGCACTCAAAGAAAGCTCACAGCAGGTGAGCAGAAGGCAGGAGATACGAAAGGAAGCCAGGCGGTGGGGTAATCAGGAGGTCATGTTGTGGAGCCAGAGGTCAGAGCACTTTGAGGTCAGTGTTTCTGGTATGGGGGATCCTATCTCTGCTAGAGCATAAAGACATAGAATACGTTTTCTGAGATCGTTCTTTGCTCCAAAGCTTTCTAGCTTGGTTGAAAACAAACCAATGAACAAGCTCCTAGGGGAGAAAATAATTTCACCTTCCATAGTTTTTCATTTTTACTTACCCTTTAAAAAATAATTTTGACTTTTATTTTAGATTCAGGGGGTACATGTGCACATTTGTTACATGGGTATATTGCGTGATGCTGAGGTTTGTGATATGATTGAGCCCATCACGCAGGTAGTGAATATAGTACCCAATAGTTTGTTTTCCAACCCTTTCTCCCCTCCCTCCCTCCCACCTCTATTAGTTCCCAGTATCTATTATTGCCATCTTTATGTCCATGAGTACCCAATATTTAGCTCCTACTTATAAGTGAGAACACGCGGTATTTGGTTTTCTGTTCCCGAGTTAATTCGCTTGGGTTGATGGCCTTCCATTGCATCCATTGGGTTTCCTAGGTTTTCTGCTAGGATTCATGTAGGACATGATTTTGTTCTTTTTATGGTTGCATAGTTTCCATGGTGTATATGTACCAGCTCTTTATCCAATTCACCATTAATGGACACCTAGGTTAATTCCATGCGTTTGCTATTGTGAATAGTGCTGCAATGATCACACGAGTGCATGTGTCTTTTCGGAAGAACGATTTATTTTCTTTTGGATATATACCTAGAAATGGGATTTCTGGGTCAAATGTTAAGTTCTGTTTTAAGTTTTTTGAGAAATCTTCAAACTTCTTTCCACAGTGGCTGAACTAATTGACCTTCCCACCAGCAGTGTATGTGGTTCCTTTTCTCTGCAGCCTCACCAGCATCTGTTGTTTTTTCGACTTTTTAATAACAGCCATTCTGACTGATATGAAATGATATGTCATTGTGGCTTTGAATCACACTTCTCTGATTGTTAGTGATAATGTTTCTTTCATATATTTGTTGGCTGCTTGTATGTCTTCTTTTGAGAAGTGTCTGCTCATGTCTTTTGCCCATTTTTTAATGGGGTTGTTTGGTTTTTGTTTGTTCAATTGTTTAAGTTTCTTATAGATTCTGAATATTAGATCTTTGTTGGATGCATAGTTTGCAAATATTTTCTCCCATTCTGTGGGTTGTCTGTTTACTCTGTTGATAGTTTTTTTTGTTCGTTTGTTTTGCTGTGCAGAAGCTCTTTAGTTTAATTAGGTCCCATTTGTTAATTTTGTCTTTGTCACAATGGCTTTTGAGGACTTAGTCATAATTTTTTTCCCAAGACCAATGTCCAAAATGGTGTTTCCCAGGTTTTCTTCTAGGATTCTTATAGTTTGAGGTCTTACATTTAAATCTTTGGTCCATCTTGAGTTAATTTTTGTATATAGTGAAATGTAGAGGTCCAGTTTCATTCTTTTGCATATGGCTAGCCAGCTATCCCAGCACCATTTTATTGAAAATGGAGTCTTTTCCACATTGCTTATTTCTGTCAACTTTGTCAAAGATCAGATGGCTATAGGTGTGCAGCTTTATTTTTGGGTTCTGTATTCTGTTTCACTGGTTTTTGTAGCAGTGTGATGCTGTTTTGGTTACCGTAACCTTATAATATAGTTGGAAGTTGGGTAATGTGAAGCCTCCATCTTTTTTCTTTTTGCTTAGACTTGCTTTGGCTATTGAGGCTCTTTTTTGTTCCATATGAAGGGATAGTTTTTTCTAGTTCTGTGAAAAATGATGTTGGTAGTTTGATAGGAATAACACTGAATCTGTAGTTTGCTTTGGGCATTATGGCCATTTTAGCAATATGAATTCTTCCAACCCATGAGCATGGAACATATTTCCATTTGTTTGTGTCATCTCTGATTTCTTTCAGCAGTGTTTTGTAATTCTTCTCATAGAGATCTTTAATCTCCTTGGTTAAATGTATTCCTGGGCATTTTTTATTATGTGTATGGCTATGGAAATTGGATTGCATTCTTGATTTGGCTCTCAGCTTGAACATTATTGGTGTATAGAAATACTACTGATTTTTTTTACATTGGTTTTGTATCCTGAAACTTTACTGAATTTGTTCCTCAGTTCCAGGAGGCTTTTGGCAGGGTCTTTAGAATTTTCTAGGTACAGACTCATATCATCAAACTTATTTCATTCTCTTGAGTGATTGCTCTAGCTAGGACTTCCTGTCTTTGGTTTACCCTTTGCACAGTTTTCTGCTTCCTATTCTCTACTTTGTCTTCTTTGTTAAGCGTAGATAGTTGTTGGGGCTGGAAAACTAGACTTGGGAGCCAAGGCAGTGTCTAAGTTGCATAAAGAAAAGACACAGACATCCTGGCCAGCACGGTGAAACCCCGTCTCTACTAAAAATACAAAAAAAAATCAGCTGGGCATAGTGGTGGGCGCCTGTAGTCCCAGATACTCGGGAGGCTTAGGCAGGAGAATGGCGTGAACCCGGGAGGCAGAGCTTGCCGTGAGCCGAGATCACGCCACTGCACTCCAGCCTGGGCAACTAAGCGAGACTCCATCTCAAAAAAAAAAAAAAAAAAAAAGAAAGAAAAAGAAAACACACAGATATCTAATGAGATAAATCTATAAAGACAATAGGAAAAAGCTGAGGATGATAATAATGGTTGCTGTTGATTCAGGATCCAATATATTCAAAGAGCTTTCTATATATCACCTCATTTAATCCTCTCAATAATTTTTGACCCCATTAGGGGGTCAAATTCTTGACCGCATTAGAGGCCGAGAAGAAATCAAGTGCCCAAATAGAGAAAGAATAAAAGGAGAAACCAAAGAGAAATAAGAGAAATGTGTGGTATAAGAAGGCGAATGCCTAGAACATGTGCCACTTCTCTCTTTTTCAGGCCTGTGACAAGCATGTTAATCAATCACAGCATCCTAGATGTAACTTGAATTTTCTTCTCCACACAACACTCCAAGCAACCATTACTAACTGGTAGAAGCAAGCACTCAATTTTAAATGTATTTGCTATGCTTAGTGTTGTAAGAAAATCGACAAAGTTCTAAAAGGGGAAGAGTTGGAAGATGCCAGCTGCTTCAGGGGGGCCATGCTGAATAGCACTGATTGTCCGGGAGCACCCTGGTTGTACCTGCAATGAGGGTGTTTTCTGTCGAGGGGTGGTGGTGGGATCCATGCTGTGAGAGGTTAAGAAGGTAATGGAAAGAGAAGTAGAGGCTGCGGGTGCCGGTCACCTGTTCCTTGAATTTGCAAGCAAAGTAGGTTCAAAAGTTGCTCTGATAGGTAGTAGGGTCCAGCAACAGAGAGGAACTGGGTATTCATAACAGAGGCCATAAGGAGAGAGAAGCTGAGAAGCCTAGAGACCACAAATGTGAAAATGCTTCAAAGACTATGAAGTGCTTTACAAACATGCAGAGAAGAACATAGAATAGTAAAATATTTGACTCTCACCTTTTCCTCATTAAAAATAATAGGTGGATAAACAATTTTCTCCAAATATCGTACACATCAGGTACTTAGTCTCCAATGAACTGATAGGATCAATGGCATTAAGCAGCCAGGATGTGGGACGCATGTTCCAAAGGCCTGTTTCTTATTGTCTCAGTTGTCATTTTTATATTTTAAGAACAGATCTTGCTGTGAGTAATTGGAAAGTGTGGGCTCTCTCGTAACCACAGTTCCATCACTGCCTCTCAACTTGACCATGAAGTCCATACAGACCCCACTCCACCTTGGCTCCTACAGAGCTCAGCTTCGATGTACTCCTCAAATTGCTGCAACCACCTCCTCCCTGTCCTGCTGGTAAATAACACCCACCCACCCACCCACCCGAGGCATTTTTTCACAAACACTATCACTACAAAATATTTCTACTAAATGTTCACAAAACGAACAAAATCCATCCGCTATTACTTTCAGAAAATCGTGCCACAAAACAGGCCTCCCACATCACACTCAACGGTTGTGCTACACCTTGTAGTTAAGGTGAGTCTCGGCATGATTCAGCCTGATTCAGCCACGGACAGGAGGGGAGAAATTGTTTTAAGTTACAACCAACGTGGATGACGTTTTCCTTGAGACATAGCTTCCAGGAGTTACCACGACATTTTTCCTATCCATGCTCTGTGTTGAATAACAAAAGCTACAATTTATTGTGCAGCTAATTTGTGCCAAGTACTTACAAAAGTTATTTCGAATCCTTCTAAGTTTAGCAGGGGAGAATCCTGTGGTGGACATAGAGAGATGTCACTCAGGATTTGTTCACCAGCAGGGGGTTGCGGCCAGCAAATGACCTCAAGCTGTCAGCTCCTTTTGGGTCTTCCTCAGCTGCAGAGGACTGCCTGTCTTTCTCAGGGCAGCCTGCATCCTTGTAAATGCCCAGCCATTTTAGCCCAAAGTGGAACATTCCATCAGACAGTTCTCATGCTCCAAAGCTCTGGGGTCAAGGCTTTGTTTGGTCTTCATCAAAGTTTAGCTTCTTCCTCTGCCCAGTCTGTGTCTTCCTCCTTTTTTTTCAAAAGTGCTGATCCCTAGTAAACATCTTGGACTGCAAACTCAGTGTTTGCTTTGAATTCTGTTTCCCAGTCTATAAAAAGGAGATAGCACCTCCTATGGTTATTATAAAGACAAAACAAGATCATGCATAGTAGAGTGCTTTTCACCATGTCTGGCATATAGAACATGCTCAGTAAATGCTTGGCCATGTCCAAAGTCACACAGCTAGAAATTGTTGGATCCAGGACTCCAACCCCTCTGCCTAACCCCTTGGCCCCAAAGTTGGTTTGGAACTCTCTCATGATACTTCTCTGATGCTGCTTTGTTTCATGGTTATTTGCCTGTTATTATATCCCTGCCATCTAGCTGCTAAGTTCTTGGAACAGAGATTACGCTGTATCCACCTGCAACCCCAAGGCCTTGCAGGAGCCTTACACATGGGGTGAAGCTCCATTGTTGTTTAATGACTGAATGGCTGTATGCCTGACTAAATTGCCAACTCTTTTAAACTTCCTGTGGGGCCTGGAAAAAAAAATTGGATCATTTAAGATGCCCAGATTTTACTTGGTGTTTCTGGGTTTCCCTGTCTTCTCTATACCTATTTTACGGGAATCTCTAAGCTAATAAACCTAAACACCAACCTGAACAGGGCAAGGAAGTGACTGTGTTGGACCAGGTTGCAGGGTTTTGAGTGAGAGGCTAGTGCTGGAATCGCATTAGGGAGCTGCCCTGTGCACAGCCCAGACCCCTCTAGGGCTGTTGGCCGGGCAGGGGACACTGAGATGGCCCTGCCGCTGCTCTCAGCATGGGCCCCTGCTGTGGGGTGAGGGGTAGGCAGAGAACCTCCCTACCCTAGCAACTTCTGTCTATCAAAAGAGGCTTCCTGATGGGTTTTCTCACTCACTTTCATGAGCCAAGTACTTGGATGTAAGACTAAAATGATTTGTCCAAATTCTGAAAACTTGGATTGTAATAGTTTCTACAGAACACTTTGGCAGAATAATCTGAAAAAGTCTTTCTTAGTAGAAAGTCACACCAGCATATCATGAAACAAGTCCGCTTGGGTGAGCCAATCTCCTTTCTGATCTTCCCAGGATTCTTCCTTGCCACAAGAAGAGCTGGGAATTCACTGTAAGGCGGGCCTAGTCCAACGTTGGACTATATAAAATTGTTTTTCTTTTGTCTACCTCCTCCACTCCTTTTCACTATGAGGGAGATTTTAAACAGAATTCTTTGATGTTTAATTACCTTCCAGCAGAATTAAATCTTTAAAGAGGAACCCAGAGAGGGCAATGCTTAACCTAAAGGTTTTAATGGTGGAATTTGAGGCCATATGACACCGTCCCATCCCAGCAACTGCCTCCACTCTGTGTTAAAGGCAGGTCTTGCTCACAATGTCTCTGCCATGCTATCTGCCAAGGGCTGTGGCAGTGTGGGATACCATATGTTTAGTAAAGGTATTATTATAATCTAGGTTGTATTGGGCCAAAACATCACATGATTGGATGATATAGTTAGAGGAAACAGAGCAGGAGAAATTAAGGCACACACTATGAAGAAACGGGAAAAAATATTTTTTTCAGATGAGAATTGAAGTAAGATGGAACTAATGAGGCAGAAAGCAGTTTGGATTGGCTACTTAGAATGCCTCCTCAGGGAGGTGGGAGGTAAGACAGAGATGCTGGATGGATCTGGCCCCAGTGTTTCTTTTTATTTTTTTAAAAACATTTCTCCCACCCCCCCAATTATAAGTAGTACATGCCTATTGTAGAAATTTTGTAAAATAGATAATTATCGAGATGAAAGTTAAAAGCCATATATGAAGATTCTACTGCCTAGAGTCAGCCATTCTTGACAGTTTGGAATGTTCCCGAGTGGCCTTTAGAAATTATACACACATGTATTAATTTTTTCCCAGAAATGTTTTGGTTTAATAGACTGTCCTTGTTAGTATGTCAATAATAGTAAATTTCATATCTACTGTCTTTTGATTTCCAGGCCTGCTCTAACAATGTGACGTGATGTGTCCTTCTAGACAAGGCCAATATTAATGATGACATGTGAGTTTGCATTTGTATGGTGGCTGTATTTAGCATAGTTGCTGAAATCTTTCGTAATTCTAATAGTCCATATGGAAATTTTCAAGGATTTTCCACATCAAGAAATCATAATACCTGTGAATAATGACAATGCTGTCTCTTCCTTTTTAGTCCATTTACCTCTGAATTTTTTTTCTTGATTTACTCTGTTGGGTAAGATCTCCTGTAGAACAATGTTGACTAGAACTTGGGACAAAGGACAGAGTATCCTGTAGAGCTTCTAATGTTTTAAAAGTGTAAAATTAAAGACTTGCTCATAATAAAAACTGTTCACCAACTATAAAAGAAAAATATTTTTCAAAACTTGATGACAAGCATCTACCAAAAATCTAACAAGAATATTCTACTTTTAACACATATTGCCCATGTCTAGGAGGATAAATGCATATTAATAATTGAATATGCATGTGAATGCATATTAGTTAGGAAGCCTAGAACTCGAAAGGTAATGAATATGATATTAATATTATGCACATATTAAAATGGACATCTTTCTAAATCAAAGCCTTTCTGGAAAAAATATAACATGTTTGTGTAATTTCTTTAAGGCCAGTAGGGAACAATTCTAACATGTTAAAAATGGTTGACTCAAGATACTGGAATTTATATTTATAAAAGACAAACAAGTTTTAAGACAAAAATAATTTATAGGGAAAAAGATAAAGCACAAAATAATGATAAAAGGAAAAATTCACTAGAAAGATAATGCATATTTTTAAAAAACAATTTTATAATCTCTTTTAGTGGGTAAATTTAATATAATTATATTTATTTTGAATATTTATATTTTTAGAAGTACATATTCAATTTTTATTCTTTTAGCGGTTACCTTTGAATTTTTAGCCTACATACTTAATTTAAGAAATCTAACATTAAATCAACACATCTACCCTCCGTGGAACAATACCAGAGCCTTAGAATGTTTTAATTCTGGTGACTCTCACTTACGATCCACGTCGTTATCTAAAATTTTGGTTCTGTTTTGTTTTTAAATGCCCTAAAATTAGTCATTATATTATGTATAGAGTTTTTGTTTTGTTTTTCTTTCATTTCTACAGTTGATACTTATTTGGACTTCCCTTTGCATTTACCAATTTATTTGCTCCACAACGTTTTATGTGTTCCTCTTCTATTTTCTAGGTTCAATTTATTTCTAAATAAATACCTCTCTTCAGTAGTTCTTTCGGCGATGACCTATGAGTGATAAACTCTCTTTGCTTTGTTTTGCCCTCACTCTTGAGTGATGGTTTCTCTAGGTATACAATTCCTTGTTGACAATTATATTCCTGAATACCTTGAGGATAACATTCCACTGTATCTGGGCTCTATTTTTTCTGATGAAACATCAGTCCATTTATTGTTTTTTTTTGTTTGTTTGTTTTTAGATATCTGTCTTCCCTATCTTCTAAATTCTTAAAATTTCTGTATCATTTTTCATCTCTTTATTTTTCAATGCTGTAATTAATGGCAATGTCTTTAATTTTATAAACATGCATAATTTACTCAATTGTCTTCTTAACTGAACATTTATATTTGCTTGCTTTTTAAAATTAACTATTCATGCTGGGATTGGCATTGAGTATACATATACTTTTCCATACATTGCATATTAAGTTACATGCAATACAGAGTAATTAATTGAGTTAGGAGGAAGGGAAATTATTAATAGGAAAACAATAAAACAAAGTACAGGGTAAGCACAGAAAAATTAATTCTACTTTTTCCTTGAGGTAAGCTATGAAGCTAAGGTGCCTCAGGGGAGATGGAAACATGGTTTAAATATGTTTTACATTGTCCATAAAATAAAATTGAATGAATTACTCAGGAGAAGTGAACTTTTTTCCTAACACTATTATAGATGAAGAAGACACCCATGGCATGATACTGACATGCAATTCAGTCATGGTGATTCTAAGAGGAGTTGAAACAATGTGTTTCATATATACAACTTTCTGAGAGTCTGACTTCTTCTATGAGTAATGTTCTAAATATTTCCTACAGGGTCTTAATCTGCAGACTGTGAAACTTCTGGAATTGTCTGCCAAGTTTGTATGTTGCCTTTTGGGGTACAGAGATTTGAGGCTGTTGCTGTTAGTCCTGTCTGATTTTGTATAGGGATCCACTCCAGCCTGAGACCTGAGTTGGCTCAACTATCATATGGTGAAGCTTGTTTATGCTCTGTCTCTTTCTAGATCTGCACAGGAAGCACAAAGCTCTGGTTACCACTGGAAGCCGTCTTGCCCCCATAAACCAGCCTTAGGATGCCACTGATGCTGTATGGCAGAATGGAGTAACAGAGAGAAGTAAGTTGTTGATGACACCATTCACTGCTGATTGTACCATGTCTGGAATCTGCTCTACATCTAGATTTCAGTTATTTCCAGATATTTTAATCGAATGTAAGCCAATGTGAATCATGTTTTTATGACTTGCATCAGTAAGCATTGTAACTGATACAGAGATGCATAACTTGCCATTGAAGAATCTATGACTAAACGGATGTAGGAATCAGCTATAAAAATGGATGACAGACTGGGTGTGGTGGGTCATGCCTGTAATCTTAATGCTTTTGGAGGCTGAGGTGGGAGGATCACTTGAGCCCCGGAGTTCCAGATTATAGTGAATTACGATTGTGCCACTGTACTCCAGCCTGGACCACAGAGCAAGACTCTGTCTCAAAAAACAAAAAGAAAAGAAAGAAATAAAAAGGAAAAAAGAAAGAAATGGATGACAGGTCATAAGAGTTGTCACATACATAATGTTTTCTAAGCACTAGGCAGTGGTCTTCATATTCTATGTACATCAATTTATCATCATAAGAACTCAGTAAGATTGGTATTATCATCCCCGTCATTATCTCAGTATCATTTCCATTTACAGAAGTAGAAAGTGAGTCATGAAGGTTAAGTAACTTGGCTAAGTTCACTCAGCTGCTGAGCTCAAGCAGCCTGGCCCCAGAGCCTGGGTGCTTAACCACTATACTATACTGCCTCTCGGTGAAGTGCACGTACCTCCTACAGAGGTCACATGTCTTCCAACCTGGGGTTTTGGGTAAACATTGGACAACATAGAGGTCACGATTTTAATCCTTGGTAAGAACTTGGAGGACAGCTATTCTGAGTTGCCAAGGAGTTGGCAGATATACAACTTCAATAGTCAGTGGGGAAGGGAGGACAGCATACGGGTTAAGAGCAGGAATTGGTACTCATCCTGAGTTGAATCTAGCTTTGCTGCTTACCAGCATTGTGATCTAATCTGTGGGAGTTTTATTTTCTGCAGCTATAAGGTGGGGGATAGTAATCTCCAGCTTGCAAGGTTTTATAAGGTTTAAATAAAATGATTTCTACAGAGGATGGACTTCCTGCTGAGAGACCACAACTTAGAATGGATTGTCTCTAGCCTCGGTATGAGTGTGGGGAGGCCTGGTGGTGAGTCTCTGTATAGCTGGGTATCAAGGCACAGTGCCTGATTTGGAAAGTAGAATTAAAAGCAGATGCTGCTGGGTGTGGTGACTCACGCCTGTCATCCCTGCACTTTGGGAGGCCGAAGTGGGCAGATCATGAGGTCAGGAGGAGATCAAGACCATCCCGGCCAACATGGTGAAACCCCGTCTCTACTAAAAACACAAAAAATTAGCTGGGCGTGGTGATGTGCACCTGTAGTCCCAGCTACCTGGGAGGCTGAGGTGGAAGAATTGCTTGAACCTGGGAGGCGGAGGTTGCAGTGAGCTGAGATTGCACCACTGCACCCCAGCCTGGCGACAGAATGAGACTCTGTCTAAAAGAAAAAAAAAAAGTAGATGCTTTATTGGTATGAGACACCTAGAATAGGCAAATTCATACAGACACAAAGTAGAATAGGGGTTACCAGGGACTGGGGTAAGAGGGGAAAGGGAATTTGTGATTAATGGGTACAGTGTTTCTGTTTGGGGGGATGGATAGGGGTGATGGTTGCACAACAATGTGAATGTATTTAATGTCACCGAAGTATACACTTAAAAAATAAACTGACAAATTTTATGCTATGTATATTTTACCACAATAAAAGAATGAGAAAAAAAAAGCAAGAGCTCATGATAGTTACTGGTTAAGTGACAGTTGGGATGATGATCACTGGTTATGAACACCATGAACAGAAACTCTGGTATGAAATTTAAAACCCATAAAAATAATAAGATTATATTTTAGAGCACTTTTTATACATAATATCTATTTGATCATAATCATTAGTGTCCATAATAAAAAAAAGTCAAAAAAATCATGAGGTAGAGAGGATAGCAAAAGGTCATTTTCCATTGCCTTGCTGTTTGGAAACAGTATATTTCAACCCCCGCCAAGGGCTTGCTCTGTGGTGAAAGGGCTATGACCCACACGTATTACCAGGAGGCACGAAGCCCATAACGTATGTCCCTCCAGCCCTACAGATGGAGGTGAGGCTTTCCTCGGAGGCCCCATTCAGTTCCCATAGTCCTTACTGAGCATGCTGTTAAGCCTCAGCCTTAAAAATAAGAAGTGTCTAATAAAAAAAAGTGCATGACCTCCTGTGACTAAAAGAAGGGAAAAAAAAATCTAACTCTAAACTTTTAAAAGAAAGTGCATTTTTATAATAACAATAAAATCCTCCCAATCAAGCCTTTAAGAGGCAGTCTGCATCCCCATCTTTGCCTGGGGCCCATAACTATCCTTAGCTAATCTTTCTCTGACAGATAAAGAGCTGCTATATCCGTTCTTATAGCTCCATTTTAAACTTTATTCAGAGAAGTGGGGAGAAGAAGCCCTGGATGAGAATAAAGAATGAGTGTTTGAGAGTGGGCAAGGGGAAGAGCAAGATGGGATTACTTATTTGCAGAATAGATGCTTGTAGAAAAAGCAAATCTAAGATCCAAAGCCCTGTGGTTTGTTCAGCGACACTTTAGACAAATCTTTGAGACTGCAGGATCACATCTAGGTCAGTTGTCTCCAGAATTCCCTATTCACTCCAGTCCAGCCTTGCTGGAGGTGTACCATCAGGGAGGGTTATTCCGACAGATAGAATGGGTGCCCAGATGGCCACCTTCTGAATGAGGAGAGAACAAGAGGAGGTTTTCACAGGCTGTGGCAAGTGCAAAGGTGAGAAACAAGCAGAAAGCATTTGTGAGAATTCTAAGTCCTCACCAGTGGTCCCCAAGAAAAGCTATGAAATCTGTGCAAGATATCTCTAAAAATAAAAAAGATATTTATCAGCTCAAGATGGCTTCCATTTAACTCTGTACTAGAAGTAGATCATTCTAAAGGACCATTGGAGTTCTACGGTGCTGTATCTTCATGAAATTGATATTCTTAGTCAATATGGACCTTGTTAGAAGGCTCCGGGAGGGTGTACCCCCAGCTCACATAGACACCTTTCTCTGTGACCTGCCCTTTTCTCATGGATAGGCAGAGGCAGCCATGTTTGTACTATTTGGTTTCATCCTCCTGGCTATAGCTGATTGGACCCTGACCCAGGAAAAGCTGGTTAAATTCTTACCCCCAGGGGGTTAAGCGTATCTAGATTGGTATAGTTTGCTAGAAGTAAAATAAACTCAGAATCCTTGAAGATACCATCATTCATCATATCTATGGAAAAATAAAAAAAAAAGTGGTCTGTTCAGAGATAAAGAGCTAAGAGTATTTGTGGTTCCTGTAATCTTTCTACTCCTCAGTTCTAGTCCTTTTTAAAGATCTGGCTATACTTGGGTTCTAGGAGCTGTGTCAATCCTTCCAGTAAATTATTATGTCTTAAACTAGCCAGAATTGGTTTCTGTTACATGCAACTAAAAGAATCTTAAGTATTTTCAACTCAAATGTGGGGCATGAAGTCTGTGTCTATACAAAAGACTATTAGACTGACAATTGGGGTATGCATCATCTCTGAGTTTGCTATCTCCTGGGTAGTTTCTTATGTCAGAGATGTCCCAACCTCCTTCCATGGGGTCCACCTCCTGTTATCTTCAGATCCCATCTAGATATCTGGGGAAATCACCAAAGGATCCCAAACTAGGAGTTACCTTAATTATTCTTTTCTCAACCTCTCTCCCAATCATCCAATCCCTCCTCAAATCTTTTTGGTTCTACTTCCAAAATAGATCCCAAGTTGATTCACTTCTCTTTATTTGCAGAGTGGCTACCCTAAGCCATCAGTGCCTTTAGTCTGGATTACTGCAATGGCTTCTGAGGTGGCCTCTGGCCTCCCTGTATCCAGTTTGTTCTCTCTCCTCTCCCAATACATTATCTACATGGCAGCTAGATTGATCTATTTGAAATGTAAATTAGATCATGTCACCTTCCTACCTGAAACATCCTGTATTAGTTAGAATGCAGGCTGAGTTGATATAACAAAGAAACCCAAAATGCAACTGCTCAAGCAAAGGAAGGCAGATGGTTCAGGGCAGGCAGGTGGCCAAGTTATGGACAGCCATGAAGGGACCCAGAGTCCTTCTATCTTGGTGCTCACCATATCATAAGGTGCTACCCTACACTCTCCAAAGTCAAAGCTGGCTCTCTAGCCAGATGCACACACCAACCGCTGAGATGAGGAAAAGAGAAAGTGGAGGGAGGGCACATGCTCAAACATTTTAAGAACTAGGTCCAGAAGCGGCATACATCACTTCTGCACATGTCTTGTTGACAGGAGCTTAATCCTATGGCCACACATATATGCAAAAAAGACTGGAAAATGGACCTTCTAATCATGTGGGCATTTGCTGGCTAAAACTCAAACATTCTAGGACTGAAAAAAAGGAGAGACTGGATGGGTGGGGGCAGGGGGAGACAACTAGTAGTCTTTTCCACACTCCCTAATGGCTGCCCATGCTTGCACAATGAAGTCTAAACATTTCATGATGGCCGCCAAGGGCATCTGGCCTCTCCCTATGTCCTCTTGCCACTCTTTCCTTTGCTCATGGGGTGGCACAAGGACCTCTCTTCTTTCTGCTCCTGGAAAATGCCAAGCCTGCTCTTGCCCTGGGGTATTTGCACTTGCTGTTCCTTCTGCCTAGAAAGCTCTGAAGTCATGTCACCACACGCCTAGCTCCTTCTCACCCGTTGGATCTCAGCTCAAATGCACCTTCCTTCGAGAAGCCTTCCCTGCTCTTTCTGTCTGCATTGCCCAGGCTCCCATGGCTTACCCTTCCCCGTCACTTTCCATCATTGTTCTTTGTTTTGTTGACTTTGTATCATTTTTAAATTCATCTGAATTTATCTTGATAAATTCATCTTTGTTCGTATGGTCGCTTATTTGCTTATTTATCTGTTTCCCCCACCCCCGACCTTAGAATTTGAGCTTCCAGAGAGCAAGGACTTTGTCTGTCCTCTTTACCACCCTAGACCAGTACAGGGGACAGTACCTGGCTCGTGGTACAGACTCACGTATTGGCTAAGCGAATCAGTGGTCAGCTTGGATCTGGTACCAGCATTCCTAAATAGAAGCTTTTCTCTTAAATTTTGGGAATAGTCTCCCATCCCTATCTTCTGTCTCCCAAAAGTGTCTTATCTTGCTAGAGACATGGCCCTGCTTTGATGGGTCCTGGTTCCTTGCTCTGGGGCCAAATCAGTGTCATTTGTTCTATAACCTCATCACCCACTGGGCCAATTCAATCTGCTTTCCATTCCTGAGATGGGTATGAAACCTGCCTGCTACTTACATCCCTGGAAATGTGGGGGAATGAATCAGTTACCTGAAATAAGGGAATAATTTTTTATAACTGATTTAATCATGTGCAGGATGACTTTCAAGCTGACTTTGATTAATGGATCTTCCAAACAACACCATCTCCTAACCCCCACACAGCCCTCCACCACCTCGTCTCCTGTGCACTTGGAGGAAGTTGAAGGGTGTAGTATTTATAACAAGCAAGTCTGAGTGCTAGAATTCCTGGAGAGTTACACAGGATGAGAACCTAGCCCGATAATAATAATCCTAAATGTTATTATATGTCATTTCTCTGCGAAAGTCATCTAGGTAGCTCCCAAAAGGACCATGCAGGAAAAATTCCACTGTCAGCGTGTGCCAAAAGTCTTAATGAGGAAGGTTCAGGGGTTTTAATTAAAAAGGGCTCATTCAGTGGCCTTTCCCCAGTCAGAATAAAGTCTGTTCCTAACATATGTGCTGTGGCAGTCAATGCTGGGAAGATGATCTTGCCATCTTTAGGCCCATTTATCTAAGGAAGGCAGACTCCCAAGCCTATCCTGAGACATTGCTCTGCCCAAAATGAAATTCCATCCTCAACAGCCAACTTTGCTGAAGTATTGTCAGCCCCTGTGGAGGGAGGATAGCGAAGGTCCTGAACACCTGGAGAAAGCCATCCGAGGGGTGTTCCTTCTCAATAGTGCTTAATACAGTATTAAGCAAAGATTTCTCTGGATCATGAATAAGTGTGGCTGTCAGTATATCTGCCACTGTTGAGTTAAATAAAAATGGAAACATCAGAAAGAGCATTTAAAAAACCCCAGTAATCATTTTACCCATTACTTTACAAATAGGTTTCTACTTACTGATTCCTATGAGAATAAAAATGCCATAAGGGGAGAAAAAAGCTCTTCTTTTTAAGTCAAGCTGGAGAATGAGTGTGTCAGAACACCCAGGAGAGATATTCAAGCTTCTAGCTCCATCTTAGATTGCAATCTGATGTCTGATGGGACCTGGGTCTCACTAGCAAGATATGGCAGGTACTTTTCAGCTGTTTTCTGATGGGAAGCCAAGCTGCGGAGTCGGGCGAGGAAGCTATGTGTACCTGCAAGTTCTGGTGGATGAGACCACAGGCGTTTGCACATCCTGCATGTTAAGCTGTTGACCTAGAGACCTGCAAAGTTCCAAGGAGCTCGTTTCTGCTCAGAGAAAACAGCTCTGATTGGCAATAGCAGCTAATGAATTCTTACTTGGAGGCAAACATTGACTTCACCTTTGAACCCCAAAGAACCTTTGGAAAGCTCAGAGCTTTTTAAGGAATTTTACCTTCAGGCTGAGGATTTTAGGCCACATAACGTCAGTGGAATGATGAAAGGTCAGCATCCTAGTATCCTGCAGACAGAGGACTTGAGGAGTGTGGGGTCAGCAACCAGCCCCTCAAATGGGTCAGTGCTCAAGCCAGCTGCTAATCCCATTTAAAGACATTGCTAGCACTGAAGGTTCATGTGACCTCATAGATGCCATTGATGTTAGAATCAGAGAGGCTTGTGACCATTTCCTCTTGTTTTACTGAGGAAGAGGATGAGGATCAGGGAGGTGCCCATGGTCATTGTCTTGTTTACAACACAGCTCAAATATTTCCTGGTCAGAAATATCCAGGACTAGCTTTGGTGATGTGACAGATAAATAGAGCCTAATATTTTGTAGTGAAAATGACCAGAAGCTCTGAAAACCAGAAGCAGATGCAAGTCCACAGGAAGCATGATTAGAATGCCCCTGGCACACCTGCTGTGGAACGCAAGGTGGGAGAGACTCAGGTGGGAGCATTCCTCACCTCCCACTAGGAGCATCTGCCCAAGGACTGATGCGCGCCTGGCCAAAATGTCTTGACATGAACTTCCAAGCATTGAAGGGAAGGCTGATGGCCCTGCAAGACATGGAAAGGAATGCCAGTTGTAGACTGCAGGCTCATCAGTGAGCGCAGGACTGTTGCCACTCAAGCACCACCACCACCATGGCCAGACGTTGAGAAGCAAGAAGACAGAAATAAAGAGGCAGAAAGAAGGACATGAAAACCTACCTGATGGAACAATAGTGAAAAGTCCAGAGAGGCTTGCTCAGAACTCTAGCCTTTGTCACTTTGCAGGTTTATAGTTATTCCTTTTAGAGGGTTTTTATTGTGCATGTGTGTATTACCAGTGAATATTGAGCAAGCATTTACTGGGTATCAATTTTGTCTAAGGCACTATGCTGGAGCAGTGAATATGACACAATCCCAGACTGGAGAATCTCTAGACAATGCCATGTGAAAAGTGCCGTAGAAGGAGTCTGAGGTGCCATAGAATGACAGTGGGAAGGGAGTACCAATGTCTAACTGCAAGAATCAAGCACTGCTTTAAAGAGAGTGACATATGTACTCAGTCTTCTACTTCACAGGGTGAAAGAATGGGGCTTTGTGTTCTAAGCCAGGAGTCAATATGCAAACTTTTTCTCTAAAGAGCCAGATAGTAAATATTTCAGGCTTTGCAGGTCATAAAATCTCTGTTTCAACTACTAGAGTAGTTGCAAAAGCCACTGTAGACAATACATTAATGAACGGATGTGTCTGGGTTCCAATAAAACTTTATTTACAAAAACAGGCATCAGGTCAGAATAACCTGAAAGTCACAGTTCATCAACTGGTATTCTAACCCCTTGATGAGCCAAATCCCATTTAATGCTCACAACAACCCACTTGGGTAGGTACAGATGAAAGAGAACTTAGGCAACTTGTCCAGAGCAATACAGCAAGTAAAGGGCTGAGGCAGGATTTGAACTCAGGCCATCTGCTTTCAGAGTCAAATCCCCAACCCCTCATGCTTCCCTTATTTTTAAGATAAGCTTATAAATAATCATCACAACATCCCCCAATCCCATTTCTTCCTCCCCTCTCTGTCCCTTCTGTCATTTCCTTGCTTCTGTGTTTTTTTTTTTTTTTTTTTGCCCTTTATTTTTCGAAAACAAACAAACATATTTTTTGAACTTCTATAATTTGCCCAGCACAGTGCCAGGCACTTTGGAGAAAACATCGACAGAAGATAATACAGAATCCCTGCATTCCGTTGGTTTATCATCCCATCAAAGACCCAAGGCACATAGAAAAGAATAAGAAAGTGTTGGGGGAGGCAGGAAGCCTCCTTCCTGCTCTGGGGAGCTTGTCCTAGGTAGAGGGGGTTCACCTGTGTGACTCAGCTGGCCATTCTCCATCCAGCTGTCCCCAGAAAGGAGGAGTGTGATGTTTTAACTGGAGAGCCATGAAGAGGAACAGGGCACACAGAACCACGCTCCCTTCCTTCCCCTTCCTGTTAGGAGCCAGGCTGCCCACAAGAAGTGCTTGCTTTGCTCTCTCCTCTGTGATCATTGGCAAGGGCGGGGATCTGTGCCCCAGGGAAGAGCTGTCCCCAGTGCTGCCTGTGACAGGGTGACTAGGCTGTGAATTCTGCTAGTCTAATAGCACATTTATCAACAATGAAGATGTTATTTTGGTCTCCACATGCCCTATTCTTTTGTCTTATTTCTCAATTAGTTTGTGACTTGCTGGCAATGCCTGGCATTATTAACCAGGCCTATTGAATCCCCCAACAGCTGATGCCAGAGAGCATGTGAGAAGTGCCCTCTGCTTCCCCCTTCCTCTGAAAAAAGGACACAGATTGCTGGTCAGAGTTTGGAGGAGGGAGAAGAGGTCTCTGTGGCCTTGGAGGGAGGTTAGGAAGCTTGGATAGCTTCACTGAGGAAACAGACAAGTCTTCAGGGAGAAATATCGTTCAGAAAGGCTAATCTTAGAGCACATGTTTGTTGCTGTTTGGAATCAGGACCTCGAGGTCCCCATACTTCGAAGAATTTTCTCAGGACCTCTTCTCTGGGAAGAAGAAATTCTGCCTCAGAAACTTTGTATGGACACAAAGGATGATTTTAAACGTCCAGAGTGTGCATTGAATGATAGAAACTTAGAATTAGAAGGAACTGTAGAGATAATTGTATCTAATTTTACAGCAGTGAATCCCAAACATGGGCTGCCTCAGAATTACCTGGGGAGTTGAAAAAATATGGATGTTTAATTGCCACCCCTGGAGATTCTGATTCAGTAGTTCTGGGGCAGCCATGGTGATGGTGGTGGTGGTAGTGGTGGTGGAGTGGTATTTTAACAAGCTTCCCAGGTGACTAGGCAGTGAGGTTTGGTACACCTGGCAGGTGATCACCCAACATTCATCTCAACACTCCCAATGATTGGACTCACTGAAGCGGCGTTGTTGTCTGGGATAAATACCCGAGGTTCGTTGTCTCACACCAAGGAAATCAAGTACACGACACACAAGAAGTAGGTTTAGGAGTAGAAGTTTAATAGGCAAAAGAAAGAGAAAGGAGAATAGCTCTCTCTCCTGCGAGAGAGGGATGCCTGAGTGGGACTTCTGGCCCACTGCCAAGTGCACAAGATTTTATAGACTGGCTTGAGGAGGTGGTGTCTGATTTACATAGGGCCCAAAGATTGGTTGGACCAGGTGTTTACATAGCACGCAAGGAAGCTGGCTGCCCCACCCTAATCTTCTGTTATGCAAATGAAGTCTTTGCCTGGCAGGTGCCATGTTGCCTGCTCCTTACTGTACACATGGTTGACAAAGAAAATGGAAGATGTAGCTGCCATTTTTAACATACCTAGTCCCCAGGTAGCCCCTTATTATTGGCACAGCTGCTGGTATTCACCTGTGCAAGCTTCTAGCTTGCCTTTCTATGTCTGCAGCTTGATTTTACAGGCTGTTCTTTGTCACAAAAGAAAATGATTTGGGGGCTGCTTAGCATTAAAAGGAAAACCTTACCTTACCTTTGTTTTGTTTTGTTTTTGTTTTTTTTTGTGACAGTCTCACTCTGTTGCCTAGGCTGGAGTGCAATGGCGCCATCTCAGCTCACTGCAATCTCCGCGTTCTGGGTTCAAGAGATTCTCCTGCCTCAGCCTCCCAAGTAGTTGGGATTACAGACGTGCACCATCAAGCCCAGCTAATTTTTATATTTTTAGTAGAGATGGGGTTTTGCCATGTTGGCCAGGCTGGCCTCGAACTCCTGACCTCAAGTGATCCACCTGCCTCAACCTCCCAAAGTGCTGGGATTACAGGTGTGAGCCACCCACCGCACCTGGCCAATAATACCTTTTTAAAAAGGCTGTTATTAGGAGATTCCACAAAGAGCCTCATAAACTGTTATATATGATACACAAAGAGGCTTCGTGTCATGTTAGTTACACCTGTGATGCCAATGCCCAGTCTGCGTGAGCACATGGTCTCTCTCTCTCTCCTTAGAATCTTTCTTTTTTCATTCTTTTACTTTCTCTCTTTCTCTCTGTCCTTCTTCCTCTCTCCTTCCCTCCTTTCCTTTATTGTATCTCCTCTCTCTGTTGTCTCCGTTTTTTCATTTCCTTTTTCTCTTTCCTTCTTTCTTCCTCACTCTCTTTCTTTCTTCTTTATTCTCTCTCTCCTTCCCTCCCTGCTGTTTCTTGTGTGTGTGCGTGCGTGTGTGTGTGTGTGTGTGTGTGTGTGTGTGTGTGTAGAAAGAAGAACCTGGGAGACAGAGTTTTGTTTTAAAGAGTATTACTCCTAACATGTATATGTACTATGTTTTGGAGAGCCTTGCCTCTACCATGTATAACAGGATGTCAAATGTAGCTTTTATTTTGTTCTTTTTAAGTTTTGAGTTTTGGCCAAGGACTCAAAGTCTGAGAACAGGAGATGTCCAATCACCCATAGAAGAAA
This sequence comes from Homo sapiens, assembly GCF_000001405.40. Lineage (NCBI taxonomy): Eukaryota > Metazoa > Chordata > Mammalia > Primates > Hominidae > Homo > Homo sapiens. The sequence continues at coordinate 151,932,996 of NC_000004.12, forward strand.
TGTCAAGGGATCGTGAAGCTGATTTTGCAACCCTGAGCTTATGGCCCACCTTGGGGTATATAAGAAATCCTTAAAGATACAAAAATCAGAAGGAGAGGATTTCTTTTGAACGAGTTGTTAGGGTGCTGGGAGCTTCCCTCACCTAAAGCCGAGTGAAGATGGCTTCAGGTACCTCTCAGGGGGCTGACATGAGTCCCTGAACATTTGGAGTCTCCAGGCAGGTTCTGGCTCCTCAGGCATGTCTGAAAATCAAAAGCTAGAGACTGGCTGGGCAGTTGGCCAGTGGCAGAGTGGAAAGAAGGCTGCTTGGCGAAGAGCTCACCACTCAGAGTCGTGCTTCCTGAGCACCAGTGTTGACCACACCGAAGATATCTGACTGCCAGTCATCTTGAGGGACTCTGGCCAAGGTGACCCCTGGATGGCAGTGTGCCGCAGCAGAAGTGTGGGGGACGGAGTCGGGGACTGCCTGGTGCTGAGGATGTCATAAGAGGCAACATTGCTCAAATTAAGGGGAATAGAATCTCCTTGCTGTTGGCTCCAGAATCCATGCTCTGCCACTTTTTTTTATTGCTTTTTTGTTTTGTTTTGTTTGAGATAGGTCTCACTCTGCCGCCCAGTCTGGAGTGCGATGGCGCCATCTAGGCTCCCTGCAACCTCCGCCTCCCAGGTTCAAATGATTCTCATGCCTCAGCCTCCAGAGTAGTGGATTTGCTGCCAGTGCTGGGATTACAGGCATAAGCCATTGCGCCCGGCCATGCTCTGCCACTTTCTAACTGGGCAAGTTACATACTACCCTGTGCTTTAAAACCCCCACCTGTACTATACAAGTCTATGTCCAGGGAGCATCAGCACTAGATTACACCCATACAGGTCTTTCCAATTTTCCCCTCTAATCCTTTCTGCCCTGGGCTTAAGCCTGAGGGCCTTGAACTAGACCCTGTGAGTTGGAGGGGAAGTTAGGGAGAAAGGGGGTTTCCTCCTCACTGCGATGTTCCAGGCTCCTCCTTCTTCCCCCAGCCCTGCTCCAACAAGTTTCCCAAACTACAGCAGGCCCAAGCTGGGGGGAAGGAGGGAACATTAAATAAATACAATAGAAATCAAAAGTTGAAATACAGGCAAGAGATTGCATTGGTCTGGCCTAGAGTTGGTATCTGGGTGTGACTGGAGGAGTTGTAAGATCTGCCTGGATGTTTTCAGAGTGGAGAGGACCAGGGCCACAGGGAGCTCAGGTCAGCAGGTTGCTTCCTGCTTGCAACCAAGATATCCAATAAGCTCATTCAATAAATGCAAGTGTAGAGACTGTTTTGAAACTGGCTTTTCTGGCAATTACTTTTAATTCTGCCCACAGGCCTTTGGAACAGAGAAATGTCTTTCAAATCTTTCACTTCATGGAGTGGGTAAGCAGTTGTATTATTTCTGGGGGTAGTCACTTCCCCTCCATGACATGCGAATATTGCTAGAAATATTAGAGTTTCCGATTTCTCTAGGAGAAATCTGGGCATTTTCTGGAATGGGGAAAGATGAGACATGCTGGCCTCAATGCAAATTGTCTATGAGGCAGACTTTCAGAACCGTTTTGGTAGCTCTGATTTTTGACAAAATCCATTGCTAGGTTATTCTGCAAGTTATGGGAATGTTTCTGGGTTTTTCTAAGTGTTTGGGCAACTCCTTATTCTTGGGCAATTTTCTAATTTTATTTATTATTATTTTGTTGTTGTCATTCCTATTTTTCTAGGAGATCTTCCTGTGGCTTGAAACTTCTAGCTAATATTTAAAGTTGCCCCTGAATCACGTGCCTTCCTTTCCTAACTGTTCAGGTATCTTTCATTTTGGCAAATGACGGTTACCAGCTGTGATTAAAATATGGAGCCAATGCTTTAGGACTGACACAGAGGATAGTCTTCCTGCAGGACAGATGGCACCTCCGGCATTACTCAGACCAGCCATCTAAGCCCATGTTGCTTTGGATGTGTGCCTGAGGTCAAGGGTCCAACCAACTCATGAGTAGGCCCCAGGCCAGTTTACCAGATGGATGAGGATGAAAGGCAGGGCCTGGAGAGAGTCTATGCACAGGGAGGGGTTGCAGCGTTTTACTGTCTCCCTAAAGAGGTCTTCATACTTAATGCAAAAATTATGGTTTACCGTGAGAGTCAGGCATTTAAAGAGAAATTTCTGCCCATTCTGTCAAATGCCCTCAGACATGGAATCAAGTGAGAGAACTCTGAATATTAGCCTTTATCTGAATTGACCAAAAAAGGCTCTCTAGGGACAGAAAACTGGAAGTTTGAATAGTCTGCTAACTACCTCTGTCATGGCAAATCCTGAGGGTAGAATGAGCATGCAGACTGCATGGACCTGGGCCATTGGGACACTGGAGTGATGGCCCCAGATGGCTCTGTGGACAGATTGGGGACTATGGGGAGGGCATCCCAGGGCAGAAGAAATGGGTCTTCAAGACTATGTTTCTTCCTGTTTTAGTGCATTTTTCACCTCTTCTGCAAAGAGTTTGTGCCATAAATACCCTGTCTTTTGTACAGCTGACATTGGAGTTGTCTCTCTGTGTGGCAATTGGCTGGCCCTGGGTCCTGCCAATAAAGTAATCATGGGGGCCCTTGCAGGGAGGCAGGGCTGGGATAATAAGAACATCATGTGCTGATCTGTGGATCTAAATTTATTTTTGTTGAACAGCAACATGCTTACCTGGCCAGGAAAGTTGGAAATGCAAGGCTAACGATATCTGCATTCCAAACACCTAAATGAATTTCTGGGAAAAATTGCAGGCAGCCTTCAGGGTTTTGTAGATGGAGAAGGGAAAGGGACCCTGTGCAGACAAGAGAGCTAGGGCAGGACCCTACTGATGGCAAAGGAAATGTACCATGAAAGGCACTTATTCTTCCCTGTTCCAGGTGACAGGAAAAGAAGACTAGAAGGAGAGCTGAGGAAACTGATATCTATGCTTTTCAGACCTAGTTCTGCCTTAGGCTGTATATCTGAGTTTGAAAGACACGATTTCCTCCACCCAGAGAAGGTGTCTTACAACAATGTGAACCATGCAATAGGATAATCAAAGAACCATTTGATAGAAAAGTCGGGAAGCCGGTGAGCCCCAGCGTCACAAGTGTTCCCTAGCTGGGCATCACCTTTATAAAAGTATGGATGTGTGGAAAGGTACTTATGCCACATTCAATGCTGCACTCATAGCCCTGATTATTTAGATCCTATGCAGAACTTATTGAACAAACCTAATATTTGCTAGAGATTATCCTCAGCACTTTACCATTGTCAACTCATTTAGTTCTCATAGCAACCCTATGACATAGGTACTATGATCATTCGTGTTTTACAAATGAGAGATGAAGTAACTTCCACAAGGTCCTGTTATCCCAGAGTACATAGCTAGTGTGATGCAGACTGGGATTTTAACCTGGCTCCATACTCCAAACTCTCAATAATGAGGTTTTGTTTTATACCCCATGACTATAGCTAATTAGCAATGCACACGTCTTTAGGCCTTTCTCTTCTATTAGATGAAGAGCTGCTATGGACAAGAATCATGTCTGGTTTAACCATTGTTCCTCCCAGCAAGTAATGCCTGGTACCCAGTTGGCAGTCAATGAATGCGTTTGCAAACCACAACCCTAGGCACCACTGGCCATGCCATTATCTCCTTCAGGGCACGGGCTGTAGAATGAACAGCTTCCGTTCTTATTTTGCACCCCAGCTACTACGCAGATGGTTTGCCGCAGTGCTCGGGCTGTATACCCTTGACTTCTCCTGACTGTTTATTATTGTAGGAAGCAGCTCTGGGCAAACAGCCGGCTTCCAACTAGGTGACCCACCTCTTGGGTCTGTCTGTTCTCACCACAGGTAGCCACCCATGGCAAGCCCCAGTGCTTCCAAAAGCACCCCCTCCCTCAGGATTTCTCTCCCCTGCCCCTGGGAAGTTGCCTAGCAACCTCCTTTCCCCCCCTCCCCATGCGCAGCTCCACTCTCATTTTCCTCACCCCATCACCACTCCTCAAGTTCTCTTCAGTGTCATTAACCCCTGCATCTCTCTGCTTCATCATCCCGTTATCAAACTTTGCAGGGACTCCATTTTCACAACAAGCTCAGCCTGACCCAGAACGCATCCCGTCATTTTCTTGTCTTTTACAGTTTTGTAGGATTCTTCATAGCATACTTTTAATATTAACCTCAATATCAGACTGCCAAAGAAAGAGGCAAAGGCAACATGTAAACAAAAACAAAGAGAAAATAACCCAAACACAAAAAAAATCATGATTGGAATTTCCTAAGGGGTTTATTCAAGCTTCAGATAACTTTTTCCCCTTTAAAAGAGTATTATGTCATCCTGTCACATGTACCATATGATATGACATAAAGGTGAGATGGCATATCATATGATTAATTAACATAATATAATACAGTATGATATAATATAGAATAGTATAGTATAAAAAAGTACATGGAACATTTTTACTTATGCTGGCACCATAATATATGTTTTCCCTGTTGCCCTGCTTCAGAGCCTGGAAGAAAGGAAAGCTCCTAATTTTCTTTCTGTCTGGAAGGCCATCCACCCACAGGTAGCATGGTGTTGCTGGCACATTTGCCACGGTTTTGCCTGCTGTTGGCCAAGGGCATAGTCATTCCAGGCAGTCAACAGGTGATGCATTGCCAACTCCACCTCCTCTATAGAGAAACACAGGTTATCTGAAAAATAGAGAGAGTCACCCCTTTTCTATACTGGGCCAGGACATCTACTTGACATCAGCCCTGAGCTTTCACTAGCAAGTGTGCATCTCTCATTTCTGGCTTTAGGCTATATTTCATCTACTAAACAGAGAAAAATGCAGGGTACCACCATGGCCATGCTGTCAGGAGGAGTGAGCATGCAGGGCCCAGGGCTTTGTTTCACCAAGAACACAACTCTCTGCCTTCTATGGCTCTTAACTGGCAGCCTCCAGAGTGCCAAGTTGTGTAGACTAGGACTCAAAGGAACAACAATACTATAAGGGTCCCCAGTGCTGCCTGCTATCTAGAATGATCCTCAAACTTAGGAGTCCCTCTGAGTTTTCCAACCTCATGGGGCCTTAGGCTGGACCTTGTAATCTGAGCAGAGCAGACTGGGAGGGAGGCATGGATACCTTTGAGATAGCACAACTAGGTGTGCCTTTGACATTTGTGGACGTAAGCATACGAACGGGATTTCAGACCCATTCAAGATCATAATGTACAGTTGTTTAGGTTGCACACTGCACAGCCTCTACAATCAAATTGGGGTAGCTCTGGACCTTTAAAAGCTCACTGCTGTTCCATCATAGGGAGTGTCTTTTACTCCTCCATTTCATACTATCATTTTTTCTTTCAGATCTGCTCTACCTGAACAAATAGCCATTTTTATAACTACATGTGCATCATATTTGAATGTAAAATCAACTCAGAAACTTTCCAATCTGTATCTCTTATTTTTACTGAGGACTAGTAGAGAAGAGGTAATGCAGAATGCACTCAGACCTGAGCCCAGCCTCACCTTTCCCTGGCTAAATCTAGACTTCCCAGTTCTCTTTCTCTCTGAGTGCACAGTCCCATGTCTAAATCCAGATCAGACAGCAGAAATATAGGAGCGGGCAGCTGGGAGAACCTGAATCCCAGGTCCAAAGAGACCGCCACAATTTACTAGTAAGAGTCTTTATCCAAATTCCCCCTCCTCATGGTAGTTCGTTTCGATGGACTTGTTATTCTTTATCTCTCAGGTTCAGAAGACTGTATTCTGTTAAAATTGCTGCCATAATCCATGCCAGGAGAGTTGGAGGGCATGGATGTGGCAAGTAGTGATTTTTGCATACAAATTTTATATCACATGTTATAGAATTAATTATTCACTACAGTTGTTCATTCCTTCAGGATTTCTTTCCAGGTGTAATTGTCGAGTTTTGGGAGAAACTTTACTAAATGCCATAAGAGAAGAAATGTCTTGTCACCCTTGGGGAAGGTGGGTTTAATATTAGTTTTATATTATTTTATTATTATGTTAATAGTAATAACTACTACTTACTGGTGCCTGCCAAATGAAAGAGGCTTAGATAAATGGTTTATATTAATTTTCTTACTTAGTTTTCACCACAACCCTATGAAGTAGGTACTACCTTTCCCATTACGCAGATGAGAAAACCAAGGTTCACAGAGGCTAAGTAACCTCTGGTGGCTGGTACTCATCCAGGTGTCAGAACCTAAATGCCTCTTTCCAGATGACTTAAAGTTAACTTTAATAATTCATTCTGCTCTGAAGCAATTATGTTCCTAAAGCAGAAAAATCCACATCCAATTTTATTTTCTAGATTATGAACCTAGAAACACTGCTAATTATGAATATGGGCAGCAGCAGCTGGGAATTATACCTCCCTAAACATTTCAAGTTCTCTGGTTAATATATTGGATTTTTTTTCCTATAACATTATTTTTATTTTACTTTTTAAGTTGACAAATAATAATTGTACATATTCATGGGGTACATAGTGATATTTTAATACATGTAATATATTGATCGAGGTAATTGTTATATCTATCATCTCAAACATTTATCATTTCTTTGTGTTGGGAACATTCAACATCCATCTTGCCATTTGAAACAAGATATTATTGTTAACTAATAGTTTTTAACACTATCTCATCTCTTTTCTTCTCAGGCTCCACTTAATACACTGCCTTGGTGAACAAACACATGTTTGATTCATTTAAAGATACACCAATGAACCCCTTTTCCCTCATTTCTCTTTGCAGTTTGCAGAATAAAGAAGGGACAATGCAGTCACCAGGTCAGCATTAAGGGAAGGCTTGGCTGCATCATCTGCCACTCTGCTGCTGCTGACTCTGCCAGTGGGGACAGCACATGCTTCCTTCTACGCTTGCCTGAGGTTCGTAACTTCAGAGCCCCACAGCATTTCTGGAAGGAGTAAAATGAGCTACATGGTCCGGGAAGCTACTCCTAAGTAGAGTTCACAATCAAAGGAATAGAAGCTGGGGAAAACAATAAAGCAGTCTTCTTCTTCTCAAGTCATCTGTGACAGGTTTTTTTTATTTTTAATTTTTATTAGAATAGGGAGACATAGAACCACCAAACTCCTATAGAAAACGAGTCTTCTGAGCACCAGTAGCCTCATTATAGACCAACTGTATTAAAACCTGCATCAGAACCTAGATGACCATTTGCTGTTCTCCCCCCCAGGACAAATCCACACAGTTGTATGGGTTGAACACTGAACAACTTAAGAAGCACTACCATGTACATTATAGATATAGATATAGATAAAGATACAGATATAGATTATGGATATAGAAAACTTGTGTATTTGTTCCAACAAATTCCCGGCAGATATCATCAAAGTGTCTTGATGTAGGGGTGCCTTGTTCTAATTCATACGAAGGTGCCATATGGGCTTGCAGTGACTGTGTTACTCCTTCTGGTGAAGAAGGCAGATGGCTCAGTGGCAGAGAAACCTTGAAGTGGGGGACAGCAGTAGACAGGAAGTCTGTACAGGCAGATGAAAGAGCACCTGGGTCTGAGGCCTGCTTCACCACCTCCTGATACTGCATAAATTCCTCAACTTCTGAGCCTTGGTTCTTATGTACATCATGATAATAATACCAATATCACAGGGTTTTTGTTGTTTGGATGAAAAATGTGTGTGTGTGTGTTTGAGTATGTGTGTGTGTGTGTGTGTGTGTGTGTGTGTGTGTGTGTGTGTATGTAGCCTGGCTATTTTATGCATTTGATAAATGATAGTTATTATTATTATAAACCAGAAGAGTCCAAGTTGAAACCAGGGTGCTTGGCAACCTGCCACAGCAGTTCTTAGCCCCCAGATAGGAAAATGACTTACAGGTGATGAAATTGGTCAAGAAATCTAATGTAACATCAAGGTGATCTATGATCAATACCCAGAACATTCAATGCTGACATTAAAGGTTTTAATGGAGCATTTATTGTTTGCTATAATGAAATTATATTGAGTTGCTAGAAGAAAGTGAATAGAATACAGCAGGATGCTCAGACAAATATCTACTGATTCATTCTTTGACTAGTTGCTTACTTTGTGATGAACACTGGGTTAGGAGGTAGAGAAGTACAATTGAACATGTTAGTGCAGGTTAGGCTGAGGCCACAAATAGACCATACAGGCAATGCCTCAATACCATAGAAGACTGTATTTCTCATGTAGCTATTCTGAGAGGGGGCTCAGGTTGGACGATCAACTTTTCTCCCAGGTTCCTTCTGTCTGTGGCTTCTTCATCCCCAAAGACCTCACCAATATCTGCAGCTAGCCAAAGAAAGTGGAAAGAACATGAAAGAGCAAGTGGGGAGTGTTTTTATGAGCCAGAACAGGAAGCGGCCCACATTACCTCATCTCCATTGCAGAGAACCTAGCCATGTGGCCAAACCTCACTGCAAGAAAGGCTGCAAAATATACTTTAGATTTGTGCCCAAGGAAGGAGAGAACAAATATTGTTGGGTGGCTAGTGATGACCTCAATGGAAGGACAATTCCGGGTGATGGGACCACATCATAAGATGACTGAGAATTGCTGGACATGGAAAAAGATCCTCTGAACAAACTATGATTGGAAATTGGGAAAGAGGGGAAGGTGGTGCTATATTCTGAATAAAGTCACTGGGAAGACTATTGATATGGTGTGGCTGTGTCCCCACCCAAATCTCATCTTGAATTTTAGCTCCCATAATTCCCATGTGTCATGGGAGGGACCTGGTGGGAGGTAATTGAATCATGGGGGTGGGTCTTTCCCATACTGTTCTCATGATAGTGAGTAAGTCTCACAAGATCTGATGGTTTTACAAAGGGGAGTTCCCCTACACACGCTGTCTTGCCTGCCACCATGTAAGATGTGACTTTGCTCCTCATTCACCTTCTGTCATGAATTTGAGGCCTCCCCAGCCATGTAGAACTGTGAGTCAATTAAACTTCTTTTCTTTATAAATTATCCAGTCTCAGGTATGTCTTCATTAGCAGCATGAGAACTGACTAGTACAACTGTGAAGTGAAGAAGCAAAGGATGGTGGCTCCTCAAAGGGAATTGGCAGCCACAAGCCGACTGCCCTGTCTGTGTACTGGGTGAAAAAATGCTGTTGGCCACCCAGGGAGAGTGCCACCATCAGTGGTGCTGTTTTCTGGCACTCAGGATACCTTCCTGAGCCGCCTCAGACTGGTCCAAACTAAAGTCAAGTCACCTGACCCAGGTCCTGCTGAATATGCTCCAACTGTGTTCTCTACTGGGGGTACTGGGGACTCACTGATGTTGACAAGGAGCTCTACAGGGGAAATGGATGTGATAAAGGATAGATATATAGGTGCTGAAGGCCTCTTGATGACACATCTCTTAAACACCCGTGGAAAACTGCTGGATCATCTAGACCTGCATTCTGATCCTTACAATTTATTATCTGCAGATCTGTGAAGGACAGGATTCTAAGATGGATCCCAAGATTCCTGCTCCCTTGTGTATACACCCTATATAGTCTCCTCCCCTTGAGAGTGTGTGGGGCCCATTAATATGATAGGATAGTGGCTCCCTTGATTAGTTTCTGTTAAATGGCAAAGGTGCTGGGATAGTCACTCCCACTACCTTACATTAAGTAAGACTCCATCATAGCTGACTGGAGAGTCTCCTGCCAGGTTTGAAGAAATAATCTACTGTGTTGTGAGAAGGTCGTGTGACTAGGACTCAAGGACAGTCTCTGGGAGCTGAGGTGATCCTAGTGGATAGCCAGCAAGAAAACTTGCAACTCAAGCTCTAAGACAAAACAGCAACTGCAAGGAACTGAATTCCTCCAGCAAGCAACTGAGCTTAGAAGAGAAATCAAAGCCTTACATGAAGTTGCAGCCCCTGCCTTGATTTTAGAGAAGAGAATCCAGTTAATTCATGCCTGAATTCCTGACTGATGGACACTTTGATATAATAAATTAGTGTTCTTTTAAGTTGCTAAGTGTCTTAGTCTGTTTCCTGTTGCTGTAACTAAATACCCAAGACTAGATAATTTATTTTTGAAAAGAGGTTTATTTAGCAGTTTTGGAGGCAAGGAAGTTCAAGATCAGGCAGCTGAATCTGGCAAGGGCAACATGCTGTGTCATAACATGGTAAATGGCATCACATGAGGTGGGGGCGGCACACTGAGAGCCAACCTGGCTTTTATAACAGAACCACTCTCATGGTAACCCATTAATCCATTAACTCATTAATCCACCCATGAAGGCAAAGCGGCATAACCCAAACACCTCTTAAAGGCCCTACCTTTTACATTAGGGATTATATTTCAATGGAGGTTTTAGTGGGAACAAACATTCAAACCGTAGGGCTAACTTTGAGGTAATTTTTTACACAGCCATAGCAAACGAATAGGGGCTGCTTGGGTAGGCTACTTAACTTTTCTAAGACTCCCATCTTTTATTTTTTATTAATCTTTAAAAATGGGCATTCCTTCTACATTTTTTGTTAATTTCTAAAAATGGGCATTCCTTATAGAGGTATTGAGATAATGCACCTAAAAGTATTTTATAAATTATCAAGTTGTTAACACTGATAAAAAGGGTTTATTAATAATAGGCAGTGACATGATAAATTAACATTGACAGGAAAACAAGGAAGTAAGCATTGTTTTTAAAAAGTGTATCTAATTAGTGTTTATTTTTAGAAATTGTTCTGATCTTCCCTGCTATTTAATGTTCTATTTTTTTTCCTCCTTAGCAGAGTTAGCCAGGCCCTCTGTCTTGCATGAGATTGAGTGTGATTCTGGGGATGCAAATCAGGATGTCTCTGGGAAGAATTGCATTGTGTAGGTTATTTCAATTTAAGAAGTAGCTGCAAGAAGATTCCAAACACATTTTGCCTCAAGTCACCTCAAGTTTCTAATCTTCCTGCTGGAGCTGCCTTTGCAGTGAAAATAAGAACTGGCCTAATGATGTGAAGACAAAACCAACAGAAATACTGATGTCATTGGGACATATTAGCAGAATGGCCTTTTAATTTGTAAAATTCTCCAAAGCTATGTCTATTTGACTGGATGTAAATATAGACATGAAGTAGTTTGGAGAATTTGTTGGGGGAAGGATATGAAGAAAATATTCTCATTGGGCAGTCAATGGTGTTTTTAAAAAATATCAAAAAAATTAAAATCCCCATCATTGCTGTTGAAGAATTTGCCATCTTTATTAAGAATTAAAAATGCTCAAAAACTTTGGAAAATATTTACAAAAATACTGACCAAGGATTGGGAAGTGTATGCAAGCTAAATCCACATGCCCTGAGATTTTTTTGGCATTCAAATCACTTTTTTTTTTTTTTTTGAGACAGAGTTTTGCTCTTTTTGCCCAGGCTGGAGAGCAGTTGCACTATCTTGGCTCACTGCAACCTCTGCCTCCCAGGTTCAAGCAATTCTCCTGCCTCAGCCTCCTGAGTAGCTGGGATTACAGGTGCACGTCACTACACCCAGCTAATTTTGTATTTTTAGTAGAAAAGAGGTTTCACCGTGTTGGCCAGGCTGGTGAACATGCCTGGTGAACATGTTGGTCAGGTCTCAAACTCCTGACCTCAGGTGATCCACCCACCTCGGCCTCCCAAAGTGCTGGGAGCCACTGTGCCTGGCCTCAAATCACTTTGGCACATACTACACACCTAATAGAATGACTGAACTTTAAAAGACTGACCATACCAAGTCTTGGGGAGGATGTGCAGGAACTGCAACACTCACACACTGCCAGTAGGAATGTAAAATAAGACAACCATTTTGGAAAAACAGTTTAGCACTTTCTTAAAAAACTAAACACATGCCTATTATATGATCTAGCCGTTCTACTCCTAAGTATTTACCCAAGAGAAATGAATAGATATGTTCACACAAAAATTTGTACACCAATGTTCAAAGCAGCTTTATTTGTAATAGCCAAAAGCTAAAAGCAACCCAAATGTCCCTCAACAGGTGAATAGATAAACAAACTATAGTATACCCATACACTGGAATACTATTCAGGGATAAAATGGAATGAGCAATTGCTACACATGACAACGTGCATGAATCTCAAAATAATTATGTTGAGTGGAAAAAGCCAGTCAAAAAAAAGAGTATCTACAACGTAATTTTATTTCTATAAAATTCTAGAAAATGCAAAGTAATCTATGGTAACAGAAAGTAGCTTGATCGTTGCCTAGGGATCAGGGAGTGAACATAGGGGTAGGAGGAACAGGTTACAAAGGGACAAAAGGAAATGTCGGGCATGATGGATGTGTTCATTGTATTGACTGTGGTGATGATTACACAGGAGTATCTACATGTCAAAACATCAAGGCATACTTTAAATATGTGCCATTTATTTAATGTCAATTATACCCAATAAATATGTTAAGAAAAAATTATTTTCACACACATAATTGAAGTTTTATTCTCATAATAAAATTCTGAAGTGGTTAGGAAAGATATGATTTCCATCTTTCAGATAGGAGAACTATGGTTGCAATGGAAAAAATAACATAATTGCACAGGATTTAAGTTAGGACTAGAACCTTGTCTATTCCAGGAATATGTTTGCTATCTGGAGCTGCCTCTGTGGTCTCTAACAGTTAAAAAGGATCTGGATCACCTCTACTTGAGTCCATGTCTCTTGGGGTATTGGTTTATCCATGGCAGCAGTTCTCAAAGTGTGATCTGTAAACCTCCTGGGGATTCCCAAGACCTTTCAGAGAGTCTGTTGAGGTCAAAACTATTTTCATAATAATACTAAGACAATATTTGCCTTATTCATGTGTTGACACTTGCCCCAGTGGTGCAAATGCAATAGTAGGTAAGCCTACTGGCTCCTTAGCACCAATCAGGGTAGTGGCACCAAACCGTATGAAATGGTATGGCTGTATTCCCACCCAAATCTCTTTTTGAGTTGTAGTTCCCATAATCCCTATGTGTTGTGGGAGGGACCCAGTGGGAGGTAATTGAATCACAGGGGCAGTTACCCCCATGCTGTTCTTGTGATAGTGAGTGAGTTCTCATGAGATCTGATGGTTTTATGTGGGGCTTTTCCCCCTTTGCGCAGCACATCTCTCTCCTGCCACCATATGAATAAGGACATGTTTGCTTCCCCTTCCACCATGATTGTAAATTTCCTGAGGCCTCCCCGGCCATGCAGAGCTGTGTGTCAATTAAACTTCTTTCCTCTATAAATTACCCAGTCTCGGGTATTTCTTCACAGCAGCATGAACATGAACTAATTCAATAAATTTATATGTTGGAGAGTGGGGTGCTGCTGTAAAGATACCTAAAAATGTGGAAGCAACTTGGGAAGTGGGTAACATGCAGAAGCTGGAACAGTTTGGAGGGCTCATAAGAACACAGGAAGATGTGGGAAAGTTTGGAACTTCCTAGAGACTTGTTGAATGGCTTTGACCAAAATGCTGATAGTGATATGGACAATGAAGTTCAGGCTGAGGTGGTCTCAGATGGAGATTTCAAAGTTTTTGGGAACTAAAAGAGAGTAAAGGTCTCTCTTGCTATGCAAAGCGACTGGCAGCATTTTGCCCCTGCCCTAGAGATTTGTGGAATTTTGAACTTGAGAGAGATGAATTAGGTTATCTGGAGGAAGAAATTTCTAAGTGGCAAAGCATTCAAGAGGAAGCAGAGCATAAAAGTTTAAAACTTTGCAGCCTGATGATGTGATAGAAAAGAAAACCCCATTTTCTGGGGAGAAATTCAAGCCAGCTGCAGAAATTCGCATGAGTAATGAACTGAATATTAATCACCAAGACAGTGTGAAAATGTCTCCAGGACATGTCAGAGATCTTCATGGCAGCCTCTCCTATCACAGGCCTGGAGGCCTAGGAGGAAAAAATGGTTTTGTGGGTCAGGCCCAGGGCCCCCCTGCTGTGTACAGCCTAGGGACTTGGTGCCCTGCATCCCAGGCACTCCAGCCATGGCTAAAAGGGGCTAAGATACAGTGTGGGCCGTGGCTTCAGAGGGTGCAAGACTCAAGCCTTGGCAGCTTCCACATGGTGTTGAGCATGTGGGTGCACAGAAGTCAAGAAATGAGGCTTCAGAACCTCCACCTAGATTTCAGAGGATATATGGAAATGCCTGGATGTCCAGGCAGAAGTTTGCTGCAGGGGTGGGGCCCTCATGGAGACCCTCTGGTAGGGCAGTGCAGAAGGGAAATGTGGAGTTGGAACTCCCACACAGAGTCACCACTGGGGCATTGTCTAGTGGAGCTGTGAGAAGAGGGCCTCCATCCTCCAGACTCCAGAATAGTAGATCCACTGACAGCTTGCATAGTGCACCTGGAAAAACCACAGACACTCAACACCAGCTTATGAAAGCAGCTGGGGCGGGGGGGCAAGGGAGTAGCTGTACCCTGCAAAACCACCAGGGCAGAGCTACCCAAGGCTGTGGGAGCCTACCTCTCACATCAGTGTGACCTGGACATGAGACATGGAATCAAAGGAAATTATTTCAGAGCTTTAAGGTTTAATTACTGCCTCGTTGGATTTTGGAATTGCATGGGGCCTGTAGCCCCTTTGTTTTTGCCAATTTCTTCCATTTGGAATGGGTGTATTTACCCAATGCCTGTACCCCCATTGTATCCAGGAAGTAACTAACTTGCTTTTGATTTTATAGGCTCATAGGTGGAAGGGACTTGCCTTGTCTCAGAGGAGACTTTGAACTTGAACTTTTGGGTTAATGCTGGAATGAGTTAAGACTTTGGGGAACTGTTGGGAAGGCATGATTGGTTTTGAAATGTGCAGACATGAGATTTGGGATGGACCAGGGATGGAATGATATGGTTTGGCTGTGTCCCCACCCAAATCTCATCTTGAATTGTAGTTCCCATAAGTCCCACTTTTTGCTGGAGGGACCTGGTGGGAGGTAATTGAATCATGAGGACAGTTACCCCCATGCTGTTCTGGTGATAGTGAGTGTGTTCTCATGAGATCTGATAGATTTATATAGGGTTTTTCCCCCTTTGCTTGGAACTTCTCTCTCTAGCCACCATGTGAAGAAGTACATGTTTGCTTTCCCTTCCACCATGATTATAAGTTTCCTGAGGCCTCCTCAGCCATGCAGAACTGTGAGTCAGTTAAACCTCTTTCCTTTGTAAATTGCCCAGTTTCAGGTGTTTCTTCATATCAGTGGGAAAACAAACTAATACATCATACTAGTCGCCATTATATTCCTCACTGCCAGGAACTCATAGCAAAACAAATGATTATAAAAAACACTATAATACCAAAGATATTTCCATTTAAGAACACTCTTGAAGAAGCAATAAGAATTATGGATTTTATTAATTCTCAACTCTTGAGAATCTCTGTTTTATATTCTGGGTGACAAAATGAAAAATGTTTTATGTTGCATACCAAATTATGATGATTGTCTCAAGGAAAATCACTTGTGTGATTGTTTGAGCTATAAGCTGAACTAGCCACTTTTTCCCCATGAATCACTACTTTTATTTGAAAGAATTGCTGACTAATTATGACTATTTAGATTTCGGTATTTGGCAGACATCTTCTCAAAAATGAACTAGGTGAGCCTGTTACTTCAAGGGGAACAACTAACAGTGTTGCCAATGATAACACACAAGTTTTCAAGCAAAAGTTAGAATTTTGGGAAATATGTTGACAGTTTCCCAATACTTAAAGACTTTTCTAATAAACTTATGGTGATATTAGTGAGTATAATTTTAAAATTTTATATAATTAAATGTGTCAATACATGGAAGACTTGCATAACCTAGTGAGTCAATATTTTCCAAATGACCAGTATTGTAACATGATATTATAAACTCATGCACAAATTAAAGAGCCTTTCAAAGTAGACCAATGGATTTTACTATGACAGAATATGAAAAGCTGATGAATATGCTTTTAGATTCCACACTGCAACTAATCTTTAAGATACTGTCACTTATTGAGTTTTGGTGTAGTATCAAAGAAGAATATACACAACTGTACTGAAAAGATTATTAAAATATGATCTTCCTTTTCCAATTATGTGTCTGTGTGTGAGGCTGAATTTTCTTTATGCATTTCAACCAAAAAATATATATACACCCACAATATATATGAGAATCCAGATGTCTTCTGTTAACCTGGACATTAAAGAGATTTGCAAAAATGTGATGTAATGCCACTCTTACTGCTTTTTGTTGTTGTTTTGGAAAATATAATGATTTTTCATTAAAATATTTTATTTATTTAACCTATAATAAATGTATTCTTGCTATTTTAAAGTGAATTAATAAATACATAATGATTAAATCTCTCAGCTTTAATTTTGAACATGGTAGACATTGACAAATATAAGCCACATAAACAAAACCTCTTTGGAGTCTGTGATAGGCTGAGTAATGGTCTCCTAAAATTGTCTATATCTTAATCTCCAGGACCTGCAAATGTGACTTGATATGGCAAAGGGACTTTACAGATGTGATTAAGTTAAGGATCTCAGGATGGGGAGAGTATCTTGGATGATCTGGATGGGGTTGATGTAATCACAGGGGCTCTTGTGCCTCTAAGAGGGTCCAGGAGATGAGAGTAAGTAGTAGAAGTGATGCCAGAAGCAGAGGTTGTGGTGATGTGAGGAAGGGATTGTGAGCCCAGGACTGCAGGTGGCCTCCAGGAGCTGAAAAAGATAAGGGACAGATGTCCTTCAGAGCTTCCAGAAGGAACCAGGCCTGTTGACACATTTGCTTCAGCCCAGTGAGACTGGTTTTGGATGTCCTACCTCAAGAATTGTAAGGCACTAAATTTGCATTGCTTCATACCACTGAGTTTTTGGTAATTTGTTACAGCAGTAGCAAGAAAACTAATACAGGGTCCTTGATCATTTTTAAGTGTAAAGGAGTTCTGAGACAAAAAAATCTGCAAGCCATTCCTCCATGGTAACCAGAGTTGACAGTGGAAGCAGACTCTGGACAGAGTGGACTGGCCCCGGTATGTGCCCATGTTCCAGAGGGATACAGTCTTCTCCAGGGTCCCATGGTGATCCTAGAGAACCTCAGAGCTCCTTCAGGACCTGGTATGTAGGAAATGCTCTATAAATATGTATTAAATAAAGGATTAATAAATACATGGCCCTCCTACATTTCGTTACTTAAACAGGCCACTTAAGACAATAATATAATGTATGGAGCTCCTACACAGTGCTACAACTGTTAGGTGAGGCCTTTATTCCATACAACACTGTATGTTAAGTCCAGAGTGGCCCAGGGGTTGCCTGAGTTACGGAATTGGCAGGTGGCAGCCCTGGTGTCAAATCTAAGTCTGGTTCTCAAGCCTTTGTTCTCAATCCCATATTCTTGCCACCATGACCTCTATGGATTTGCATGAAGTTGTCCAGTGTCAAATAGACACTAAGCTACAGTTGGTGCATATGTACTAAATCAGATTCATTTTAAGTATCCAGAAAATAAGGCTGAACTTAATCCTAATGACAGGCTGGGTGGGCCAGGGTAGATAGGAAGGGTGAGTGGGTAATCACTATTTCCTCATTGTCTGCTATGATGACCATCTGCTTTTATTTCACCAGGCATCACATCTTCTGCATTGGCAAAACTCTCAGGTAGTTTATCCAAAAAGTGATTTGTTTTCATGTGGATAAGTTTCTTCCTCTAAGATTTTAAGTGAAAGAAATAGATAAGTTATAGCATGGAAACAATGGTTCCCCTGCTTGTACCTCTGTGACAAGCATTATATCTAACACAATTTACCAGAAATTGTCATCATTATCATTTGTCTGCTGGATGCTGTTTGGCACTCAGAATGGAGGGTCACCATGGTGCCTCTGATCTTTAGCAATTTTTCTTTTCGTTCTGTTTCACTTGGTAAATGTTTTTCTGCCTCATCCTTCACCTAAAATGAAACAGCAAAGGACTGCCCAGTCCTTAAGTGACCTTTAGCAGTTTCTCCACCGTTGGATGGCTAATAAGTTAATTAAGCTTCCTGTTAATTAACTTTAATAATTAGCTTTGATATGGTCCTACCAAATGGTTATTGCCTTGGCTACGGACTGTCAACTCAGCCTGTCAATCAGAATATGGGCCCACGTTGCCAAGGGGCAACCTGACCCCGTTGGGCAAGAAATAATAAGACTTTGCCAGATTCTTTTGTCTTTGGGAGAGCAGAGTTCCAGAAATGGAAGAACACTTTGTATCCAACCTCAATGTCCAAACTTCTGGCCTCCTTAAGGTATCTCTATTTTAATGAAGCATTGGCAGAGTGAGTCATCTTGTCTTAATTTAAATCCAATTCCAAAAGACAGATCTGGTTTTTTTTTGAAATGTCGACAGATTTCGGAGGTTTTTTTTTTCTTTTAAAGAAGGCTTTCCTCTTTTAGAAAGACTGACTCACACAGAAGCCATCGATGGTAAATCATTGTCTATGCTAGGATTGCCTTTCAAGTAGAATATTTTCCGACCCCATGTTCACTTGCCTTGTCCATGTCTAGAGAATATAACTGCCCTGCAAGAGCACAGGCAGAACAAGCCAATGAATAATGAACGTGGGCTTGAAAGCAGCACGGAGCTCTCTTTGGCCACAACGCCCTGCTAATAACTTTTAGCACTGCTTGATGTCAGGCGGCACGTGGAGTGGAGATGATACTTGTCAGCTAATTTGGCTTTAATACTCAGAACATTC